>NC_000004.12:88921381-89224411 GCF_000001405.40 Homo sapiens
GTGAGGGCCAATATTCAACATTCTTAAAGAAAAGAATTTTCAACCCAGAATTTCATATCCAGCCAAACTAATCTTCATAAGTGAAGGAGAAATAAAATCCTTTACAGACAAGCAAATGTTGAGAGATTTTGTCACCACCAGGCCTACCATAAAAGAGCTCCTGAAGGAAGCACTAAACATGGAAAGGAACAACTGGTACCAGCCGCTGCAAAATCATGCCAAAATGTAAAGACCTTCGAGACTAGGAAGAAACTGCATCAACTAACGAGCAAAATAATCAGCTAACATCACAATGACAGGATCAAATTCACACAAACAATATTAACTTTAAATGTAAATGGACTAAATGCTCCAATTAAAAGACACAGACTGGCAAATTGGATAAAGAGTCAAGACCCATCAGTGTGCTGTATTCAGGAAACCCATCTCACGTGCAGAGACAAACATAGGCTCAAAATAAAAGGATGGAGGAAGATCTATCAAGCAAATGGAAAACAAAAAAAGGCAGGGGTGGCAATCCTAGTCTCTGATAAAACAGACTTTAAACCAACAAAGATCAAAAGAGACAAAGAAGGCCATTACATAATGGTAAAGGGATCAATTCAACAAGAAGAGCTAACTATCCTAAATATATATGCACCCAATACAGGAGCACCCAGATTCATAAAGCAAGTCCTCAGTGACCTACAAAGAGACTTAGACTCCCACATAATAATAATGGGAGATTTTAACACCCCACTGTCAACATTAGACAGATCAATGAGACAGAAAGTTAACAAGGATACCCAGGAATTGAACTCAGCTCTGCACCAAGCGGACCTAATAGACATCTACAGAACTCTCCACCCCACATCAGCAGAATATACATTTTTTTCAGCACCACACCACACCTATTCCAAAATTGACCACATAATTGGAAGTAAAGCTCTCCTCAGCAAATGTAAAAGATCAGACATTATAACAAACTGTCTCTCAGACCACAGTGCAATCAAACTAGAACTCAGGATTAAGAAACTCACTCAAAACCGCTCAACTACATGGAAACTGAACAACCTGCTCCTGAGTGACTACTGGGTACATAACGAAATGAAGGCAGAAATAAAGATGTTCTTTGAAACCAACGAGAACAAAGACACAACATACCAGAATCTCTGGGACACATTCAAAGCAGTGTGTAGAGGGAAATTTATAGCACTAAATGCCCATAAGAGAAAGCAGGAAAGATCCAAAATTGACACTCTAACATCACAATTAAAAGAACTAGAAAAGCAAGAGCAAACACATTCAAAAGCTAGCAGAAGGCAAGAAATAACTAAAATCAGAGTAGAACTGAAGGAAATAGAGACACAAAAAACCTTCAAAAAATTAATGAATCCAGGAGCTGGTTTTTTGAAAGGATCAACAAAATTGATAGACCGCTAGCAGACTAATAAAGAAAAAAAGAGAGAAGAATCAAATAGACGCAATAAAAAATGATAAAGGGGATATCACCACCGATCCCACAGAAATTCAAACTACCATCAGAGAATACTACAAACACCTCTACGCAAATAAACTAGAAAATCTAGAAGAAATGGATAAATTCCTCGACACATACACCATCCCAAGACTAAACCAGGAAGAAGTTGAATCTCTGAATAGACCAATAACAGGCTCTGAAATTGTGGCAATAATCAATAGCTTACCAACCAAAAAGGGTCCAGGACCAGATGGATTCACAGCCGAATTCTACCAGAGGTACAAGGAGGAACTGGTACCATTCCTTCTGAAACTATTCCAATCAATAGAAAAAGAGGGAATCCTCCCTAACTCATTTTATGAGGCCAGCATCATCCTGATACCAAAGCCTGGCAGAGACACAACAACAAAAAAGAGAATTTTAGACCAATATCCTTGATGAACATCAATGCAAAAATCCTCAATAAAATACTGGCAAACCGAATTCAGCAGCACATCAAAAAGCTTATCCACCATGATCAAGTGGGCTTCATCCCTGGGATGCAAGGCTGGTTCAACAAACGCAAATCAATAAATGTAATCCAGCATATAAACAGAACCAAAGACAAAAACCACATGATTATCTCGAAAGATGCAGAAAAGGCCTTTGACAAAATTCAACAACCCTTCATGCTAAAAACTCTCAATAAGTTAGGTATTGAGGGGACATATCTCAAAATAATAAGAGCTATTTATGACAAACCCACAGCCAATATCATACTGAATGGGCAAAAACTGGAAGCATTCCCTTTGAAAACTGGCACAAGACAGGGATGCCCTCTCTCACCACTCCTACTCAACTCAGTGTTGGAAGTTCTGGCCAGGGCAATTAGGCAGGAGAAGGAAATAAAGGGTATTCAATTAGGAAAAGAGGAAGTCAAAGTGTCCCTGTTTGCAGATGACATGATTGTATATCTAGAAAACCCCATTGTCTCAGCCCAAAATCTCCTTAAGCTGATAAGCAACTTCAGCAAAGTCTCAGGATACAAAATCAATGTACGAAAATCACAAGCATTCTTATACACCAGTAACAGACAAACAGAGAGCCAAATCATGAGTGAACTCCCATTCACAATTGCTTCAAAGAGAATAAAATACCTAGGAATCCAACTTACAAAGGACGTGAAGGACCTCTTCAAAGAGAACTACAAACCACTGCTCAATGAAATAAAAGAGGATACAAACAAATGGAAGAACATTCCATGCTCATGGGTAGGAAGAATCAATATCGTGAAAATGGCCATACTGCCCAAGGTAATTTATACCTTCAATGCCATCCCCATCAAGCTACCAATGACTTTCTTCACAGAATTGGAAAAAACTACTTTAAAGTTCATATGGAACCCAAAAAGAGCCCGCATCGCCAAGTCAATCCTAAGCCAAAAGAACAAAGCTGGAGGCATCATGCTACCTGACTTCAAACTATACTACAAGGCTACAGTAACCAAAACAGCATGGTACTGGTACCAAAACACAGATATAGATCAATGGAACAGAACAGAGCCCTCAGAAATAACGCCACATATCTACAACTATCTGATCTTTGACAAACCTGACAAAAACAAGAAATGGGGAAAGGGTTCCCTATTTAATAAATGGTGCTGGGAAAACTGGCTAGCCATATGTAGAAAGCTGAAACTGGACCCCTTCTTTAAACCTTATACAAAAATTAATTCAAGATGGATTAAAGACTTAAACTTTAGACCTAAAACCATAAAAACCCTAGAAGAAAACCTAGGCATTACCATTCAGGACATAGGCATGGGCAAGGACTTCATGTCTAAAACACCAAAAGCAATAGCAACAAAAGCCAAAATTGACAAATGGGATCTAATTAAACTAAAGAGCTGCTGCACAGCAAAAGAAACTACCATCAGAGTGAACAGGCAACCTACAAAATGGGAGAAAATTTTTGCAACCTACTCATCTGACAAAGGGCTAATATCCAGAATCTACAATGAACTCAAACAAATTTACAAGAAAAAAACAAACAACCCCATCAAAAAGTGGGCAAAGGATATGAACAGACACTTTTCAAAAGAAGACATTTATGCAGCCAAAAGACACATGAAAAAATGCTCATCATCACTGGCCATCAGAGAAATGCAAATCAAAACCACAATGAGATACCATCTCACACCAGTTAGAATGGCAATCATTAAAAAGTCAGGAAACAACAGGTGCTGGAGAGGATGTGGAGAAATAGGAACACTTTTACACTGTTGGTGGGACTGTAAACTAGTTCAACCATTGTGGAAGTCAGTGTGGCGATTCCTCAGGGATCTAGAACTAGAAATACCATTTGACCCAGCCATCCCATTAGTGGGTATATACTCAATGGACTATAAATCATGCTGCTATAAAGACACATGCACATGTATGTTTATTGCGGCTCTATTCACAATAGCAAAGACTTGGAACCAACCCAAATGTCCAACAATGATAGACTGGATTAAGAAAATGTGGCACACATACACCACGGAATACTATGCAGCCATAAAAAATGATGAGTTCACATCCTTTGTAGGGACATGGATGAAATTGGAAATCATCATTCTCAGTAAACTATCGCAAGGACAAAAAACCAAACACTGCGTGTTCTCACTCATAGGTGGGAATTGAACAATGAGAACACATGGACACAGGAAGGGGAACATCACACTCTGGGGACTGTTGTGGGGTGGGGGGAGGGGGGAGGTATATCTCCTAATGCTAAATGTCGAGTTAATGGGTGCAGCACACCAGCATGGCACATGTATACATATGTAACTAACCTGCACATTGTGCACATGTACCCTAAAACTTAAAGTATAATAATAATAAAATAAAAAATAAATAAAAATAAAAAAAGAGAAATGCCAATGTATAAGTAAATATGAGATATTGTTCTCACCCTAGAAAAATTTACAATGCAACGTGAGAGGAAAAAAAACCCCAACTTATCCAAGGCAGAATGTTCTAACAGAAGGAGAAAGAAAGTGCCACAAGACAAGAAAGGAGATGAGGATTAACTGTACCTGGAGGATGGGGAGGGCTTCGTGGAGGGGGTAGTATTTGAGATGTCTCAGTTGGACCCGCACCAACTTAACCAGAAGCAGAACTTGCTGCGAGGATTGAGAGCAAGTAGTTTATGCGGGTGGTTCTGCGGTGGAATGGGGGTGATAAGAGAGGGAGGAAGGGAGCCAACAAGAAATGTCACTCTTAAGCTCCCACAGTGGTTCTGAAGCTTAAATTTAGGGGAGAGCTCGGGCAACAGTGTAAAATACACACCCCAGAATAATTCCAATCGAGGAGTAAAGCAGCTGGAAATTTACACCCCCACAGTTTTCAGCCATGGGTAAGGCTTACCCCCCATCCCTGGAAGGATGTTCATTTCTAGGCACTTCCAGCCCACAGAAGTATAACTTTCATCCTGAGGAGATCAACTGAAGAAAATATCAGAAATTCAGTTTTATAGAAAACATAAGTGATCTTTAAAAACCTCAAATATTCGCTTGCCATTTACTGAGTGCCTCCTATTTGCCAAATATACACAGTATAATGATTTAAAGTAGTCAGCTTCTTTAACAAACAGTTCCAAAGTTTTGCCATCTCACTGGAAACAGTTTAAAGGATACATAGCATAATGGCGTCTTCATAAGCAAAAGCAATTTAGTCTGTCTTCTGTTAATTATTCCTTATAATAGGAAAGAATGTAATATCTGGCAATGTGTTACATCTAATGATTCATGAGAAGACATGACTTTCTAGTGTTTACCTATAATCGCTCTATAAAACAAAATGTCTGGGGAGAAGAAATTAACAGCAATCTAAATTGTAAATATATGAGTATGATCTAAAAATTGGAGCCATAAAGCATTCCAAACTATGAAGTAACTTTTAATATTACTTTTATTACTTAATGCTTTACACTTCTTGTTAGTCTAATTAGTTTCTACTACCAAAAGTTGCCCATTTGAGTAATTCAAGCAAACAACCCTCTACCATGCTATTAAAAATTTAACTTTTATATAATTAGGGGGACAGGTGCATATTTCTTACATGCATATATTACACAGTGGTGAAGTCTGGGCTTTTAGTGTGTGTACACACACCTACACCCACCGACAGACACACACACACACATTTTCTTTATCCAATTCTCCCTTGATGGACATTAAGGTTAATTCTATCTTTGTTATCGTGAACAGTGCTATCCCAATCCATAAGACTGGGATGTTTTTCCATTTGCTTGTGTCATCTACAGTTTTTTTTCCACCGGTGTTTTTTAGTTCCCCTGATAGAGATCTTTCACCTTCTTGTTTAAATATATTCCTATGTATATTTTTTTTTTTGTATAGCTAGTAGTGTAAATGGGATTTCTTCTTGATTTGGTACTCAGCTAGGTCCTTAATGGTATATAGAAATGCTACTGATTTCTGTACATCAAATTTGTATCTCGAGCCTTTACCAAATCTAAGAGTTTTTTGGTGGAGCCTTTAGGGATTTCTAGATATAAGATTGTATAATCAATGAACAGGGATAATTTGACTTACTCTACTCCAATTTGGATGTCTTTTTTTTTTTTAATCTTGCTTGATTGCTCTGGTGAGTCCATCTGGTTCTAGGTTTTTTTTTTCTCTTGGTAGAATTTTTTTTAATACTGATTCAATTTTTCTACTTATTGTTGGTCTGTTCAGGAGTGCTATCTATTTCTGGTTCAATCTCAGAAAGTTGTATGTTTCTAGGAATTTATCTATTTCCTCTAGGTTTTGTAGTTTGTGAGCCTATAGTTGTTCATAATAGTCTTTGATGATTTTTTTTATTTCTGTGGTGTAAGTTGTTATGTTTCCTTTTTCATTTCTGATTGTGTGTTTATCTGGATCTTCTCCCTTCTTTTCTTGGTTAGTCTAGTGAGTGGTCTATCAATTTTGTCTGTCTTTTTGAATAACCAACTTTTCATTTCATTGGTCCTTTGTATTTTTGGGGGATTTCTTATTTAGTTCTATTCTGATCTTTGTTATTTCCTTTCTTTTGCAAACTTGGGATTTGCTTTGTCTTGTTTTTCTAGTTCCTTGAGGTGTGAAGTTAGGTTGTTAATTTTTTAATGTAGGCATTTAATGCCACAAACTTCCCTCTTAACACTATTTTTGCTGTATCCTGTGTATGGTGTGTTTTCATTTTCATCTGATTCAAAAAATTTAAAATTTCTGTCTTAATTTCTTCATTGACCCAGTGATCATTCAGGAGCATGTTGTTTAATTTCCATGTGTCTGTATAGTTTCTGAAGTTCCTTTTGGTATTAATTTCTAGTTTTTATTCCACTGTGGTCTGAGAAAATACTTGATATCATTTTGATTTTTAAAAATTTATAAAGACTTGTTTTGTGGCCCAACCATGTGGTCTATCTCAGAGAATGTTCCATGTGCTGAAGAGAAGAATGTATATTCCATAGTTGTTGGGTAGAATGTTCTGCGAATGTCTGCTAAGTCCGTTTAGTCTAAAGTCCAACTTAAATCTAATGTTTCTTTGTTAATTTTCTGTCTCAATGATCTGTCTATTGCTGTCCCTATTACTACTGTATTGCTGTCTATTTCTTTATGCCTAGAAATATTTGTTTTGTGACTCTGGGTGTTCCAGGGTAGGGTTCCCAGAGTATATCTTGCTGAATTGATCCCTTTATCATTACATAAAACCTTCTTTGTCTTTTATTACTGTTTTTGATTTAAAGTTTGTTTTATCTGATATAAGTATAGCTACTCCTGCTTGGTTTTGGTTTCTGTTTGCCTGGAATATCTTTTTCTATTCTTTAACTTTCAGCCTATGTGTCTTTTTACATGTAAGGTGGGTTTCTTGTGGGAGCATATAGTTGGATCATGCTTCTTTCTTTTTAATCCAGTCTGCCAATCTGTATCTTTTAAGTGGAACATTTAATCCATTTACATTCAAGGTTAATATTTATATGTGAGGCTTTGATCCTGTCATATTGTTAATTGCTTTCAAATTGTTTTATAAATTCTTTGTTTCTTTTTCTCTAATTTTGTCTTTGTGGTTTGATGAAATTATCATGTTGTCATTTTATTCTTCTCTCTTCCTCCTTTCTGTGATTGCTTTATAAGAACTCTGAGTTTCATATTTCCAGGTGTTTTCATGATGGTGAATATTAACTTTTCATTTCCATTTTTAAGACGCCTTTGGCCATTTCCTGTAGGGCCAGTCTAGTGGTGACAGATTGTCTGAGCATTTGCTTGTCTAATAAAAACTTTAGTTCTCCTTCATCTATGAAGTATATTCTGGAAGGATATAAAATTCTTGGCTGATAGTTTTTTTTTTCTTTCAGCACTTTGAAAGTGCCATCCTATTCTCTTGTGGCCTGTAAGGTTCCTGCTGAAATGTCCGATATTAGACTGAAGGGGTTTCTTATATTGATAACTAGACTTTTTTCTCTGGCTAATTTGAAAATTCTTTCTTTCACTTTTACTTTAGACATTCTGAATATAATATGCCATGGTGCAGTCTTTTTTGCAACGTATTTTCCTGGAGATTGCTGGGACTCCTATATCTGGATGTCTAACTTTCTTGCTAGATTTGGGAAGTTTTCATCAATTATTTCCTTAGATTTTCTAAACTTTTTTTTATCCCTCTTCCCCCTCAGGAATGCCAATAATTTGTAAGTTCAGTCACTTTTTGTAGTTCCATATGTCTTGAAGGCTTTGTTCATCTTTTTTTCCTTTTTTTTTCTTTTTGTCTGACTGGATTATTTCAAAAGACCTGTCTTCAAGTTCTGAGATTCTTTCTCCTACTTGGTCAAGTCTATTATTGGAGCTTTCAAATGTATTCTGTATTTGCTTCAGTGCATTTTTTTAATTCCAAAATTTCTGCTTTGTTTTTTGTTTTTGAGACAGGATCTCTCTCTGTCACTCAGGCTGGAACACAGTGGTGCAAACACAGCTCACTGCAACCTCAATTTTCTGGTCTCAAGTGATCCTCCCACCTTGGCCTCTTGAATACCTGGGACTACAGGTGTGTACCACCATGCCCAGCTAGTTTTTGAATTTTTTTGTAAAGACAGGGTCTTGCCATGTTGCCCAAGCTGGTCTTGAACTCCTATGCTCAAGTGATCCTCCTGCTTCAGCCTCCCAAAGTGCTGGGATTATACAGGTAAGCCACCGAGCTCATTTTTTTTTTAAGATATCAATCTCTTGGTATGTTTCACATTCATATCCTGAATTGATTTTCTGATTTCTTTGTACTGGTTTTCAGAATTATCTTGCATCTCATTGAGCTTCTTTAAAACCAATATTTTGAATTCCTCATCTGGCATTTTGAGGAATTTTGTTTTGATGGGGATTTGTTACTGGACACTTGTTGTGTCCTCTGGTGGTGTCCTATTTCCATGCTTTTTCATGTTTTTTATGTCCTTCCTTTGATAATTACACATCTGGTATAGTAATCACTTGTTCCCATTTTTAAAAATTGCTTTTGTAGGGGAGAATTTTATTCTGAAGATGTATTTTTTCTGGTTGAGTAGCATACTTTGGCTTTGATTTTGGGCACCTGAGGTAGTATAATCTTTGTATGACACTCAGCAATACACAGGGTCAGTGGTATCTGTGATTTCCTAGGTGGCTTAGAGTAGTTATTAGGTGAGGCTGTGGTGAAGCTTTGCTGGGGACTTGGACATCAACTAAGCCAGTATTTGGGCCCTGGTGGTGGCAGCAATGGATTAAGTGTCCCTGTTTTTAGGCCCCAGAGCAGCTTACTTTAGCTTGCTGCAGCATTAGTGGGTCCTGGAGGGCTGATTCTTGGGCCTCCTGGTGGCTTTCACAGAAGCTAGTTGTGAGAGTATTGGGCTACATGTGTGAGTGGGCTCTTAAGGTCCTAGGCAACTGAAGTGGTATGGGTGATGGCATAGCAGTGGTGGAGCAACCCACTGGCCCCCAAGTGGTCTGTGTTAATGTTGCTGAAAGCAACAGTGAGTGGGGCAGCCTATTCTGCAGTCCCACAGCCGCTTATAGCAAGGTGATATGTATTGTCCTAAGCTTAGGAGAGCTTGCTCTTTCCTGTCCTTCCCATGGCTAGGTGATGAGTGCAGCCATGTTGCCTCAAACTTGGCTTAACAGTGAGGCACAGCCTAGTGTTAAACTCTCAAAATGGTGCCTTGGGCCTGGGACCAGAAAGAGTGGGGTCCCTCTCAGGCAAGAAGCCTGGACAAGAAGCTGTGGGGAGTGCAGTCCACTCACATCTCAGTCTCAACAGCAGCTCACAGCAGGGTGGCAGGGACCCTCCCATGGGTGCATGGGAGTGCTTGGTTTCCCCTCTCTCTCCTTGGAGCAATGTGGTGGCAGCAGCTGTGTCTGTAGATGATGGGTATCTAGGCTACTCTCAAAGTGGCATCCAGATGAGGCTGCTCTAGGCTTGGATGCCTGTGGGATTCTGTGTGGGTTCCCTTTCTGGAGCTCCATGTGTCAGGGTAAAGGCCCTAGTGGGTTGAGAGTTTTTCCTATATCCAAAACTATAAAAGCCTGTTCCAGAGTGTGGAGCCCTGGGGGTTTCTCTTTCACTGTTTCCCCATGTCCAGGAGCCTCTCCTGGCTCTCAGTCAGTCCCTGGCCATGCAGGCTGCCTCAAACCCTCTCCTTACTTATCTCTGGTGTTTCCCATCTCTTCTCTGGTGAATCCTAGTGTCTTCTCCTAGACAATCTGTTCAAAATGTATCTACTTACTATTCTGGTCCCTCTCTGTGAAGGAGACATATACTACTGGGTCTATTCAGCCATCTTGATCTCAACTCTATGATCTGTCATGCTATTTAATCATTGCATTTTAAAAATACATCATTTAACTTTTTTTAACCTCCAAATTCAGAATCTACCTAAAAATTATAACTCACGATCAAAAGAAGGATTTGTTCTGAAGAAAGGAACAAATGAATTCTAAATAAGTGCCACCTCTGAGTTTCATAAATGCTCAAAATGATAACATATAGATTTTGGTGGGTACAAGCTAGTCATTCTCACTATGTAAGTTTACCTACACAAAAGGAGAGATAATACAATCAGATTACAAAGAAGCAAACAACAAAAAGCCAAAAACATCTTTTATTTCCTGTTATAACTCTCCTGCTGCTCAGAAGGTTCTAATATTCTTGAGGGGCTACAGAAGAGGTTAGGAATAGTGAAGACATATAGGAGTCAGAAGAACAGAGTTCAACTACTTTCCTGACACTGACACTAAGTTGCTACAGTACATACTCATTAAATGAAAACACATATAAAAGCTCATGGCACTGATGGCCTCAGTTAAATCTCTAAGATTTTGGTTATTTCTCTACTTTGCCTCTAATCAGTACTTTCTTGATTTCAAAACCCAGCTCTGTCATTTACTGTTGTGTGATCTTAAGCAATTTATCATTACATTTCCTCATCTGTAAACCAGTATTAAGATCAATTACTTGTGAGGTTACTGTCAGTAGTAAATGAGATACATATATAGAAGAATTTGGCACAATGTCTAGCATAAAGCCCTATTCTCCCTTTTGCCCCTGTGTTCCTACACTGAGTTTGTTTGTTTCTTTTAGACTGTAAGGTCCCCCAAGGACAGGGACATGTCTTATTTATTTTCTGAAGCTCTCCAGCACTTAGTACAAAGCTTTGCCCAGAGTAGTTTTGCATTAAATAAGAAAAAAGTGAATAAACATTTGTTGAAGTTAATTGTGCTTAGGCTGTGGCCCTAAATGAAAATGGAGACACATGCAATGTTTTTGAGCATGAAAAAGATATGGGAAATGGTTTAGGAAGTTTCTGTGATATATCAGTTTATATGGTAAGTGACTTTGATTCTACATAAACAATATTAAATTTTTTGACCGGAAAGTCAAATACACAAAAAAATGAGCTTTGTGGTCAAACTTGCCATAACATTTATTAATGTGGGCACTTCCTTCGAACTAATCGCTATGGAAGGCCATTCTAATATTTTGCTTTGCTCAGAGCATTTGTTAGTAACTGTTTTGAGAGTTTGCTTAAAAGTCATATAAGAAAATCAACATAATTATTTTATAGCCAGATTTAAATTTTAAACCCAAAAGTTAACATATAATCAGCACTCCTCAACTTAGTGATATGCCATAGGTTAAAATGACTATTGATTACTTCCCACAATCAAATAAAGCATTAAAGTACGAAGATTTCCCAGTCCAATGATATACAGAAAAATATGGTATATGAATGACATATATATGCTCTGAAGACAACTTTAAAATTCCAAAAGATATAATGAGCAACAGCAACACTGTCTAATAAAGAAAGTCTTATAACATGTTTATCTGGAATAGGCTCATATTCATCTAGATATTTCTAGATAGATACTTAGCAATATGCTCATCACATTATTTTATAGGATGCATATATATGAGGTTTGCATGAACCCTATTACATATATATTCATAACTCTTATACACAAACTGGACAACAAGACAAACCAGGCTCATAGACTACTGTCCCCCTCAATATCTGCCACCCTTCTGGGTAAATTCAGGGTCAATAAGGAGAAACCATCAATATCTTTATCTCCCATCTCTTTGCCTTCTCCTTTCCCATAATTTTCTCTTCTCCTTCACTTTAGTCCCTCATGCTCATAAACCCAATCTAAGCCTTATTTTCACTCCAGATAGCTCAACCTCCAAAATCAGTAATGCAAACCTCCTATTTCCTGTTTTCAGCCCCTATTCTTCTAGCTTGCTTGCTCATCTACTTCTGCCTCAAACATTCTTTAGCCTAACTACAGTCTCTAGTACCTCCTTTTGTATTGCTGTTGTATATCCTAGCTTACCTTCAGATCTTCTCATCACCTTCATTACCATCATCCATGCCCAATTTACCATTGTTTTTACCTGGACTACTGTAATAAACTCCTAATACATTGCCCTACTTCTGCCTATCCCTTTCAAGAACCTAGTAATCTTTTTAATACAGAAGTCACAACGTAGCACTCTTCTGCTTAATACTGACTAATAGCTTCACTTAGAGTAAAAGTCAAAGTCCTCAAAATGATCTATGAATAGACACAATCTGCTGATCCCTTGTTTCCTTTGTGGCCTCATTTCGTTTCAATTCCATCTTGCTCATGGTAATCCAACTGTACTGGCCTCTCAACTGCTCATCAGACCAGGTATATTCACATCTCAAGACCTTTGTACTGCTCTTCTCCTTGCCTGGAATACTCTTCTCTCAAGTGTCTTCATGGCTTGCTCCCTTGCTTCCTTCAAGTCTCTACTCAAACGTTTTCTTGTCAATGAAGCATTTTAACTGTCCTATTTAAATAAGCAAAGGCCAATCCTCTACTTCTGCCTTTCCCTGCTTTATTTTACTTCACAGAATATATCACCATCTGACATACTACATATTTTCTTTTCTTTTTTATTGGCTGTTGTTTAGTGTATTTCCATGAGAATATAAGAATCATAAGAGCAGAGATTTTCATCTATTGTTCAGTATGCCTAGAACAATGCTTTGCTCCTAGTAGGCACCGAATAATTATTAACACTTGGATTTAATGAATTCAACGTATAGTCCATGGTCCATTATTTTATCCATACTTTTCTCACTAAATTTTGTGTATGTAAATATCTGGATGATTAAGTTATTTCTTGAATGGGGCTTCACTAGTGTCTGGATTTAGAACACCTTCTGAAGAGAAAATCTAGAATTATCCTGCAGCTGGAGAAATTAGACTGTGGCTGTTAGATGCCTACTGGAAAGATGTGCTTCTCCTAACCCAGTTATTCAGAAATACAGCTGTAACCTTTCATTTTGACAAAATAAAAATGTTCCTATGTAAATTCCCTTCTTGAAACCTATAAAAACAAAACTAATGAAAGAGAGAAAAGAAACCTCCAACTTAAGTGAAGTAAGAGATGGCCATAACTGTGGACCACTGACTGTGAAGACTATTTGCCAAATTCAACAAAATGTAGGCTAAAATGCCAAGGGCCAACATATACATTCTCATATTTCTCCAAATGTCACAGGGCTAAGAGGTCTATCCAAAATTTCCTTCACTGGAGTAACTAGATCTAGTCAACATGGCCAAACCATTGCAGAATCTGGAAAAACTCTGTAGGGACCTAGGTTCACTCCCAAAGAATGGCAGGGAAAGCAAAGTTGAAGGGGAAGTCATACTGACAAAACTTTTCCCCTTATTGTTACCTTGGCCTTCAGACAGAGGAAGTCTGTCTTGAAGTGAGGCTGATGAATGTGCTGTAGATGCCATGATCAATTTTGCAGCTACTGACCAGAGTCAGCTGAACAGAAACAGACATTAGGCTTTGATAGCCTATGACAGAAAAAGACTCCATCTTCCAATACTCTGGTCAAAGTTCTTTATCTAGGTCCAAATACAACCGAACATATTTCTCTGGGCCCAAATCTCCGTTTCACATGCAAGAATATATAAGAAACTTCATTCAACACTTTATGACTCTGTTCTCCAAACTGGGATATACAGAGGTATGTCAGTGTTTATGTTTAGTCCTTTTCCCCACTTAAAAGCCTTATATCTAAGTCATTTACATGAGACTTGCCTTATTCCCAACTCATATATTTTATGTCCCTGTTACTCTTGGGTCTTTATCATTTACTTTGCGCCCATTTCCTATCTTTATATTCATCCTTCCAAAAACTGAACTCATATGAAAAAATGAACAGAAAGATAACTTTTCTTTAATTACCTTCTCATTTTTCTTCTTTTTCAGTATATTAATAGTTTCATTCTGAGATTCTCAATTTCTTTTAAGCCCATCTACCTTTTAGTTTCTATCTAATGTTTCTATGATCTTTACAATTTTCAAAAAAGTCTGTTTTCTAAGCATTGTCAATGTTTACATATCTAAATGTGGCTAACATATTCTCCTTTTATTACTATGAACTCTAAAATGGCATTGGCACATCCTTTTGAAATGATTTCCATAACTTCTATTTCATCCTTACTCGTTACGATTAAGTCCAGAGAATCACACCCCTTGTCACATTCTCTACTTTCTCAAAGAAGAGACTATCAGCGAGATCAGTTAAAAAAAATGCATTAAAATTCTGCTTTGGCAGAATGACACTTCCAGAGAATATAAATGTAGTTTCTAATCATGACATTTATCTGCCTCTAGGCCGATCTGAAACTTACATTAAAAGAGCACCATTTTATATTCTTCTTCATCTACCTAAGACATCTGTATTTGGCTCCCACAGAATTATGTCTTATATTATATTCTCATACGATGTTCTCCACCAGCCTTAAACCTAGTCACTCAAGGATTTCCAAGCAGGGCACTCTTCCACAGATCTCAACAGGTGTTATTTTACTTGCACAGCAAATAACATCTGTGTTAGTCTGTTTGTGTTGCTATAAAGAAATACTTAAGGCTGGGTAATTTATTTCAAAAAGAGGTTTAATTGACTCACAGTTCAGCAGGCCATACAGAACATCTGCCTCTAATGAGGCCTCAGGAAGCTCACAATCACGGCAGAAGAAGAAGGGGAGCAGGCATATCACATGGCGAGAGTGGGAGCAAGAGTGAGGGGGGGAAGTGCCACACACTTTTAAACAAGCAGGTCTCCTGTGAACTCACAGCAAGAACTCACTCATCACCAAGGGGATGGCACTAAGTCATTCACGAAGGATCCGCCCTCATGATCCAAACACCTCCCACCAGGCCCCAGCTCCAACACCAGGGACTGCGTTTCAATATGAGATTTGGAGGGGACAAACATCCAAACCATATCAACTTCCCATTGGCATATTCCAGCAATTAGCTTTATCTCAGCAAGTTTGCCCTGCCTAAGATTATATTTATCTATTTCCATTATACTTCAGGTTCACCTTATTATTTTATCTGCCCTAGTAAAAAGGTATGAGTGTTAAAAATTGTTTATAAAAGATTTTTAAAATATTTTATTTTTAATTATCATTATAGGTCCTTTAATAGTTGTACATATTTATGGGGTATATGTGATTGAGAGATGCTGCTGAAACAAAGTTAATTACCTTTTAACATTTTAAAAAGAGATCCTTTTCAAAGTACCATAGGCACTAGAGGAACAAACTTGAGGGCGATTTTTTTCTATTTAAAAAATCATTTAACTTTTCTGAGGCAAAACTGAAGTAATGTTGTTTTCTTATTTTTTCTTGTGAATCACTGACATTTTTTTCAGCTACCGTGTTATTTCTAACTCAGATTTACAACTGATAGTCTCCAATTATCTCATTTTATCATTTTAACTGAGCAAACTAGAAAATCTAGTTTTAGATCCTTTTGTAGGATGCTACTTGATACTCAAACCATTTTAACCTTTCTTCAAAGTCATGGCCTCAACTGGGAGAAGAGATGAAAACATTCCTTTAAGTGCCCAAACCAAGTGCCTCTGATTTTATCATTCATTGCTATATGAATCAGCAAAGAGTATGTTATGGTCTGTAAACCTGATAAGCTTCAAGAAACCTCCTGAGGAAATCTCATACCAGCTCCATCATGATTCACCTCAATATAAATGACGACGAAATAAGATAACTTCCTTATTTTCCCACATCTAGGGGATTTGTTTGGATGTTTACCCTCTGATTCTCAATTCTAGGTCTTTGGAGACCTACAGGCATTTACCTAATATATACAGGGTATATTATAAAATTATCAATGTATAAAAAGATTTAGATAGTATTGTCAAGGACTCCTTTATAGGTTTTTAAAATATTCTCCTTTACTGATGATTGTTACCAAAAACTAATATATGGGACTTAGAATCTGAGGTTGGGCTTCAAATTGTGCCAGACACAAAAGAGACAAAAAGACACAGTAATATTGTCTTCAGGAATTTGCAATCTAGTTAGTAACCTAGCACTCCTGATCACAGCCATATGCACTTATTCCTGCTGTAACATCAGGCTTCTGTAGTAAAGGTGGTGCGGCCAGTTGATCAGAGCACTGGGCTCATGCAAGTGTTTTTGAGATGACTTTATAGCAACAAGAAAACATAAAATTGCTATTATTCTTGAATTTTAGAAGGCTATATTTCAATTTAATAAGCATTTGGAATAATAGATTTCATAAGAAGGATTCACTATACACAGGAATAATAATCTGAGGGTTATATCCATATGGAATTTTTATGAGAAAGAATTAAATAAAATCTTCTGTCCAAAATTATAGCAATACTGAAAATTAAAAACCAAGTTGCTTACTTTTACTATGATAAGCCTAGCCAGGTTTTCACATCTCAGATGATCATTTTCTGTATACTCTACTTCAAACAGGGTATTGTAATTTTCTAGAATTTTAGCCATTATCTTGTTGCACAGGTCCTGTTCCTTCATGCCTTCAAGCCCAGGTGGCACACTAGAAACAAGAAAGGGAAAGAGAGGAATTACTTAGTAAACACAACAGTGCCTGCTAGCTGACTCAGACTTGTATTTTGAAATCTCCTGAATAATTAGCCTTATAGGGATGCATGGGATTTTCAACAAGCTCTTTGGTAACATGCATGACATTGTTGGGGCAATTGGAGAGTTCCCAAGTTCTGAATCAATAGCTTGGGCTGAATAAGAAAAATATAGGCTGTTCAGGAAGAAGATAGAGATGAACACTGAGGCCAGTAGTACTTTGAATATATTAAAAATTATTACACATAATAGTTATATAAAAGTAAAAAAAGAATGAGGGTTTTCATAACAGAAATAGCCACACAAATAATAGCAACACAATCTTTATTTAAGGCTTTCTTAGATAATGCACAAAAAGTACAAACCTTAAAGGTAGAAATGAATACTTCTGGGGAAAAATAATGATAATTGTTGAGCTAAGTGATGAGCGCATGGAAGGTCTATTACACTATTCTCTCTTCTTTTGAATGTACTTAAAATTATTCACAATAAAAATAGTTGAAAATATATCTGAATACAGAATATCCCATAAACAAGGTAAAAAGATAATTTACTGGTAAACTTCTTCAGTAACATGTATAACTGACAAAGATTAGTAGTTACACTATGTAAAGAACTCCTACTAATCAACAGGTAAGTCCAAAAGAAAAAGAGACAAAAGACATGAGTTGGAAATGTTGCAGAATAGTTAATAACCTTATGAAAAGATACTTAGCTTCACTGAATAACCAGAGAAATACATTTAAAAAGCACCACTTAGGTCTCATTTACTACTTATCTGTATTAATTTTCTGAGGCTGTTGTAACAAATTACCATAAACTAAGTGGCTTAAAACAACAGAAAGTATTGTCTTCCAGTTCTGGAGGCCAAAAGAACAAAATCAGTATCACTGGGGCAAAATCAAGGTGTCAGCTGGGCTATACTCCCTGTGAAAGCTCTAGGGGAGAAGCTGTTCCTTGCCTCCCCTAGCTTCTGGTGGCTGCCAGCATTGCTTGATTATAGGTGCATCACATCAATCTTTAACCAGGGCCAGCATCTGCAAATCTCTCTCTGCTCCACCATCACACGGCCTTCTCTACATGTGCTTAATCTCCCTCTACCCCATTCTTATAAGGATACACGTGATTGCATTTCATGTCCACTCCCCTATCCCTCAAAAATTCAGGATAATCCTTATATCTCAAGATCCCTACCTTAATCACATCTGCAAAGATTCTGTTTTCCAAATAAGGTAACATTTACGCATTCCAGGGATTATGATATCTTTAGGAGATACTATTTAACCTACTAGACTATCTTGGGATACGCACCCTAAGGTCTCCTACACTTGGGTGTAGATAGAACCTGTGACTTGCTTCTGATCAATATGATTTGGCAAAGGTGATAGGATGTCGCTCCCATGATTGTGTCACAATGGATGAAACTCAGAAAACTGAAGTGAGAGATTCTCCCATCGGCCTTAAAGATATAAGCAGTCAAGTTGTGAGATGGCTGTAAGAGGATCACATGGCAGGGAACTATGGGACTTCAGTGGGGCTACAGCCATAAGAACACAGTAAGATGCTAGGGTCCTTAGTCATGCAGCTGCAAAGAAATGAACTCTGCCAACAACTTGAATGAGCTTGGAAGCAAATCATTCCCCAAACTCGAGCCTTTAGATAAAAACGCAACCCAGTTAATACTGTGAATTTGGCACAGTAAGATCAAGAGCAGATGATTCAGTTAAGTTGTGCCCAGATTCCTGACCCCTAGAAATTGTGAGATAGCAAATGTTTGTTGTTTTAAGCCACTAAATGTGTGGTAATTTGTTACACTACCATACAGAGTTTGGTACCTGGGAAGGGGATGCTGCTGTAACAAATATCTAAAATGTGGAAGTGGCTTGGGAACTGGGTAGTGGAAGGAGACTGGGCAGCATCATAGAGAAGGCCTAAAATGCCTTGAACCAGTTCTTAACTGACCCCTGGACCTTAAGGACACCACTGATGAGGGCTCAGAGGGAAATGAGGAATATGTTACTGGAAATTGGAGCAATGGAGACCCTTGTGATGGTGGCAGAAAACTTAGGGAAATTGTATCCTATAGTTACTTGAGAAGATCAACCTGTAAGCAATAGCCTTAGCTATACGGTTAACATTATTTGCAAGCAATGGTTTGAAAGTGCCACCTAGTTTCTTCTTACCACTTACAGTAAAATGCAAGAGGAGAAAGAAAGACATTGGGAGAACTTATACAAAAATGAAAGGGGACATGATTTTAAAAATTTTCAGACTCTCCAAATAGAAAAGACACTAAAATTAAGAAATTCACTGTCAAGAAAGCAAGCTCTATAGAAAAAGTTGAGGGTGTGACTATATAGACTTTTGCTAAAACCTCAGAAAGATCAAAAGCTGGTTTTATGCAGTCAGGCAAAGGTCCCTTTCAAGTGATGAAGGGTGTGCCTCACAGATCCTGTCGATCAAATCAGAGGGCCTCTAGGAACTGAAAAGCATCATCCCTCAGCCATTGTAGCATGAGATGGAAAAGGGATTATTTTTAAACGATCTGTGGATATGCCTTTCTTATAATGAAGTGAATCTCTATAAAATCCACAGAAGACTCACAGAGTTTTATTTCAGCAAAAACACTGCCAACGTGGAATCAAAGGGACAGAGAGGATACAAAATGAAAGGATGATGTTGGCACCCCCAAATTCTATTGGCAGGAAGCAGGTTGATAAAACTACTCAGCTGCAAACATGAGTAGTTTCATTAAAAATAAATCATGACTTAGAGGGCAGAACCAAGAATCTAGAGGGCTATTACATAAAAATCATAGGAGACCATTGTTTTG
Organism: Homo sapiens; assembly: GCF_000001405.40. NCBI lineage: Eukaryota > Metazoa > Chordata > Mammalia > Primates > Hominidae > Homo > Homo sapiens. The sequence continues at coordinate 88,941,119 of NC_000004.12, forward strand.
GACTAAGCACAACAAACCAGATTAAAAATCGAAATGGAGTCACCCATGCTAAAATTCCACATCACCAAATCAAAACTAAGTTGTTATCTGACTTTCTAAAATCAGGAAAGAGAGAAAATATCCAACTTCCCAAACAGGAGCTTCAGTTGGAATGAATAGCGAAGTTTCCTGTTTTAATCCTTAACCTGAAATAACCTAATGTTAACCAAACAGTTATTTTTCTATTGTTGTGTCTCCCAGCTCCCACCATACAAGGAAAGTAACTTTAAAATGACCGATCCACTTTTTGTTCTTTGCTTCTGCTTTCTTAAGGCCTTTTTCTGTCTATAAAACCAACCTTGTTTGACTCATTGGGACACTTATTCTACTTAATGGAATGAAGTATTGCATGATTCTAGAACTGCAAATAAAGCCAATTCAGATCTTTAAACTAAATTTGTTGTAATTTTGTCTTCTGACAGATATGGTGACCAGTGAAGGGACCTGAATGAAGGTTACTGATGTCTCTGAGACTCCTTGAGGAACACAGAAAAGATGCTGCTAACCTCCCCTTTAAGTGGTGGGGGGTGGGTCCCCTGTCTTCCTCCTGGAGCCCTGAGAATCCTGTGTAAGTTCCTCTCAGGTCTGGGCTCTGCTCTCTTTTGTAATTGAGTACTCTGATCTCTTTGGCTTTTGGGGTACCAACAGGTAGTTTGTGCTATGGCAGGGCACATAACCTTTGGTTTGCAGTGACTGAAGAGTCATTGGCAAAAAAAGATGCAGTTTTTAAGGTAACTGCCGTCAGTTGCTCTAAGTGGTTATTACTGCAGGGGGGCTCTTTATTTCTTCTTTTCTTGTGTGCTGAGATTTCAGTGCCAAAGCCATCTTGGCTCTAAGACCCAAGATCCAACATAAAAATGAGATCCCTAATTTCTAAAGATGTCAGTACTCTGCCTTCTGGTACACCTGACTTTCTCATGAATAAAAATTATGGCCACAGAAGCTGCAAAGAATTACAAAAGTGGCAAAATCTTACTAAAGATAATTCAGAATTACAATGGTCATTATATGAAATATCCTAGATGAAAAAAACTGTTTTCTAAGAGGTGCACTTGAATCCCAAGCCTCTTGAATTAGGCAGAGAGAATGGGATTGTTATTCTAATTGACATTTAGAAATGTCAAAGAGGCTGGGTATGGTGGCTCATGCCTATAATCTCAGCACTTTGGGAGGCTGAGGTGGGCGGATCACCTGAGGTTAGGAGTTCGAGACCAGATTGGGCAACATGGTGAAACCCCGTCTCTACTAAAAATACAAACATTAGCCGGGTGTGGTGGTGCAGGCCTGTCATCCCAGCTACTTGGGAGGCTGAGGGACGAGGATCACTTGAACCCAGGAGGCAGAGGTTGCAGTGAGCCGAGATCACGCCGTTGCACTCCAGCCAGGGTAACAGAGCAAGACTCCATCTCAAAAAATAAATAAATAAATAGAAATGTAAAAAAAAAAAAATAGGGTTCTAAAATTGCTTTTAAAGAAATGTATTGTGAAGGCTAATAAAAAGCTAACAATGCAAGATATCACCCATACCAAAGACGGTAAAGCCCACCTGACTCCTACTGCTCCCTTCTTTCCTACCTTGCCTGAATATTCGTAGGCTACTAACTCTCCGAATTGCCTATTTTCTTTGAAAAAAATAGTCTCCTTACAAGGTGAAAAATTGAGCTTTGATATCAACAATACACTGATGCAAAACTAGTATTTGGTTTCCTGTTTTAAAACAAGGTTTTCTTTAGTATTTATCTGCTCTTAGTAAAAAATGGTGAGAACTTCTAGGTAACTGGCCTAGGAAACAAATAATCTGAGTCTTATCAAAATAATCCCTGTGCCTCATATTTTCCTTCTTAGGTTATTGATTACTTAGGAAAACTTAATCTCGTCTGTACTAAAAGAGTTAAGGTTTTCTACAATGATATAACTGCTTTTGAAAATCTTACAATTATGACTTTGGTTAAATGAATGACTATTATTCACAGTGATTTGTGATCCTATTATTGATAAGCGTTTTGAACTTTTATTTTTGACAAACTTCCCAAAATTGAATTCAAAATTAAGTCATTTTGATCACAAACTAACTTTTGAACATTCCAGAAGGGCTCCTTAAAGTCTCAAAGAGAAATATTAAATCAATTAGGCTTATCTGAGATGTTAAATTATATGTGGAAACACTGTCAAGTAAGAAATGATGTTTAATCTTTGAGTTCCAATTGTATGGATATGTTATTGATATGTGCTCCAAAAACTATATGAGATTTCTATAAATCTGTTGTGCTATCAGTCATAACTTTCTGTTAAAATGTTGTACACCACAGGAATAACCAAACTTGCTTGTCAATTATATCATTATTATAAAGGATTCTCATCATGGTTCTAACATGGCCATTTTAAATCTTGTCCACAGTTAATTGCTTTATTCTGATGCCTTTCTAAAAGCTTTCTGTAAACAACTGTGATCTTAAAGCATGTGTCTTCAAGACGGTTCACAGAAAAGATGGGAGGAACTCTGGCAAGTTCAGGTTTCTGCTAACCTTGAGATAACACTGGACTGCGTGAGAATTTCTAGAACTCTAATGAAGAAACTGATGAGTTTGTGAAACTACTAACTAAGCTCAAATAGAGCAAGAATTAATTACATGAGACTAAATGAACTGATGAAGAAGAATTATGAATTTTTAAAGCTTTTAAAAAATTTGAAATATTGCTGGTTCTTTTAATGCTTTGTTTTTCAGACTGAAGGACACATTTTTTTTCTCTCTCTTTTAAACTATCCATAGTTTACAGCAATTTGGTAAAGGATACTTCTGTAAACAAAAATGGAAACATTTGTTTCTCCTCCCTACCTGACACCTCTGAAATTCAAAAACTATACTATGTTTTATTTTTACAGCACTATGATTATTTGCATAAGTTCAATAAGAATTTGCTCTTGCTGGGCATGGTGGCTCACATGTGCAATCTCAACTACTTTGAAGACTGTGTGGGAGGTGGACTTGAGGCCAGGAGTTTGAGATCATTCTGGGCGACATAGTGAGACCCTCATTTTAAAAATTAGCTGGGCATGATGGCATGCGCCTATGGTTCCAGCTACCCAGGAGGCTGAAGTGGGAGGACCTCTTGAGCTTAGAAGTTTGAAGGTGCAGCAAGCTATGATCATACCACTACACTGCAGCCTGGGTGACAGAGCAAGACCCTAGTTCCTCTTTTAAAAAAAAGAATTTGCCCTCTTTATAACATCATGTAACTGGAAACATTGGTTCTATTACCAAGGGTTTGACTGGAATATCCTATTTGAAAATGTGGATAGACTGCCTAGCTTCAAGGGTTCCCTGCCTTATAGCCAGTGAGTAAAAAGTTGCCACTTCCTGGCAGGCCCAGGAACCTCAAGATATTAGATGCCGCAGGCAAAGTCCGATGTCTGCATTGGTTTGACTTCCTAGAGTTAAGATGCTTTTAAAAGTCCAATCTGGCAGGGCATGGTGGCTCACGCCTGTAATCCCAGCACTTTGGGAGGCCGAGGCAGGTAGATCACCTGAGGTCAGGAGTTCGAGACCCACCTGGCCAACATGGTGAAACCCTGTCTCTACTAAAAATACAAAAAATTAGCTGGGCATGGTGGTGGGTGCCTATAGTCCCAGCTACTCGAGAGGCTGAGGCAGAACAACTGCTTGAACCCAGAAGGCAGAGGTTGCAGTGAGCCGAGATCATGCCACTGCACTCCAGCCTCGGCAACAAGAGCGAAACTCTGTCTCAAAAAAAAAAAAAAAGTTCAATCTGAGATCCCTTGTCAAAATTCTACTAAAGCAAATGTAAAAGGAACCTCTGTGGGTTATTCTTGCTGCACTTATGTAAATACCTCAGGGCAATTTTTATGAGACTAAACTTATTTTGCAAACAAATTAGTCTTACCCTGATTATCTTTGGTAGAAATGGGAGTGACTGTAGAGAGAAACATTATGTTTCAAAAGAAAACTACATTATACCTGTAATTAGATTGTAGCTCTGTTCATTGTTTTTGAGTTTTTATTATCAACTGTAGACTGAACTGGATCCTAAATTCTTCCAGTTTCCTCCAAAATCTGGCTACAACTAAGAACAAAAACTGCTAAACTGGACAACTCAACATAAATTTCAAAGGACAAGTCTCATGCCTGATGTGTGAACTACATGCGGAGTTGAATATAATGCCTGCTAGCACAACCAGAGACATTCAACTGCAAATCAGGACGAGAAGTTGCCAACTTCATGCTGTGGAGTTTTTCCCAAGATGCATGGAATGAGACTCCCTATCGTAGTAAGACTCTTGCCCCTCTTAATTTTTCCATATGTAGGCCTTCTTCTTTCTCTTGGAAGGGTAAGGCTGTAGTTAGAATTCCCCAATCAGTAGTTTTTGGGGGTCACTTGACAAGGTTGGATCTCTCATATCAAACCCAAATATTTATACAATCTAAGAGATCCTACAGTGCACCTAGCGGGAAGCTTTAGCAACATCCCTAATGCGACTGTTTGTTCAAATTGTACTAGTGGTCTGTGAGAAATGGGGAAGTTCTTCTTCAAACATTATAAAAAGTCACATTTTCTTACTATAAGATTGCAACCACTATTAGTATATATATATATACTATGTGGTTGTATATATATATATAAGTATATATATATTATATATATATATACTACATATTCTATGTGTGTGTGTGTATATATATATACACATAGAATACATATATACTATGTATTCTATGTGTGTATATACACAGACTATATATATATAGTATATATTATATGCATAGTATATTTATACACACATAGTATCTGTGTGTGTGTGTGTGTGTGTGTGTGTATATATATATATATATATATATATATATATATGTAATCCAAATCAGCTGTTCTAGCTTGCTCTGGCATGCCTGGATAGAACTAGACAAGCCCCAGCCCATAGTACATGCCATACCTTATTTGGAGATGCTTCCTTAACTATCCCTGGGCAACTTCCTTTTCTTTCTTTGTTCTATTCCCCTTACCTAATTAACAATGTTTTAAGCTAATAGCCAATCAGGTAAAGTGTAAAATGCGAGGTCCTATTCCAGCCAATGGAAACTGGACACAGCAGTAGGGCAGATGCATCAGGTTATAAATAACTCAGTCTCCTCTGTCCGGTGTGCTCTTGTGGCTGGATAGCTATTAAGTAGCACCCTTTCTGCAGAAAGTAAAGCTGGCCTTGCTGAGAGATCATTTGCTCCCGCGTTCTTTTTTTTTTTTTTTTTTTTTTGGTGACACCAAAAACTTCATTCCCAACATGGTCTCTTTTATAGAATTAGCACCCTCTGCTTTAATTTAACACATTCCTGGGATGCCAGATGATAGAATTACTATCTACTTATTTGAAAATGTAGTAACAGAAAAGAAAATAAGGAATCTGTGCAGTTGCTGACACTTCTTGCTGCATATAGATAAATATGCTGGGTATTGGAGAGATTCAGTTACAAAACATTAACAAACGGGCTACTTGGTTAAAACAGGTAAATTCCTTGTCTGGCTCAGCTTTTTTTTTATTTATTTGATTTTAGTTGGTTTGGTTTATAAGGACTCTGGCTAAGGAGCCAGAGTTATTATCAGTTATTATCCTCCTGAAAGTAATAGTACCAGTCTCCCTAGTACACTGTGTCCCCTTACAAACTTCCAAGTGCTTGCATAAAGCCACCCTTCAAATGTCAAATGCAGTCTTTTCAGCTGGAATGACAAAAACTCAAAGAAATGCAAGATCATATATACACCATAACCTATGAAGGACATGTTGAAACTGCAACCCAGCACAACTGAAAGCAGCACTATTGACCTAGGTCAATAGGTCAGGCTTTGGCCTGACCAAAAGGGGAAAATTATTAAATAAAAATTATAGGAGGCCATTGTTTTGGACTAAGCACCTGCACGAGGCCCAAGATGACCAGCCTAAACTTCAAAAATGAAGTCCCAACTGGGAGCAGTGGCTCATGCCTGTAATCCCAGCACTTTGAGAGGCTGAGGTGGGCAGATCACTTGAGGCCAAGAGTTCAAGACCAGGCTGGCCAACATGGTAAAACCCTGTCTCTACCAAAAAATATAAAAACTTAGTCGGGCGTGGTAGTGTGCACCTGTAGTCCCAGCTACTTGGGAGGCTAAAGCATGAGAATGTGTTGAACCTGGCAGGCAGACTGCAGTGAGCTATGATCGCGCCACTGCATTCTAACTTGGGTGACAGAGAGAAACTGTCTCAAAACAACAACAACAAAAAACACACAGAAATGAAGTCGCCCATGCTAAAGTTCCACATAACTAAAACCAAGTTGTTACCGGACTGCCAGAAAAATCAGGAGAGAGAGATAGCCTAATTTCCGAAACAGGCCAGTTTCAATTGGCATAATAATAAATTTCTGTCTGTTCTGATCTTTAACCTATATTTTTGGCTACCTGTTCCTGCCATACAAGGAAAGTAACTTTGAAACTACCAATCCACTTTTTCTTTGTTTCTGCTTTCTTTAGTCCTTTTTTTTTTGCCTATGAAGCCAACTTCCTCTGCTTGATTTCCTAGGACGCTTATTCTATAATAGAATGAAGTACTGCCTGATAATAGAATCCCAAATGCAGCTAACTGAGATCTTTACAGTAAATTTGTTACAATTTTGTGTTTTGATGAGTAAAGTTGAAAGTCATAGATAGATATTCTCAGGCCTTGAGAGGCTGGTCCTCAGAGGCTGAAATTACAAAGACGGGTTATCTATTAAGTACAGACATACATTATACATACAGATATACACTATATTAACGGTGTTAAAATTTAATGGGGGCAAGGAATGATTAGGGAAAAAAGTCTAAAAACGCTCTTTAGAAGAACAATAATGCAAAAAAGATTGAGAAACACTGCTCTTGTCCCTCCAGTACATTACTATGAATGTTAAACACTGGCTCCTAATATAAGATCAACCTGGAGGTAACTGAACAATGCAGAAAAGAGCAGAGCTCTTGGAACAAGGGGCTAGCTGGAAGGGTTAAGGGATGTATTCAGGATCCTGGGTTAGAAAATGGGGGCTCAGGTTCTGGCTCCACAACTCATATAGTGTAGGTTTTGGAAAGCTGTTTAACTTTAAACACTAGTTTCTTCTATTGTAAAATAGAACTGTTGATAATATTAATGTTGTAGAGATCTTATGAAGATCAAATTCTTAAAAAGTTACGTGAAGGAAGCTTTGCAAAACTATGGGGTCAGAAAACAGTCAGAAGTTACCAGTGGCTGGGGTAAGAGGAGGAGTCAACTAAAAGGGGCATGAAGGAATTGTTTGGAATGATGGAAATGGCCTGTATCTTTTTTTTTTTTTGAGACAGAGTCTCACTCTATCACCCAGGCTGGAGTGCAGTGGCATGATCTCAGCTCACTGCAACCTCCGCCTCCCGGGTTCAAGCAATTCTCCCGCCTCGGCTTCCTGAGTAGCTGGGATTACAGGTACATGCCACCACGCCTGGCTAAATTTTGTATTTTTAGTAGAGGCGGGGTTTCACCATGTTGGCCAGGCTGGTCTCGAACTCCCGACCTCAGATGATCCAACCACCTCGGCCTCCCAAAGTGCTGGGATTACAGGTGTGAGTCACCGTGCCAGCCTGGGCTATATGGCTGTATCTTAATTGTGGTAGTGGTTATGACTGTCTGAGAGCAATATACTAAAAAAGATACATTTTATAGCATGTAGATTGTACTTCAGGAAAACTAACTCTCTAAAATAATGCTTTGCAAACTGGTATTAAACTAGATCTTTCTAGTCCTGATCTCTCTTGAGAATCAAAGTTCAAGACTAAACATTTATTCACTGTAAGTATCAATTTGCTAAGCTTCTAGACATTCTTTCTACCTACAATAACTTTTTTTACAAAACTAATATTTTTGTAGTTTTCTTCACCTTTATTTCTAGCCTTGCTATTCAACATATTAGTTATCCTCACCTTTGTTTCAATGATGACGTTTATGTGTATAAGCCTTCTATGTCTTAATCTAAGTCATTAATAAAAAAAGCCTAATAAGTAAATAAAGAGCAATAAGATACTTAATTTGTAACCCCTTTTGGTATTGGCATCATTTGATTAAGCAATACCCTTACAACGATTGTTCACCCAAGCCCGAATACACCTAATTGCATTATCACCTGATCAAATTGCTCCATCTTGTCCACATACATTCCATGCAGATACTATGTCCTTAATTGATTTGCAATTAAAAAAATGCTGACACACTGGAACATTCTCCCTTATGTAGTTCCTTGCCAGAAAAAGAAAAAAAAATCTATTATTGAAAGCAATCACTTGAGGCCAGGTTTAACAACCATTTTAAAAGATGCAAAAGTTTCCAAATTTGTACTCTCCTGTCTCTGAATCTATTTTAATGGTCCTATATTCCTTAATATGTTATAAATGAAAATTCAGTATAAACAAAAAGCTGGAAGATTTTTTCAAAAGATAACATTCAATTATAAAGTTCCTAATGTTTCTTAGAATTGAGGTGAGGCAATGGAAACTAAAATTTCCAGAACTGTTTTTGTACCTGGCCCCACCCTTGGCAATCTTCCCCTTCTCAAGAATTATTGACATTGGTGTTTCCAGGAACTCAATTTATATTATGTATGTCAGCTTCCACTTTCCCCTCACATTACAGAGTTTATAAACAGTTCCACTTGTTAATCCAACTCATGAGTGCTTCTCAAAAGCACTACAGAACATAAAACGTCATAAGTGAAAGCTCTCAAGTACTACATCAACAATTACCCAACCATGTCTACATAGTAATCAATATTTTGGATACGTTGGAAAAATTGACATTAATTTCTGAGATATTTTCAAATACCCTTAGGTTTGAAATCAAGTTACCAATCATTTGGGTGGATAAGTAATTTTAAAAGTTTTATACTGGATAACTAGATATGTTTCAATCTATTTTAGACACACAGTCTCAACAAAATTAGTAAAAAAGTAGGAAGTAATTATTATTCTTAAGGATAATTACTGTTAAATTTGCAATGATAAAAATCAGGCTTTTTTTTTTTTTTTAAGAGACAAGGTCTTGTTATGTTGCCCAGGCTGGAGTGGTGATCATTGCACACTGCCACCTTGAACTCCTAGGCTCAGGCAATCCTCCTGCCTCAGCCTCCTGAGTAGCTGGGACTATAGGTGTGCACGGCTGTACCCAGCTAAAAATTGGATCAAATTTAATTGATATATTTAATTGATATTTAATTGTGCCACCATGCCCAGCTAAAAATCAGATCACTATTAATTGATATATAGAAGCACATGATAATTGGGATATAATTACTATCATTTTTAGTTCTCAAAACACTTGTATATTACAACAAAGAGTAACTCCTATGTGTCTTACAGAAAAGCCATCAATAGTATAGAAGTAAGAAGAATACTGAAGTGTAAAGAGCTGGATGGGCTTGTTTTAATCCACTACCAGAAAAAAGAGTGACAGTGTTAGCATCTTGAAGATAGATGTATACTATTTATCTGAAATAGTCACAGAAAGGAGCTGATTTATTCCAGATGAAGAAGAGTGGTCTAACTTAAAATACGGGTGAATTTTTCTATAATTCCCATTTTTATACAAGGATGTGGCTGATGTTAAAGCAGCACATTAAATTAACAGTGACGGGTCAATAACTCAATGGTGGCCAACCTGGAAGAGTTATCAATTCTGTTATGGCCAACAGCTGTTATTAAACCACAAGACCCATAGGCAGTCAGGGCATCTGTGAAGTTTCAGAGAACCTGCATTAGATAGAGCAACTAAAATATTACAAGAGAAGACATGTAAAGGGAGGTGGGGCTCAGGTACGAAGGTGTAAACCCGGTTGCTGGGTCCTCTGTTATGCTGTAGGCTGGGAGGAGCAATGGGCTTAAGGGCCAGAACAACCGTGCCCCTGGGCTGCTGCTGTTTATTATATGTGTCACCCTGGACACCTGACCTCTCTGGAAACCTTCCCATTTTGAAAATCTGGGTTTTGTCCTAGATGATATATCAGATCCCCTCCATTTCTTTAATTCTACTTTTCTGAAGAAGCAGATGATGGGATGGGGCGAGTGGCAGACTTCTGATGACTTTAGAACTCCAGTTATTGAATAAATGAGCAGGTGGTTGTGTGGATGAGTTCTATGAACTCTGGCAAAATTAAAAACATTTTTAGAAACTCAACTTCAGGACAACTTCTCATTTTAAAGCAGGAGGGAAAATATCATTTTTCCTTTAAATATACTCAGGATCTTGCTTATAGAAACTTTTCAAATTAATGGTTAAAAGAGAATATAAGTCTCAGTGTTCAGATTACTTATAAATTTTATGTTTACCAAAGGTGATTAGGATCAAACTTTTAGCAGTTTGAATGACTCAAGTAACTTTTAGTTTTATTTTTCATTATTTTCTCCCCTGCACTTTGGGGTCCAAGACATAACAATACATTTTCAACCTCAGAACTCATGATGCTGAGTTTTTCCTTCTTTACTTACTAAATCCTACCCATCTTCCAATGTTCAATTAAAGTTCTGTTCCTCTCTCCCATCAAAATCAATTACTTCTTTCTTATTCTCAAAGAATTTGTTTAACCTTCGATCACAGCATTTATTAGAGTCTCTTATATATCATAATTTGTTGTGAGGGTATTTATCTCCATTGCCTTGTATCTTAAGGGCAGGGAGTCTCTCCAACTCATCTTATATTTCCAACAGAGCCTAGTACTATGCATGACTTAGAGGGAACTAAAATTTGCATACTCTTAGAAGTTGAACTTATTAATACTTTCATAGTTCCTTTTCAACTTATTTAAAAAGTTACTTTCCTCTTTGTACATATATGGGCAACATGCTCCTAGGCTACAGTGTAAAACATAGTGTAAAGAATAACCCATTGTTCTTATCATTTGTATTAGAATAAATAGCATATATGACACCTTTCCTCTCTAATGGTAATATTCCCCAAATCAGGAAGTTATAGGCCAAACCAGCAATCTTTTATATAAACAGCCGTTGAGATGGAACAACCAGAATGCTTCCAAATGGGCTAAAGAAACATTGGCAAGGCCTGTCAGGGGAATAAATACCAAGAAACACATGTTCTTCACCGAGAGCTCAGCCTGTAATGTTACTAAAAATAAAGAAAAACTTGCCTCCTTCATTGCTATAGTATTGATCCATTTGCAAGTCTCAGTGGGGTTGCATAATGGCGGCTATCAAAACAGAGAGAAAACAGCTCAGTATCTCAATGTTATTTTAATAGTAGTTTGAAACTTCACTCCATGCCCAGCTTCATGCTATTTGACAGCAGTAAGGCCTAAACTTGCCAGATCCTCATATATCTTAGTTAAAACTGAAAATGTACCAAGAAAGAAGATCATATTATTCTTATTTTGTTCTGTACTACGTATAGGTACATGTAGTTCATTCTAAACCTTAGTCCACTGAATACCACAGAAAAGCTTCTTTAAGTAGCAAACTTGAGGCCCGGTACAGTGGCTCACGCCTGTAATCCCAGCACTTTGGGAGGCCGAGGTGGGTGGATCCCTTGAGGTCGGGAGTTCAAGACCAGCCTGGCCAACGTGGTGAAACCCCGTCTCTACTAAAAACACAAAAATTAGCTGGGTGTGTTGACGCACATCTGTAATCCCAGCTACTCAGGAGGCTGAGGAAGGAGAATCGCTTAAACCTGGGAGGCAGAGGTTGCAGTGAGTCGAGATCGTGCCACTGCACTCCAGCATGGGCAACAGAGTGAGACTCTGTCTCAAATAAATAAATAAATAAATAGTAGCAAACTTGACTAATTTGAATTTCAGCTCTTTGCCTTTGTAAATAAATATTTTACAGCATCACTGAGATACAATTAACATCTTATACAACTCACCCATTTAGAGTGTACAATTCAATGCTTTTAGTATATTGAGACTAGTACATCCATCATCACAATCAATTTTAGAACATTTTCATTACCCCAAGAAGAAACTTCCCTCTCAGCTGGGCGTGGTGGCTCAGCCTGTAATCCCAGCACTTTGGGAAACCGAGGCGGGCAGACCACCTGAGGTCAAGAGTTCGAGACCAGCCTGGCCAACATGGTGAAACCCCGTCTCTACTAAAAGTACAAAAATTAGCCGGGCGTGGTGGCAGGCACCTGTAATCCCAGCTACTCGGGAGGCTGAGGGAGGAGAATCACTTGAACCCAGAAGGCGGAGGTTGCAGTGAGCCGAGATTGCACCACTGCACTCCAGCCTGTGTGACAGAGCGAGACTCTATCTCAAAAACAAACAAACAAACAAAAACAACAACAACAAAAAACATAACATAAACTTTAACATTTTAACCATTTTTAACTATACAATTAGCAGCATAAGGTACATTCACATAGTGGTGAAACAGATCTCCAGAACCTTTTCATCTGGCAAAAGTGAAACTCTACACCCATTAAGCAACTTCCTCTTTCTCCCTCCTCCCAGCTCCTCATAACCACTATTCTGTTTCTATGAATTTTATGATTTTAGGTACCTCATATAAGTGGAATCACACAGTATGTGTCTTTTTTGACTGGTTTATTTCACTGAGCATAACATCCCAAGGCTCATCCATTTCCTTCCTTTGTATGGCTGAAAAATATTCTATTGTATGTATATACCTAATTTGTTTGTCTATTCATTCACTGATGGACATTTGGGTTGCTTCCACCTCTTGACTGTTGTGTCTTACCTCTTCTTGTACGTATTTTTAAAAAGCAATCAGGTGCTTAAATAACAGGACAAGAAACAACAGAATAAGAACAATGCAAAAATTCTGGTCAGCCTCTACCCAAACCAAAATGAGCCAAAGTGTTTGGAAATGATAAACATTTAGTGAGTATGTTTACTTCTGAAAAAAAATAAATTGTTAGACTCCATGAATTCAGTTGGTCTGCTTATAGCTAAGTTAAGGTAGGTCTTGAGATAATCCAAAATAAGACAACCTAATTGGTCTACACATAATATTAATATGAGGTGCTATATACTCCTGTATTCTTCATCCAATGAACATTTTCTTCATTTCAAAAGCTTAATACTTATTAACAAAAGTGAAAATGAATCTGTGATCACAATCTTACTCTGCTCTTTAAAGCAGCCCAGAGATGCATAGGAGAATGCTACTGTCCAAAAAGAGTTAGAATACTTTTCTCTGCAGTAAACTGCCATCTATCCATCCATAAATCCGTCCTTTCATCTATCAATCAACCAAAGTGTTAGAGGCTAGGCTAGTCAATGACACTTCTAAGATGCGTAAACCAGATTCTTGCCCTAAAAAGTTTACAAATAAGGTCAAGGGAGGAGCCAGAAAGAGGATAAATGTTAACAGGCTTAAACACCTATACAAAAAATAATAGGAATACAAAACAGAAATATGTTCAAAATGCTATGAGAATGGCCAGGAGTGCTGGCTCATGCCTGTAATCCCAGCACTTTGGGAGGCCCAAGGTGGGCAGATTGCCTGAGCTCAGGAGTTCGTCACCAGCCTGGGCAACACGGCAAAAACCTCGTCTCTACTTAAAATTCAAAAATTAGCCAGGTATGGTGGTGCGCGCCTATAATCACAGCTACTCAGGAGGCTGAGGCAGGAGAACCGCTTGAACCCAGGAGGCAGAGGTTGCAGTGAGCAGAGATTGTGCCACTGTACTCCAGCCTGGGCGACAGAGCAAGACTTCGTCTCAAAAAAAAAAAAAAAGAAAAAATGTTATGAGAACTCCAAGAAAAGTAGTTGTTGCTTGTTATTCCCACCACCAGCATTTCCCTCTTTTCTGGTTATTGTCTTGATTCTAATCCCATCAGGATATTACTCTGTCAGGTCAAGTCAGGGCAGTTAAAGAAACTCCATAGAGCTTCCTTCATACCTCACCGTTTTATAACTCTCACAAATATTTTCTTAAGATTGAATGTACTTTTAATGGCTAGAACTAACCATATTATAGTTAGAATGTGTTTTTATTATGCTTAGAATTGTTTTCAGAATGTAGAATTACGTATTAATTAGAATTAAATATCATTATATTTATTTATTATATTGTTATATTTCCCTTCAGTTTTGATAACAACAGAGCACCAGGGAAAAGACCTCTATTAACCTCAAATTAAATTCAGAAAACCAATATAATCTACTGAATACACATAGTCTGCCATGATTGTAAGTTTCCTGAGGCCTCCCCAGCCATGTTGAACTGTGAGTCAATTAAACCTCTTTCCTTTATAAATTACCCAGTCTCGGGTATGTCTTTATTAGCAGCGTGAGAACAAACCAACACAGTAAATTGGTACCGGGTAGTGGAGCGCTGCTGTAAAGATACCCAAAAAATGTGAATGTGACTTTGGAATTGGTAACAGGCAGAGGTTGGAACACTTTGGAGGGCTCAGAGGACAGGAAGATGTAGGAAAATTTGGAACTTCCTAGAGACTTATTGGATGGCTTTGACCAAAATGCTGATAGTGATATGGATAATAAAGTCCAGGCTGAGGTGGTCTCAGATAGAAATGAGGAATTTTGGGGGAAGTGGGACAAAGGTGACTCGTCATGCTTTAGCAAAGAGACTGGCAGCACTTTGCCCTTGCCCTAGAGGTCTGTGGAGCTTTGAACTTGAGAGAGATGGTTTGGAATTGGAACTTATGTTTAAAAGGGAAGCAGAGCATAAAAGTTTGGGAAATTTGCAGCCTGATGATGCAATAGAAAAGAAAAACCCATTTTCTGAGGAGAAATTCAAGCAGGCTGCACAACTTTGCATAAGTAGCAAGGAGCCTAATGTTAATCCCCAAGGAAAAAAAAATTTAAACATTTATAAGGTAAACTAGTTACAGTAAGTTAAGGTTAATTTATTATGGGAGAAAGAATTGTTTAAAATATATTTAGTATAGCCTAAGTGTACCATCTTTTTAAAGTCTACAGTAGTGTACAGTAATGTCCTACGCCTTCCCTTTTACTCACCACTCACTCATTGACTCACTCAGAGCAACTTCCAGTTCTGAAAGCTCCATTCAGGATAGATGCCTGACGTAGGTGTACCTTTTTAAAATCTGTTATATCACATTTTTCTGTACTTTTGTTAGTTTAGATATGTTCAGATAAACAAATACCATTGTACTACAATTGCCTACAGTATTCAGTACAGTAACATGCTGCACATGTTTGCAGACTAGCAGCAATAGACTATATCATATAGCCTAGGTGTGGGGTAGGTTATACCTCTCGGTTAATATAAGTATACTCTGTGATGCTCACGCATGTACGAAATTGTCTAATGACGCATTTCTCAACATGACTGTATACTTCAATAAAGCTATTATTTAAAAAAAGATGAAGAAACACCAAAGAACTTAAGGAATTTATCCAAGGTCACTATACTAGATTTCTATTACTGATATAACAAATTACCACAAACTTAGTGGCTTAAAACAACACACATTTATTATCTTGGAGTTCTAGAGGCCAGAAGTCCAAAGTAGGTCTCAGTAGGCCAAAAAAGTAGGTCTTAACAGGGGTCAGGTCCTTCCTAGGGGAGAATCTGTTACCCTCACTTTCTAGCTTCTAGAGATCTCCTGCATTCCTTAGCTTGTGGCCTCCTCTCACAACACACCTTCTTATCTGACTCTCCGGCCACCTATAATGGCCCTTGTGATTATATTGAGCTTATAATACAGTTTGGATTGTCCCCGCCCAAATTTCAGGTTGAATTATAACCCCAAATGTTGGAGGTAGGACCTGGTGGGAGGTGTTTGGATCATGAGAACAGTTCCCTCTTGAATGGCTTGAGCTATCCCCAGGGTGATGAGTGAGTTCTCATTCTGAGTTCACATGAAATCTAGTTATTTAAAAGTGTGTGGGTCGGGTGCAGTGGCTCACGCCTGTAATCCCAGAACTTTGAAAGGCTGAGGTGGGCAGATTGCCTGAGGTCAGGAGTTGGAGACCAGCCTGGCTAACATGGTGAAATGCCATCTCTACTGAAAATATGAAAATTAGCTGGGCATGGAGGCACATGCCGGCAGTCCCATCTACTAGGGAGGCTGAGGCAGGAGAATCACTTCAACCTGGGAGGTGGAGGTTGCAGTGAGCTGAGGAGATTGCACCACTGCACTCCAGCCTGCATGACAGAGCGAGACTCTGTCTCAAAAAAAAAAAGTGTGTGGCACCTCCCTCCCACCCCACATCTCTCACTTGCCTCTGCTTTCTCCAGGTAAGCTTCCTGAGGCTTCCCTAGAAGCTGACCTGATGCCAGCACCATATTTCCTATAGAACTTGCAGAATGATGAGCCAATTAGACCTCTTTTCTTCATAAATTACCGAGTCTCGGATATTTCTTTATAGCAATGCAAGAACAGCCTAACATAGAAAATTGGTACCAAGGATGGGCATTGCTCTAAAGACACCTGAAAATGTGGAAGTGACTTTGGAACTGGGTAACAGGCAGAGGTTGGAAGAGTTTGGAGGACACAGAAGAAGATAGGAAGACAAGGAAATGTATGGAACTTCTTAGAGATTTGTTAAGTGGTTGTGACCAAAATGCTGACAGAAATATGGACGTTGAAGGTCAGGGAAATGAGATCTCAGATGGAAATGAGGAACTTACTGAGAACTGGAGTAAAGGTCACCCATGTTATGCGTTAGCAAGGAACTTGGCTGCACTCTGCTCATGCTTTAGGGAATTTGTGGAAGTTTGAACTTTAGAGTGAAGATTTAGGGTATCTGGTGGAAGAAATTTCTAAGCAGCAAAGTGTTCAAAATGTGGCTTATTTCTAACAACCTATGCTCAGATGTGAGAGCAAAGAAATGACTAAAAGTTGGATTTATATTTAAAAGGGAAGCAGAGCATAAAGTTTGGAAAATGTGCAGCCTGGCCAAGCGTCAGAGGGAAAAAAAAAAAGCTTTTTCAGGAGAAGAATTCAAGCAGGCTTTGGAGCAACCACTTGCTAGAGAAATTTGCGTGACTAAAAGGAGCCAAGAGCTAATAGCCGATACAATGAGCAAAAGGCCTCAAGGGCACTTCAGAGATCTGCTTGGCAGCCCCTCCCATCACAGGCCCAGAGGCCTAGGAAAAAAGAATGGTTTCCTGGGCCATGTCCAGGGCCCTGCTACCCTGCACCGCTTCAGGACACTGCTGCCTGCATCTCAGCCACTCCAGCTCCAGCTCCAGCTCCACCCCTGGCTCAAAGGGGCCCAGGTACAGCTTGAGCTGATACTTTGGAGCCTCTCACTGCTCACTGCATCTCAGCCACTGCAGCTCCAGCTCCAGCCATAGCTCAAAGGAGCCCAGGTATAGCTTGAGTTGACACTTTAGAGAATGCAAGCTGTAAGTCTTGGTGGCTTCTATGTGGTGTTAAGCCTGCAGGTGCACAGAATACAAGAGTTAAGGAGGTCTGGCAGCCTCTGCCTAGATGTCAGAGGATGCATGAGAAAGCCTGGTTGTCCAGGCAGAAGCCCGCTGCAGGGGTTGAGCCCTCAGAGAGAACTTCTACTAGGACAGTGTGGAGGGGAAACGTGGAGTTGGAGCCCCCCGACAGAGTCCCCACTAGGGCACTGTCTAGTGCAGCTGTGGGAAGAGGGCTACCACTCTCCAGATCCCAGAATGGTAAATCCAGTGGCAGCTTGCAACCTCAAGGCAGAAAAGCCACAGATGCTCAACATCCTGTAAGTTTAGCCATGGGGGCTGTACCCTGCAAAGCCAAAAGGGTAGGGCTGCCCAAGGCCTTAGGATCCCACCTCTTGCATGAGTGTGCCCTGGATGTGGGACATGAAGTCAAAGGAGATTATTTTGGAACTTTACAATTTAATGACTGCCCTGCTGCATTTCACACTTGCTTTTGGTTGATTTTTCCCATTTAGAATGGTAGTGTTTACCTAATGCATATACCCCATTGTATCTTGAAATTAAATAACTTGTTTTTGATTTTACAAGCTCATAAGTGAAAGGGACATGCCTTGTCTCAGATGAGATTTTGGACTTTTGAGTTAATGTTGAAATGAGTTAAGACTTTGGGGGAATTATTGGGAAGGCATGATTGTATTCTGCAATGTGAAAAGGACATGAGATTTGGGAGGGGCCGGGGCAGAATGATATAGTTTGAATATTTGTCCCCACCCAAATCTCATATTGAAATGTAATCTCCAGTGTTGGTAGTGGGGCTTGGTGGGAAGTGTTTGATCATGGGGGATGGTTCCCTCATGAATGGCTTGGGCCATCCCCTTGGTGATGAGTGAACTCTCACTCTGAGTTCACATGAGATCTGGTCGTTTAAAAGGACGTGGCATCTCCTTGCCTCTGCCACTCTCTCATTTGTTCCTGCCTTTGCAATGTGATGTGCCTGCTCCCCCTTTTCCTTCTGCTATAATTATAAGTTTCCTGAGGCTTCCCGAGAAGCCCAGCTGATGCCAGTACCATGCTTCCTACAAAGGTTGCAGAACTACGAGCCAATTAAACCTATTTCCTTCACAAAATACTCAGTCTCAGGTATTTCTTTACAGCAATGCAAGAATGGCTTAACAGTCCACATGGATAATCCAGAGTAATCTTCCTATCTCAAGATCTTTTACTTAATAACATCTGCAAAGTCCCTTTTATCCATGTTAAGTAACATATTTACAGGTTCTGGAAATTAGGATATCAGCCTCTTGTGGCGGTAAGGGGGTGAGGGGATGTTGTTATTCTGTCTACCACAATAATTTCACTAGGCAGGTTTAAAACCAAATTCAAACCCATGCACTCTGAACACCTGCTTGCTTAACTACCGCATCCTTACCCTTCCATTATACACAGTAGAAGTTGCCTGGTTCTCGGCAAGAAGGCACTTAAATCGCTTTGAGAATGACTTTTCAAAATACACTGGACCCTCAGAAAGAAAGGATTCTGGGTTGTAGAAAGTCATCTCCCTCTCCTGAGTTCTAGAGGTAACTGTCTTAAATTCAAAGTAGCACTGAAGGGCAATTCCCATGTGGAAATATCTATACCAAGGCAAGAGTAATGTCCCACCTCTTTGCAATAAACAAATGAAAATGCTATAAGAAATCCGTCAGGAAAATAATCTCAGTTATTGTCACTATGTGTTTCTCTTTTTTGCTTTATTAAAAAATAACACAATTTTCAACATCCTGAAGCCTATTTGATTTTTCAGTGAGAAAGACAGTTTTTAATATTTTTTGTCCTAGTTGTGAGTGAGATATAACTGAAGATATGAGGAAAACTGATGATTAGGTTCAATTACAAAACAATAGAAAAACAGAGGGATACAAGTTAGCCTGCCCAAATAATTGAAGTAATCCCTTGGTTCTACTTCTTCAGTATCATCTCCTTCAAAGAAAGAGAAAATACACAAAAGTGCACAACAATAAACTGAATTTTTCCGCCACAACAACAAAACCTCATTTGAAGTATTAAGATGACTATGTAAGCACTCTCAGCAAGAGGAGAGAAGAGAAAAGAACGAAGAAGCTAGTAGTTAGTAAGAAAGACACAGAGGTATCCTCAATTCCCTTTTTAAACTACAACCCAAATGTAGGGCTTCCTTTTAAGTGTGACAGGCATTGTCTTTTGCAAAGTTGCTTCCTGAATAGATTTACAGGAAGCAGCTTTGTTTTACCATTGCTGAAAACATGTAACAATTTACATTTGCAAAGCAGAAATTGTGCAAACCCTAACAAAAGCAACAGTTACTAATCAGAAAAACATCAACTCCAGTGAGAGGAAAATTCATAAAGAAACTTTAAAAAAATTATATTTATGGAAATTGATGACTTGCCTCCTTAAGAAGCACAGAAAGTGCATTTGTATTAATTCTTAACACTTTTTAAAGAGGTGCCCTCTTACAGTTTTTAGACCAAAAGTTGATTTTTAAGCCACGATTTAGAATTCAGAATGGACTTTCTAATAAAAATAGTGATAGAAATGGTGACTAAGTTTGAATGTTGGCCTAGAACAATCAATAAAAGCCATAAAAGTTTTGAAATACTCTTCACTTGAAATGGAAAAACAAACAACACAGAAAATATAGTTGCAATGAAAGCTTTAAAACAAAATACACATTTAAAAATAGAATAAGTTTACCTATAATTAACTCATTCACTGAACAAATAATACCTATATTTGCCAAGAAAAGAGATACATAAAAACAAATCCTCAGCTTTGTGGAATTTGCCTTTTTTTTTTTTTTTTTTTTTTTTTTTTTTTTTTTTTTGAGACTGAGTCTTGCTCTGTCATCCAGGCTGGAGTGCAATGGCATGATCTCAGTTCATTGCAACCTCCACCTGCTGGGTTCAAGCAATTCTCCTACCTCAGCCTCCCAAGCAGCTAGGACTACAGGCGTGCACCACAATGCCCGGCTAATTTTTTGTATTTTTAGTAGAGACGGGTTTTTGCCATGTTGGCCAGGCTGGTCTCGAACTCCTGACCTTGTGATCTGCCCGCCTCAGCCTCCCAGAGTGTTGGGATTACACGCGTGAGCCACCTTGTCTGGCCAGAACTTGCCTTTTAGTGGTGTGTGGAAGAAGCAGTAGGGAACATAAAATAAATAAATGTATGACATGATAGATGTTAACTGTATCTCATAGACAAAGACTTGAGGGTCTAACTCAACAGAAAGTTTTGGGATTCAGTTCATGTTAAAGGGCTGCAAAAACAGCTTTTTATTTTAATGTGGTTTAACTTCACTTTTATGGATTCTTTTAATCTTATATATAGCAGGTATTTTATCAAGCCATGGAAAGTGAATGGGGAAAAATAGGTTAAGTTCAATTATAAAAATTATAAAAACGATTAAATTCAATTATAAAACAATAGAAAATTAGGGAAATGGAGGGAAAGAGGGAAGAGAGAGAAAGGGAAAGAAGAGAGTCAGGGAAAGAAGGTAACTAGGTAGGAGTCAGAAGAGAGAGTGAATGGCAACAGTAAAAACCAGACCTCATAAATATGTACAATTATTATTTGTCAATTTAAAAAATAAGTAAAAAAAAAAAATGAAATGAAATCTCAGCAAAAATGTCACAGAGGATATTTGAGTCTCCTTTTAATAGATTTCAAACACAATGTTATCACATTAGTAGAGACACATGAACTATATGGATTTTAATACAAATTACTTAAATATTTCACAAAAAAAGAGAAGGAAAGGATGAACGAGATTTAGGAAATTCGGAACAAGCATTTGCATGAAGGGGATTTACTAAAGGAGAGTCAACCAATTCAAGGTCTGTGAAAGTGCAAGGATAAGAGAAAAAACTCAGCATTTACACAATTTTCCAAAGAGGAAAGAAAGGAGGTGGGAAAAACAGAGAGTTTCACAGAACAGGGAGTTTGGCTGCAATCTGAGTAAGGGGTGGTCAGCTGCAGGGAGGCTCCAGAGTGGTGGGAGCAATGGGTTGCATGGTTTATCAACCAGGAGTCACTGCTATTTGGTGGGCGGGGAGAGCGAGAGAGAGAGCATATGTGTCAACTCAAAGAGTCATCTAATAAACTGTGTGGACTTTAATTTCATCACATGACTAGAAGTTAGTGAAATATTTGTGGGATGTGCACCACTCAGAACACACATCAACCTTTCTGGCCACTGAAATGTGAGTGCATAATAGTCCCAAATTGACAGCAATCTAAATGTTCATTAAGAAAGAATTAGGTAAATTCCAAAACATAAGGGAATACTATGACAACTACTACAACAGTGGTATAAAGATTAACGTTAGTTGACATGGAAGATGTTCATGACATATTATTTAAATAAGATTAGTAACACAGTAGCATGTATGAATATTTCCTATATGTAAAAATGCATTTTAATTTCTGTGTAGAGATTTCTAAAAGGATGTTCAGAAAAATATCAATGGGTCACTAGGTGACTTTTACTTTTTTTCTTTTTGCCTTTTTGGGTATAATTTTAATTATTTACAAGAAGCAAGTATCATTTTTATGAAACTAATGTTACTTAAAAAAAATTTAAAATTGATGAGGTTATATGCTTCTGTGAAGCTTAACAATGTGATAACGGTGTCATTAACACACCCAGACCCAACAAACAACTTTTAATAAGATATTCCCTTGCTTTACAACAATGGGTTGGCCACCCAAAGAGAGATTACTAAGAGTTTCATTTAAAATCTTTTTTTTTTTTTTTTGAGACTGAGTTTCGCTCTGTCGCCCAGGCTGGAGTGCAGTGGTGTGATCTCAGCTCACTGCAACCTCCATCTCCCAGGTTCAAGCGATTCTCATGCCTCAGCCTCCCTGGTAGCTAGGATTATAGGCACCTGCCACCATGCCCAGCGAATTTTTGTATTTTTATTAGAGACGGGGTTTCATCATGTAGGCCGGGATGGTCTCGAACTCCTGACCTCAGGTGATCCACCTGCCTCGGCCTCCCAAAGTGCTGGGATTACAGGCATGAGCCACTGCACCCAGCCCATTTGAAATCTTTTTAGTAGGGATGAGATAATACCTCTATAGAATGGCTGCAAATTTCCCTGGAGTAATAAGACAAGGGTCTCTTTTCAAAGACTTTTAAAAACCACCACAATTATATTTAATAGCTCCTTGTTTATATATTTTAGGGACCAGTCTATTAGTTGCTGCTAAAACTTATAAATAATATGGTAAGATACTTGTATTATTTGAAACATACTATACTCAATTTAAGAGTGTTTCAAGCTTGCAGGCACCCACTTTACTTAAGTACCAGTGTAAACAGGTCAGCTGATGGGTGTGTCACTGAAGAAATGAATGTTCAGTGTAAACAGTTTGGGGTACAGTACACTCCTCAGGCAGGTCCCACTGAACAATAGCACTAAAGAAAAAGAAAAGTTGTAAACAACTCCCCATGCGCCAAAAAACTCAACAGGTTTGACTTCATTTAACCCAAGCAAAAACTTCTGAACAGTCAACATAAAGTAGCTGCAATCTGCCTAGTTAGATTAGGCAATAGGATGTAGTCACAGAGTGGATCTGCATTTCTTTCATACGGCTGAGAATAATGAGAAGAGTTAACTTAATGTATATGTAAACAGCTGGCTCAATTCAGTCCAAGAAATATTTACCAAACACTTATTGCTTTCTTTGCCTGTGGGAAGTACTTCAGAGAATACCATGGGTAAGGGCAAGATAGCCTCTCCCCTAAAGGAGCTTATATTATGGTATAAATAACATAATTAATAGAATGTTTCTATAAGAAAGATACAAACTAATGCAGGTAGGTCATTGTGTATTTTTGGAGGTAGTCTGTTGTTTTGGGATTAAAAAAATATTATTAGGAAAGACCTCCTAGAGGAGGTAGTATTTGATATAGGATTTAAGGACTGGGTAGCATAATTATTAAACTAGATTTTTCTGGAAATTTTTTTTTTTTTACACAGCACCATCTAGTCATAATGAATCACCACACTAGCACATAATGAATCATAAACTAACATGTAATGAATCACCAAACTAACATACACTCTGCTCTTTTTTTTTTTTTTTTTGGAGTCTCACTCTGTCACCCAGGCTGGAGTGAAGTGGTGCTACCTTGGCTCACTGCAACGTCCACATCCCTGGTTGAAGTGATTCTCCTGTCTCAGCCTCTGGAGTAGCTAAGATCACAGGCACGCACCACTGCACCCAACTAATTTTTGTGTTTTTAGTAAAGACAGGGTTTCACCACATTGGCCGGGCTGGTCTCGAACTCCTGACCTCAAGTGATTCGTCCGCCTCGGCCTCCCAAAGTGCTGGGATTACAGGCGTGAGATACCGCGCCCGGCCCACTCTGCTCTTCTTGATAAGACAAAATATATAATAGAAAATCTAAAAAGATATATTTGTGTGCTGGTATTAGTTTTCTTAAGGCCTCTTCTGACATAATGGGGGGAAAATCACACAGTACAACTCTACATCTTTTACGTCTTCTTTCCTTTTATAATTGAACAGGCAAGACTAAGGCAAGACCTTACCAAATATGATAAATGGTACAATTTGAGCAGCTGTAGCATTCCTGTTACAGACAATGAGCATTAGGCCATTCCTCACCAAGTGGAAGAAACAGTGCCTTTCACTGAGAGAGAGACATAGAAAGGAAAGGCATCTGCTGATTACTCATGAACTATATAAGGTGATCCAAAGTAGACTCTGGGTTTGTTGCTGTGCAGACAGCACTCCCAACTCTAGGATGGTCCTCTATCAACAAGAACACAGCAGACTTCTCTCAATTAAACAAAATGTTCTTCTTTACATTACAAAGGTCAGACATCGGGACAGAATGGAAAGCAAGTATCAATCCACTTAAAATCTCATGAAGGAAGAAAAAAATGTTCAAATCACAAATTTTGTGATTTAAATACTGAATACCTAAAACACTGAAAAGAAACCTGAAAACAGGCAAAACTATCTTATATGTAGTTTTTTTAAGTTAAAAAAAAACAAGATGAAATTTGCCATCTTAATAATTTTTAAGCGTAGAGTTCAGTAGTCTTATTTATATCCACATCGTTGTATGACAGATCTCCAGAACATTTTCATCTTGCAAACTTAAACTCCATATCCATTAAACATATCTCCTTTTTCCACTCCCCCAGCCCCTGCTAACCACCATTCTACCGTTTCTGTGAATCTGACTACTTTAGATACTTCATATAAGTGGAGTCATACAGTATTTGTCTTTTTGTGACTAGCTTAGTTCACTGAGCATAACGTCGGCAAGGTTCGTCCATGTTGTAGTATGTGACAGGATTTCCTTTTTGAGGCTGAATAATACTCTCTTGGTTGTATATACTACATTTGTTTACCCATTCATCCATCCATGGACACTTGGATTATTACCATCTCTTGGCTATTGTAATGCAGCTATGAACACAGGTGTGCAAATCTCTCTTTGAGACCCTTCTTTCAACTCTTTTGGATATATTTACCCAGAAGTGGATCATGTGGTAGTTCTATTTTTAATTTTTGGAGGAATGAGGTGAAGACATGTTATGTAGTTTTTGACCACTAATGTGATTTTTGAAACTGGACTATTTATTAAATTCTAATTAGTTAGAAAAACAGTATAATATAGATTAATTCTGGGTGATTGCTTTTCCCAAAATAAATAAACATTAGACCCTTGTGAGCTACATCCCTCCCTCCTTTTCCCAGAGTATTAGAAATAAAACTGATCCTTCATATTCACTCATTCCTTCTTTGAACAAACATGCACTGAGAGCCTACTATATGGCAGGGACTATGTTCTAGGCGTTGGCACCAGAAAAACTAAACTAAATTGAAGTTTCACCTGTCCTCTCTTACCTTTGACCTTTTTCCTGCTATAGCCAAATAAGTAAAGCATTAGCAGAACCATGGTTAATCCTTTTTGCCTGGAGGTTGGACTATCCTAAATATGCCCAACAGAAAGCTATTTTATTTTTTTCATTTCATTTATTACCTACTTTCTTATTAATTAAGTCTAGGATGTAGGTTCAACTAAAGTTGAATCCCCGGCAGTCAGTTACAATGGTCATTATTTTTAGACCTGAGAATAGTCCATAGAATAGTTCTATTCTATGTTAAGAGGAATCACATTAATAGCCTCTTCCAATGAACTACCAAAATAAGTTCATAAAATTAAATCAGAAATGTTATATTGAATTAAATGTCACTAGCTTAGCTCATGCAAAATGAAACACTCCACTCACTAAACTAGGATGGAGACATTTAACCTCCTAGAAAATTGTTATCCTTTCTCTTCAGTATTCTTGAACTTGATACCTGGTCTCAATATTCTCTAACCCAGGCTCTGCTATGCTTTGCAATTATAGTATAGATGTAAAGAATTCAGGCTCTGAGTCTTCTCTCTAGGTTCAAATCTTGGCTCTTTACTAGCCGCATGCATTGTGAAAGTTACTTAGCTCACATGGTCTATTTCTTCATTTATAAATGTGAAATAATAGTACCTAACTTCTAGGGTTGTTATTAGGATGAAATAAGATAGTACATGTAATTTCTTTAGAACAGTACCTGACATAACAATAAACACTGTTACCTGTGATTATTATAATGATTATTTATTTGTATAGTGTTTCTGTGTGTTTTCCTCCACAAGCTCACTGAGAGCAGGCAGTACGTCTCTCTGATTTATCTACTATACATTTGGTGCACAGTATGGTGAGAATAACTGAACTGCTGATTAAAGTCTGATTAAAGAGTCAGTGAATGAATAATCTCATTTCCCTACACAATCTTATTTAATTTTTTAAATGAGAGCTTTCCCATGACAATCATTATTTTATATGTGATCATCTGCAGTCTAGATAAAATACACCAAATTCGTTTATGAGCACGTTTATTGGTAAGTTCCATGTGGAACATTTTAACTCTTGTAGTGGGTAGCTGCAAATATATTCAGGGTCTTCATATTTATCTTAATTTATAATGTGAGCCCATTGTGGGATGCGGCTTAAGGAGAGTAGCCTTATCTTTGCTCATCATAGAAATGAGAGAGAATTCCATGTGCCTTACAACACAGAAAAGATGCCCGGCAAGAGCAATGGGTAGAAAACTCAGTGGGTCAAGCACTGTACCATCATAATTAGAAAAACAAATAAACCAAACTTTAATCAGCAGTTCAGTTATTCCCACTGTGGGCAGGAGGTTGGTAATGGGGACAGAGAGGAAGGGAAATTCTTTTGGAGATGAAATCAGTTGATACTTGTTTATTACCAGGAGTTCCATGCTTGTTTTTCCGGGTATCACGTCTCTTAAACAGTGCCTAGTGCTGCCATGTGGAGGACACTGGCTGAGTGAGACAGGCTGTGGTGGTAGTGTGTGTGTGTTTACTTTCCACAATTACAGTCCACAGTCATACTGACTTTTCCTGTTTATCCCTTTCCACAGAAGACCTGCCATAATTTGCAGAGTCTAGCAAGTAGTTAGAAAGGTTTGTTGACTAAATGTGGAAGATTGGTAAGCCTCTGGGTACAATGGCCAAGAAGAGAAGATAAAAAGAACTATTTGCATTATCTCTGATACAAAGCACCCGCCTCAGGGACTTGAATATCCTAGTTATTAAAACTGCATTCAACTCTTGGCCACATCACCTACTTGGAAACAAAGGTCATCATCTGATTAAGAAATACTTTTCCTCCTGTTTGCTCAGAACACACCTTCTAAAGTTTCAACTTTGCAACACTTATGTTCTAAACAATTAGGGATAAAAGTAGAGGCCAAACAACCATTGTTTTCCAACATAGCAAGTACAAAAATATATAATCAGTAGCAAGGTAAAATTGACTCTGAAAAAAGCTTTCAAATTCTTTCTTCGCTATGACCGAGAATCAGGAGGGGATACAGTAATTACTTACTCTACAATGATTTTGTTTTCAGTTTAGAGTACTTGGCAATTGTTCATAATCTTTTTTTCTGCCCTATATGCCCCAGAGGATATACACTGTTCTTTCTTAATAACAAGGGAATCATAGACAATAATTTCCAAAAGTGTTTTGGACGTTTCTATTCCATTAATCCCCTTTTCTCCCACCCCACTTTCTTCCTTTTTTTTTACTTCATGTTCCTGCCCTGTTCTCCATATCCAGCAAAATAGGTATTTAAACAAAATAGACAGAAGAGCTTAAATCATTGCCTGAATTTTTTTTAAAGGACAGAGTGGCATTAATTTTGCCTCCACATTCATTCTCAAACTATTATTCATTTTTCAACAGAAATGCCTATAACGCTGTTAGGGATTTTGGGGTCACATAAAGGAATACAACCAGCTTCTTCTATCAAAGGAGATACACTTTAACTAAGGGGGTATGAAATATTTGTAAGGAAATTAAATACTAATATCATCAATTTAAAAGATGTTCCAAAGAGGTCATATCATTGAATGCTATTAAGTCTTTAGTGACAGTATTAACTAACATTAAAAGACACATAATTTCCATCTCAGATTATCAAATCAAATCAATTTCTCAAAAATCTCACAAAAAAACAAAATCTCACAAGTCACCACTAAAGAACTTACTCATGTAAGCAAACACCATCTGTTTCCCCAAAACCTATGGAAATAAAAAATTTAAAAGAAAAAGATAAGACTCCAGGATAATTTTCATAATTTCTGTGTTAAATATACGAAGCTGGGGTCAGAAAAGTGACTTGTCCAGGCAGCACAGATTTTCAGTGGCAAAGATGGGACTGAAGTCCAGGATCTTGATTGTTTGCCAATACAGGATGAAGAGCTCATGTGTAGAAATGATCAGGAGAGGCTTCCTAGGTGATGAATGCAAGCAGCTTGGCTCTAAAAGATGGCTACCAGATAAACTCATAGACAGGTTCAGGTAGAAGGTCAGGATGGGAAAATAAGGGCACCCTGATTGGAAGAAACATGTGAACAATGCATATAAGTGAATTTCCTATCATTTTCCAAAACCACATATCTATTCTATTTCTGGAACATGCCAAGCTTATCCTCATCTTTGAACTTTTGCACTGAACATTTTCTCTACCTGGAAACAAAACAAAAGGTAACATTTACTGAGTGTATACTATGTACAGGTACTTTACATGTTTTAATTCATTTAATCCTCCAGTCTTTATCATGTGGGCACCATTATTTTGCTCTTATTACTTTACTTATTACAGAGGAGGAAACAAACTCAGAAAGGCTGAGAAAACTGTCCTAGGGCATAGAGATAGTGAATGCCAGAGCCTGGACTGGAATCCAGTCAGTCTAGTGCTGAAGCCTATGCTCTGAAGTGTTTTCTAGCCTGCTCACATTTCTGCTCTCTGTAGGGCTGACTTCTTCTACTTTAGATCTCAGCATCGATATCAGTTCTACAAAAAGACAATCTCTGGATTCCCAACCAAAACTGGTCACCCAGCCTCTTGCTATCACATCACCCTATTTCAGTCATAAAACAGTGCTGGTCATAGAGAAGGCACTCAATAAATATCTGCTGAATGTATGAGGATTATGAAAAGCTTATTACAGTTACTAGAATTTTAGCACTAGACAGTCCCCTTGAAAAAGTATATTTCATCTTCCTTGTTTACATCTGAGAAAACCTGGATGAAAAGACATAAAACTTAAATGAGTAACTTCCAAAATCTACCTCAGCCCCCAGATATTCCTCTAATATAATATAATTACGGTTGCCCATCTTTAGATTCTTATGGATGGCTCCTGGAAAATAGTAGAGGAGATGAGGCTATACAAGCACCAAATCATTAAAGGCTTTGAATGCCATGGAAAAGAAAATATCACTAAATAAAGGTCTTGGAAACAAGAGAGAGATGATCTGAGAGAGAGAGATATATATATATATGATACATAATAATCAGATATATATCAGATATATAGATACACTATATATATTTGATAGATGATATATTTGATATATCTATATAATACATATCTGATATATCTATATTTTAGCCTTAATAAATTTCAAAAATTGAGTATTATATAGACTGATCTTCAATTAGAAAGAAATTAAAATTTAACAAAAAGTAAACAACTATATATTTGGAATAAAACACACTGCTAAATAACGTAGAGGTTAAAGAAGAAGTCATAATTGAAATTTTAAAAAATTTCAGAACTCAGTGATAATGAAACAAGAGATAGCAAACTCTGTGGGACAGATGGCTTAATACGTTAGAAAATGAACCAAAAAATAAACCCAAAGAGAGGGATAATAAAAATGAGATGAAATTAATGACTTGGAAATAATAACACAGTAGGAAAAAATGATCAAAGCCATAAATTAGTTCTTTGAAAAAGCACAGAAGTTGGCCGGGTGCAGTGGCTCACGCCTGTAATCCCAGCACTTCGGGAGGCCGAGGCGGGTGGATCATGAAGTCAGGAGATCAAGACCATCCTGGCTAACATGGTGAAACCCCATCTCTACTAAAAATACAAAAAATTAGCCGGGCGTGGTGGCGGGCGCCTGTAGGCAGGAGAAGCTGAGGCAGGAGAATGGCATGAGGCAGGAGAATGGCATGAACCCGGGAGGCGGAGCTTGCAGAGAGCCGAGATCGCGCCACTGCACTCCAGCCTGGGCGACAGAGTGAGACTCTGCCTCAAAAAGAGAAAAAGAAAAGGCACAAAAGTCATCAAAGGGAAAATTTAGTTAATAGAAGGCTACCTTGTATTAGGGCTTAGTAACTGTCTTTTGGATAACAACAAATGAACAAACTGTCTTCTCTCAAGTGATGCTTTTCGTTTTCATTCAAGCATGTATTTGGCAGTCTTCATAGACTTTTAGGTATATTTTTATTATTTACTTTTTAGAATTATTAAAATAATGAACTGTTCTGAAAGACTGGGACTTTTTAAAAATGGCTCTGGGACCCTTTCTTTGCTAAATACATGAATTTTAAATATTTTTCAAGTTGGGGTCTCACTCTGTCACCCAGGCTAGCATGCAGTGGCATGATCATGGCTCATTGCAGCCTTGAACTCCTTGGCTCAAGAGAACCTCCTGCCTTAGCCTCCCAAGTAGCTGGGACTATAAGAACACACCACCACACCCAGCTTTGTTTTATTCTTTACTTTTAAGAGACAGAGTCTCACTGTGTTGCCCAATCTGGTCTCAAGCAATCCTGGCCTCAAGCAATCCTCCCACCAGCCTTCTGAGTTGCTGAGATTACAGGCATGAGCCACCGCTCCTGGAACACTTCTACTATTTTTAATATCAAATTACTGCAAGGAAAAGGAAACTAGTTGAAACCCTAACATAATGAGAATATAAAGAAAACTTTAATTTACACATATCAAATTTAGAAGACCAGACTGCTGCCACAGTTCAAAACTTTTCTACATCTCCTTCAATAACAATAATCCTATTTCTTTGCTGCTTGTATCATTTGTGTCATTCATGTCATTTATACGTGAGCATACATAAACACATATATATACATAATTAAATATATTGTTACTATTATTATTTTGAATAAACTGTTATCCATTAGATAAGAAAAATATTTTTTTTTACCCTAACTCATTCCTTCTGATGCTCTTCCTTTCTTTATGTAGATCCAAGTTTCTGACTTACACCATTTTCCTTCTCCCTAAGAATTTTTAACATTTCTTGCAAAGCAGGTCTACTGTCAACAAATTCCCTCAATTTTTGTTTGTCTGAAAAAGTTTCTGCTTCTCCTTCACTTTTTTTTTTTTTTTTTTTTGAGACAGAGTCTTGCTCTGTTGCTCAGGCTGGATTGCAGTGGTGCGATCTCGCCTCACTGCAACCTCTACCTCCCAGGTTCAAGCAACTCTCCTGCCTCAGCCTCCTGAGTAGCTGGGACTACAGGTGCGTGCCACCACGCCTGGCTAATTTTGGTATTTTAGTAGAGACAGGGTATCACCATGTTGGCCAGGCTGGTCTCAAACTCCTGACCTCAAGTGACCCACCTACTTTGGCCTCCCAAAGTGCTAGGATTACAGGTGTGAGCCACTGCACCCAGCCCCTCCTTCACTTTTTTTTGGGGGGGAGAACAGAGTCTCACTCTGTTGCCTAGGCTGGAGTGCAGTGGTGTGATCTTGGCTCACTGCAGCCTCTGCCTCCCAGTTCAAGAGATTCTTGTGCCTTAGCCTCCCAAGTAGCTGGGACTACAGGTGTGCACCATCACACCTGGCTAATTTTTGTATTTTTTGGTAGAAATGGGGTTTCACCACATCAGCCAGCATGGTCTCGAACTCCTGACTTCAGGTGATCCACCTGCCTTGACCTCCCAAAGTACTGGGATTACAGGCGTGAGCCACCGTGCCTGGCCTCCTTCACTTTTGGGTATAATTTTATAGGGTACAACGTTCTACTTTAAGGATTGTCTCTCAACACTTTAAATATTTTATCCACACTCTTCTTGCATGCATTGTTTCAGAGAAGTCAGATGTAGAGCTTACCTCTTTGCTCCTCTATAGGTAAAGTGTTTTATTCTTCTGGCTTCTTTCAGAACTTTTGATCTTCTGCAGTTTGAAATGACAAGCCTAGGCATAATTTTTTTTTTTTTTTTTGTCATTTATCTTGCTTGGTATTCTCTGAGCTTATTGGATCTCTGGTTTAGTGAATGGAAATTCTCAGTCATTATTGTTTCAAATATTTCTTCTGTTCCTTTCTCTATTTCTTCTACTTCTGGGATTCTAATTATGTGTATGTTATATCTTTTACAATTATACCACAGTAATTGGATATTCTATTCCATGTTTTTCAGTATTTTTTCTCTTCACTTTTCAGTTTTGGAGGTTTCTATTGAAATGCCCTCAAGCTCAGAAATTCTTTCCTCAGCCATGACCAGCCTACTAATGAGCCCTTTAAATGCATTCTTCATTTCTGTTTCAGTAATTTTGATTTCTAGCATTGCTTTTGGTTCTTTCTTAGAATTTCCATCTCTCTGCTTACAATCCCTTCTGTTCTTGCATTCTGTCTACTTTATCCATTAGGGCCCTTATCCTATTGTTTTAAATCATAGTATGATAATTCCAACATCCCTGCCTTATCCAAGTCTGATTTTGATGCTTGCTCTGCCACTTTAACCTATGTTTTTGTTTCTTTTAGTCTGCTTTGTGATTTTTTTCATGATGGCTGGACATGATGTACTGGGTAAAGGGAACTGCTGTAAATTGGCCTTTAATAATGTGATGTCAAGGTACTAGGAGAGGGGAAGAGTTCTACAGCCCCATGATTAGGTCTGTCTTTTAGTGAGCCTGTGCCCCTCAACTGTAAACTTCACAAGTGATTCTCAGTTTTTCCTACCCATACATGGGACAGGATGACTGGATGGGGCTGGAATTGGGTATTTTCCTTCCCCCAGGTCAGTTAGGCCCTGAGAAATCCCTGGCAGGTTAGGCTCTGGTTAAATAGCTTTCCTCGAAGGCAACCCTTTAAGAGCAAAATGCTCTAGTATATTTCAAATTGGTTCCTTTTCTCCTCCCCATGTCAGAAGCATGAAGGGATTTTTCTCCAGTATTCACTGTGAGAATCGGGTAGAGTTTCAGGAGGCAAAACTCCCAAAATTATGGAGTTCTCCAGATGACTCAGTGGCCCTAGAGTTAACTGACAGACTTATCCACCGGGAGCTTCCAGCAATTTGTCAATTACAGTTCAGGTTGTTCTACCCTTCCTTGCTGGTTTCCACTGGGGCAAATAGTGATTCTCTGTATCTGCCTGTCTGTCTGACCAATTTTGGGGCACTTGTTTTTCCTGTGACCTCAACACTCTTCCAAATCTAAGAAGTGTTGTTGATTTTTCAGTTTGTTCAGCTTTTTACTTGTTGTTAGGAACGAGTGGTGATTCCAAGCTCCTTAAATGCTAGACCAGGAACCAAAAGTCACCTGATTTATTTTTTAATTTTTAATTTTTTTGAGACAGACTCTCGCTCTGTCGCCCAGGCTGGAGTGTAATGGCGTGATCTTGGCTCACTGCAACCTCCGCCTCCTGGGTTCATGCAATTCTCTGCCTCAGCCTCCCGAGTAGCTGGGATTACAGGCACCCGCCACCATGACCGGCTAATTTTATATTTTAAACATAATGCAGTGTGGATTTGGATTTGGGTTGGTGAGACCAAAGAGGGGAAACTAGTTAAGAAGTTATCAAAGAGGGGAAACTAGTTAAGAAGTTATCAAAACCAGAAGAAAGAGATGAAGAGAGCTTGGGGTCTGCGGAATGCACTAAAATGGGGAGAGTTCAGAGTTAGGTAAGTTTGAATGAAATACAAGCTAGTTCTCGGGCATAGACATTCATAGTCAGCACAGTTAGCATCTCTATTATTAACACCACTGCAGCACTTATCACAACTGTAATTCAGTAATTACATAAGGAGCCTTCTTCCCCAAAGGCATGAACCATGTTGTTTGGCTGACATCTGGGATACTGCCTGCTGGCATACAGTATGTACTCAAAAAATATTTGGTAATTTAATACATTTACCAAATAAGTAAATTAATGATAAAACTTGTAGAAAAATAAAATCATATAAAAATCTAAACGCTCAAAAGAAATTCACATATCACCTAGTAGAAAATAGAGGGTTAGAAAAATTGTGTGACTTTCTTAAAGTCACAAAGCTGATTCGTAACAGAGGGCAGAGCAGAATCCTGTTTCCCCAAGATTGAATCTCCATAGTAACCTTGTCGGAGAAAATAAAAGATAGCTGTGCAAGTAGAAGGTAGACACAGGGTTGAGATAATAATTCTGGAGATTATTACATAAGTGCACACACATACTCCCACATATAATGTTGGGAATAAAAATTTGCCACTGAATTCTGTGAATACCTAATAAACATGCCTCAATATATTTATTTTTGTGTGTATATACCTAAATTTTCTACTTGTCATCACTGAATGATGCTGCAAGGAGTTTAAAGGGTCAATAGCCATTTTCAAGATTACTCTTGAGTAAGACATATAGTACTAATTTTCATTTTGAAGTCTTATAGACAGCAACCAAACTGCATTACTAAAATAATTTTGCATTCACTTGAATTTTCTTTTAGAAGCATGGAAAATGAGAAACAAAGAATTGCCAAAATCCGAATTTGCTTTTTCTCTGCAAAGAGTATTCATTTTAAATGCTTTCTTCCATTTTTAAAAGTTGTACTTAACAACGGACTCTGTGCACACATGGGCCACATCAAGGCAAATGATACAATGAAGGTCATTAATTCCACAAATAACCCGTGATGAGTGAGATAAAGTATGGTACAGTAAATAACATCTGTAGTATTATCTTGAGAAAATGTGTGCTCTAAAGGACAAAACACCAGTCCAGGAGTCAGAAGACATTTTATTCTTAGTCTTGCCATAACTAGTTATATAATTTGTGGCCAATCATTGACACCCACCCACCAGCCATTTTATAGAGCCTTAGGTCATCCTTTGTTAAATAAAATGTACTGCGCTGCTCTCTTCCCAAGACAGATATAAGGAGTAAGTAAGATCGTGAATGTAGAAGTCCTCTGAAACCATGTTTGAAAGAAAACATGCGGTTTCATTTTTAAAAATAGTATTAGCAGAGTAGTGTTGATGAGTTTTGGCTGAGCCTTTCTCTTTAATGAATAACTGGCTGACTTAAAAGATCTTGAATTTACGATCAACTATATATCTCTCCTGATGACCATTAACTGCCAGGCAGATGTTATTGCTTAATCACTGCATTCTCACAGATAATGATGGACTCAAGGGATTATTTTTACAAGAATAAGAAACCTTTGACTCTGGCCTCATCAGCAACGTTCAACAACTAAGGCTGGTTATTCACTAGAGAGATGCAGTAGTCCTCTATGATCTGCAGGAGATATGTTCCAAGAACCTGAATACAGGATGAAACTGTGAATAGTATCAAACTCTATATATTGTATATTTCTTCCTATACAGTCATGTGCCACATGACATTTTGTCAACAACAAACCAAATATATGAGGGTGGTTCCATAAGTTTATAATGAAACTGAAAAATTAGTATTGCCGGCTGATGTCACAGCCATCAAAATGTCATAGAGCAATTATTTTGTTATAAATTTAGTGTAGCCTAAGTGTACAGTAGTGTACAGGAATGTCCCAGGCCTTAATATTTACTCACCACTCACTCACTGACTCACACAGAGCAATTTCCAGTCCTACAAGTTCCATTCAGGGTAAGTGCCCTACACAGGTGTACAATTTTTTATCTTTTATAGTGTATCTTTATTGTACCTTTTCTTTGTTTAGATATGGTTAGATATACAAATGCTCACCATTGTATTACAACTGCCTATAGCATTCAGTACAGTAACATGGTGTACAGCTGTGTAGCCTAGGAGCAATAGTCTATACCATATAGCTTAGGTGTGTAGTAGACTATACCATCTACATTTGTGTAAGCACACTCTATGATATTCACACAATGACAAAATCAGCTAACAATGATGCATTTCTCAGAACATATCCCTGTTGTTAAGAGATATGTCACGTAAATATGTATCTATAATAAAGTTGAATTTATAAATGAGGTACAGTAAGAGGTTAACAACAATAACTAATAGTAAAATAGAACAATTACAACAATATGCCATCATGACTACTCTTGCATTTGGGGTGATTAAGTTAAAAAAGGGTTACTTGAACACAAGCCCTGAAATACCACACCAGTCCATCTAATAACCAAGATGCCTACTAAGTAACGAACAGGTAGGTAGCACATACAGAGTGGATATGATGTGCAAAGAGATGAAGCCATAGAAAGTGAAACTGCAAATAAAGGGATACCACTGTCTATTCCAGAGAAGAGTTCACATATTCTAAAAACTCTGCATCACCCTGGTGAGGTAAAACACCTGCAAATCACTTACTTCATTCACCGTTTCTCTTATCAGCACTAACCTAAAATTTACTGACTGGAGATTACTAGGAAAAAAAAATCACTGCTCCCTTGTAATATAACAAAATACATTATTATTTCATATAGAAATTCAAATTACAATGCATATTTTTCAAAACAATTGATTGCTAATCCACATATATTACAATCAAGCAATTAGCTTGCGGAGTAATCATTTGTAGATCTAAGGTTATTCTACTATCTCCTTTTCAGTGAGACCAAGGTCAAAAAGTATCCTTTCTAATTACTTTTTGTTTTGAAAACTAAGACTTGAAGCATACTTACTAACACTAATAGCTGCGTAATAAAGTTTGCTCCATCCTTCCTCACACAGAGTATCTGGAGGAAGACTATATATGGAGCATATAAAGTTATAAAACATCATGAGTTCCAGAAAAAAATAACTGAACATCTAGAGGATAATGTATAATATCATCTCCAATCAGTAATATTTAATTTTTTACGTGATACAAACTCATGTTCTCACCTGAACCCAAGGAATAATAGACTTCACATTACTCTAAGACTGTATTATATAAAACTACAGTATTTGGCCATTTTGAACTAGAAAAATAGCAGTTTTACATGGTTCAATCTAATACCTATAACTACCTCACCAAGAGACAACGATAACATAGAAATCCTTGTGCACCAGTTTGGGCTTTTTCTCTCTAAAAAGTAAGGATTACTTTCTTGCCTAGTTCTCAGTTTTAACTAAAACAGATCAAGAAGTGTTACAAGTTCTATTTTAACTCTGTAATCCTAAATAATACTTTCTACACTTCAGTTTTTTAATCTTTAAAAGTCTGAAAGTAACAGCTATGTTTATGGATTTACCATGAGGAATAGATAACTAAAGATACACTTTTTTATACAAACAGAACTTAATAAGTACAAGTCTGTCATCTTCTATACAAAAATTCCTGGCTGTAAGTAAAAGAAAAAAAAATGCTGTAAACTAAAGGATTTGAATGACACAGGAAATATGTATAACCTAATGTTGTGTTTAAAAAGCACAATTAAGGCTGGGTGCAGTGGCTCAGGCCTGTAATCCCAGCTCTTTGGGAGGCCGAGGCGGGCAGATCACAAGGTCAGGAGATCGAGACCATCCTGGCTAACACGGTGAAACCCCGTCTTTACTAAAAACACAAAAAATTAGCTGGGCGTGGTGGTGGGCGCCTGTAGTCCCAGCTGCTGGGGAGGCTGAGGCAGGAGAATGGGGTAAACCTGGGAGGCGGAGCTTGCAGTGAGCCGAGATCCGGCCACTGCACTCCAGCCTGGGCGACAGGGCGAGACTCCGTCTCAAAAAAAAAAAGATAACATCAAACCCAAGCAACACAAATTGATATAAAGAATTAACAAAATCTTTAAACTTCTTATGGCGACAATTAAAAAGCTTCAAAAATAAATCATAAGCTCAGAGAAATATTTTCAAGTTTCAAAAATAAATCATAAGCTCAGAGAAATATTTCCAATACACAACAATACATTAATAGTTGTATTAAGAAAAGGAACTCCTACAAATCAGTCATAAAAAAGACGAGCACCAGCTTAAGAAAACTCAAGGAAGAGAGTGAAAAGCAATGTACAAAAGAACTACATGGGAAAATATGCTTTTAAACATGTTAACCTTACAGTAATTAAATAAGCAAAAATGTCAAAAGAAACAATTTCATTTATTATATTGGCAAATATTAAAAATAATAATATGAGTACTAGAGAAAGTATGGGAAAGGAGACACATTCACGTATTGCTGCTCACAGCATGAACTGGTGTGACCTTTCTAGAGCACAAATTTGATGATACGCATACCCTTTAACCAGCAAGTTTAATTCTAAAAGTACATCCAACAAAAATAATTAAGTAAGTGTGAAAAATGTATGTTCAAGAATAGTTCCTGCAATGCTGTTTATAAGGGAAACAGTTATTAAGTGGTGATTAAGAGCTTGGAGCTGAGGAGCCAGGCCTTCTGGATTCAGAATCCTGACTCTAACCTCTTACTAGTCATGTGACCTTATGCAAGTTAAACTTTCTGTGCTGCAAGTTTCCTCACGTGAAGAGATAATAATAGTACTTGCCTCATAGGGTTTTGAGGATAAAATGAAGAAATAGATACAAAGCATCTATAACATTACCAGGAACCTAGTAAGAACTCAATAAATATTGCCTATTATTATTATTGCCAAGAAAAAAAACTAATTGGCCAGGCATGGTGGCTCACCCCTGTAATCCCAGCATTTTTGGAGGCCGAGGCAGCAGATCATGAGGTCAGGAGTTCAAGACCAGCCTGACCAACATGGTGAAACCCCGTCTCTACTAAAAATACAAAAATTAGCCAGGTGTGGTGGCATGTGTCTGTAATCCTAGCTACTTGGGAGGCTGAGGCAGAAGAATCGCTTGAACCCGGGAGGTGGAAGTTGCAGTGAGTGGAAATCATGCCACTGCACTCCAGCCTGGGTGACTCCAACTCAAAAAACCAAAAAGTAATTAAT
This sequence comes from Homo sapiens, assembly GCF_000001405.40. Taxonomy (NCBI): domain Eukaryota; kingdom Metazoa; phylum Chordata; class Mammalia; order Primates; family Hominidae; genus Homo; species Homo sapiens. The sequence goes on from NC_000004.12 coordinate 88,979,983, forward strand.
TTTTCTAATTGCATTCTAAATGCAATTTATAAAATGGCTTAAATAAATTGTATTGCTCAAAAGATCAGAATGCTATGCTGTCGTTAAAAATGATGATGTAGAATTACATGTATAAGCATGAGACATGCCATGATAAACAACAGTAAGTTTTTAAATAAAGGTTATAAAGTAGTATTACTTTATTATCCCATCTTTAGTCATGTGAGCATGCAGAGAAAACAAGATGAAGGCACATAAGCTGACATGTGGGGATTAAGTCTGGTTTATAAACTGACGTGTGACCAGGGATTAAGTCTGGTTAGTGGAATAATGGATGTTTTTTATCTTTATACTGTGGGGGGTTTTGTTTGAAAACATTTTGTTTGGCCATGAGCATATGTTACTTTTGTAATAAAAACAAATGTATAAACATTTTGAAAAGAAATGGTAAGTAGTAAGCCAATTATCACAGTTACAAGTGGCAGTAGGATTGCCAGCACAGAACTACAGGCAATGAAGTAGGTGCTACATAGGGCTAGTGCAGATTTAGGCAGAGAAAGGCCAAACTTTCCAATCACCCATTCTTTAATATTCCAAAATCATATTTATAGAGAATATCAATAACAAATATAATTATGCTAAAAATTAAGGGAAAAATTTGCATTTTATAAACAGACAACAGGTTATAAATATATAAATATGTGATCCTACAGCTTGGGCTTGATTTTTAAAAATTTCAACTATTTATACTTTTCAATCCAAATTACCAGTTTCTAAAAGTAACTTTTGGGTTACAAACCAAATATAGCTGCTTAACAGCAGTTAGCAGATAAAATGACAGCAACATTATAATATCTGGTTATACATCATGTTCGTGTCTACAAATTTAGCTGATATCATTTAATATTTAATGGTGTAAATATTATACCAGTAAATTAAACTCTAACTTATTGTGTTGTTTTTCTGCAAGATTTGAAGACCAATAGCAGTTTTAAACATTTTTGGTGCTGCCACTAAGAAAAAATGTAACATCTTGGATAGAAGAATAAGTGGAAGGGCTTATCATTCAAAATATGAAACTGATTTATCTTTGAAAGTTTCAGGAATACCTACAAAATTATTTTTATCTTATTGGTTAGTACTGAAACACTTGTTTCAAGGAATAGAATTAATTTACCTATCTATAGACGAAAGGCACAAGACGCAGAGATATGAAGCAAAATTTGACCAAAATGACTTACTCATCAGTAGCAATAGCAAATTTAATTATTAGAAATTAAAGACATACATGTTATCAAATTGTACAAACTAAGTGTGCACAATGAGTTTAATGCAAAGTGCCAAGAATACTAACAGACAAACAAAAAACCCAGAACCAAAAGCCGAGGCTTTGGTCCGTGCATCAATATCACTTAATCAGATTTTTAAATACACTCTAAACAACGGCAAATAAAAAATATTTAGGTATTTCTAATATAATGAATCTCATGCATACCCAATGTTATCCTTAAATATTCTTAAAGTATAAAATCTCTCACCTAATCTTAAGAAAATAGATTTTCCTAATGTATTAGAACTGTCTGCTACATCACTAGGTACACAGTGCCTTAGAGCAGATCCTCAAGAAACCCAAAGAAAACAAGGCAATGATGAGGATGTTGGTGTATTATTTTGACAGCAGGGATACCAGGCAGGGTGGGTGAGAAAAGGAGGCAAGCAGGGATATGAAATAATGTAAAGTATGCATAGCTCTTTCACAAAGAACTACAAAGACACATAACAGTTTGCTCGACAGATGCTTTGCTTGGCAGTCTGGAATTCCCCAGATAAGCTGCAAGGAGAAGCCATGGGATGAAGAAATGTGTTCCATGGGAAGAACAAAAAAAGTCCATGTCTCTTCCTGACTCTTATTTAACTGTTCTAGATTTCCAGGTTGCCATATCCCATGCCTCTGATACCCTATCAGGAATTAAGATCCGAGTCTAGGGTTCAAAAGTGATGGCAGAAGCCAGAAACTCTGAGCAGGTGGCTTGTTGACCCAGCTATAAGGCAGAAGCCAAGAAGAAGAATCTAGCATTCCCAAGGCAGGAGAAAGGTCCAAGCCTGGTGGAAGCAGATTGGTCTGAGAGGCGGGTAGAGCCAAGGCAATCTGAGGAGGTCAGAAGGTGTCTGATACAAGTACTAAGTTGAAGAAGTTGGCTTGTGTTGAGAAATTTTACTGGGTAAGAACATTTTCTATTCCATTAAATATTAACAAGCATACTCAATACTGTAAGAAGCTTGTTCTAAGTGAGAACTATGACAACTGAGGTTAAGAGCAATGTCATGTCTTCCATCTCATGTTTCTAAAGAGCCCAGTTCATTAACTAGTACGATGGGCAGAGCCCATAAAACCTGATCTTTCCCTTAATGCAATTTTAAATGTATTTAATTAAATGCACATGGATTCTAACTCTGCCAATTGCTTACAATGTATGAGGACTTTCTCTTACAGTCTCACTTAAATTTCAAAGCAAACTCTGTGGGTCCTGTTTTACAAAAATTTAACAGGAAAATAATGCAGGCCAAATCTACCTGCATTAGTAGAATAAGGACTACTAATGGGCAGAATAAGAACTAGACTAACTTCCTTTTATACGTCATGCTATCCAAACCACTGAAAATCCAATACTCATTTTAATAACTATCAAAACTTACAGAAGCAATTCCTGCTAATTTCTAAGAATGATAAAGTATTCAGAGGACTTTTGCCTTAGAAACTGGGATATTGGGGATTTCCTTAGAAAAATCATATACAACATATATAGCTCACAGTCCAAGGTTTAATGAATTTTTAAAAGAAAATATTTATGTAGTGACTCTGTGAGGTGATGCCCAGGTGTCTCCTTCATGCCAGAAGTATTCATTATCCACCCAATCTCACTCAAAGTGTTGCCTGCTTATGGCTCATGGCTAAGTCCTTCTTCTGAGACTACACAATGTCCCTGGCACAGCTCACCTCCAGTGATTGATGGAAATGGGGTAAGGAGACTAAACCCTTTGACTCAACTAGGGATTTATCTGAAAGGTCATCCCATCTTCTCAGCTCCCCTGGGACTGAGTGAATCCTGTGTTACAACTTGATGGCAGTTCAACTTCTGCCTAATCCTACCTTCCTCTGTTCCTTATAGGTATAAGGAAAGAATGGTTCCAAAAAGTACTACCCAATAAAACTTCTGCTTGAAAACTTAGTCTCAGAGTTATACCTTGGATAACCCAACCTATTATATCAAGTGGTAAAATAATAGTGAAAATGAGGAGACAAAGTAATACTGAGAGGAAAATTAGAGTTTTAAGTGTGATTATGATGGATAAAAGAGACTAAAAATAAACAAAATAAGTATTCAACAAGGAAAAATAAAACCTGAGCACCTAATAGGAAAATGGCAAAAGATACAAACAGGTATATGAGGAAAAAGACAGATGGCCCTTAAACACAAGTAAAAATGTTTAGTTTCATTTATAAGAAAACACATGCAAATTAAAACTATATTGGTATTAGCAATGAGCAATCTGAAAATAAAACTGAGAAAACAATTACATCTAGAATAGCATCTAAAAGAAAAAGATACTTGATAATAGATTTAACAAAATAATTGCAAAACTTGTACCCTGAAAACCATAAAACAGTATTGAAACAAATTAAAGACCTAAGTAAATGGAAAAATATTTCATGCTCACATATTGGGAGATTTAATTTTGCTAAAATGGCAATAGAGTCCTCTCCAAATTGGTCTCCAGATTCAACAGAACATCCTATCAAAATATTGACTAACTTTTTTGTAGAAATTTACAAACTGATCCTAAAATTTGTAGAGAAATACAATGAACCTAGACTAGTCAAAATAATTCTGAAAAGAAGAACAAACTTGGAGTATTGAAACTTCATGATTTTAAAACTCATTAAAAAGCTATAGAATTATCAAAATACTATGGTACTGACATAAGAATAGATATACAGATCAATGGAATATAACTATGAGTTCAGATATAAGCCCCAATAATTGTGGTCAACTTATTTTTGACAAGAGTGCTGAGATAATTCAATGGGGAAAAACAATCTTCAACAAATGATGCTGGGACAACTGGACAGCCACATGCAGAGGAATGAAGTTAGACTCCTTTATACCATTCACAAAAGTTAACTCCAAAATAGCTCCATAGACCTAAACATAACAGTCATAACTAAAAAACTCTTAGAAGATGAATAAATCTTCATGATCTTGGTTAGCCAAAACTTTCTCAGGTACAACACAAAAAGCATAAGTGACAAAAGAAAAAACAGATACATTGCACTCCATCAAAAATAAAAACCTCTGCACTTAAAAGGACATGATCAAGAAAATGAAAAGGCAACTTATAGAATAGAAGAAAATATTTACAAGTCCTGTACCTGATAAGGAATTTATATGCAAAGTATATAAACAACTCTTATAACTCATCAATAAAGACAAATAAATCAACTTAAAAATAGGCAGAAGATCTGAATAAACATTTCTCCAAAAATATACAAATGGCCAATAAGCACATGAAAATATTCAATGTCATTAGTAATCAGGGAAATGCAAATCAAAACCAAAATGAAATAGTGTTTCATACCCACAGGAATGGAATAAAAAAGATATTAACAAGGATGTAGAGAAACTGGTTCGCCCATACATTGCTGATGGGAATGTACATGGCCATGTGTCTTTCTCTTCATATATTTTTGTCTTTTGCCATTTTCCTATTAGGTCCTCAGGTTTTATTTTTCTTTGAATATTTATTTTATATTAGTCTCTTTTTGCATGATAAGCACATCCCATTGCTGATGGGAATATATGAGGGAACAAATGCATGAGGGAATGTAAAATGGTGCAGCCACTTCAGTAAACATTTTGGTAGTTCCTCAAAATTTTAAACAGTTACCATGAGACCCAACAATTCTACTCCTAGTTATATACCCAAGAGAAATGAACACATAATTCTACACATGACATGTACACAAATGTTCACAGCAGCATCATTCGAAATAGCCAGAAACTAGAAGTAACACAAATACCCACCAACTAATGAGTTGATAAACACATCAACTGGTGTGTCTCTACACTGAAATATTATTCTGCCATAAAAGGAATGATGTACTGACACATGCTACAAAATGGATGAGCCTTGAAAACATTTTGCTAAGTGAAAGAGTCCAGTCAGAAAAGAACACATATTGTATGATTACATTTATATGAAATGTCCAGAATAGGCAACTCTCTAGACACAGAAAGTAGATGAGTGGTTGCCTAGAGCCAGGTTGTTGTGGGGAGTGATTGGGAAGAAATGGGAAGTGACTGCTAACAGTACAGCATTTCTTTTGGGGGTGATGAAAATATTCTATAAGTGACCGTGGTGATGGTTACAGAATTCTGTATCTATTCAAAACCAACAAATTATATACTTCACATGGCAAATTGTACGGTATATAAACGGTGTCTCAATAAAACTCTTAAAACTTAAAAAATCCACACTGGGATATCACATCTGACCTATCAGACTGGCAAGACTTCAAAATTTTTGCGAAATCCTCTTGGCAAGACTGAAAAATGGACACTCTTGCATGCTGCTAACAGACATGTAACACTGACTCATCCTCTGTGGAGGGGAATTAGGGCTATCTAATGATATAGAGGCATTTGTTCTTTGACCCAAAAATCTCATATTTAGGAATTAATCTTGGTGATACATATGCACAAGTTTATTTGATGTGGGATCATATCTAACAGTAAAAGATGGGAAACAAACGACCATCAGAAAAGTACCATTGACTAAAACTTACTTTGTCCAAGCAATGAAGTAATACACAAGCACAAAAAAGAATAAAAAAAAAAAAACTGTTGGAATGATCTCTAAGATTTGCAGATAAAAAGCAAAGTGAAGAACAGTGTAAGGAACACATAGAAATAAGAATGCACACATATAGACATCACATAATACACAAAATGTAACTACATATACACACTTATTTTTACCAAAAGAAACATTGAAGGATAAGCCAGAAACTAATAAAAATGTTTTCCAAAGACACCAAGAGGTTGAACAGTATAGAAAGAATAATGATAAAAGGGAAACTTCTGAGTAAACCTCTTTCTCTTTACATAATTTTCACTTTTTTTTTTTTTTTGAGATTGAGTCTCACCCTATCTCCCAGGCTGGAGTGCAGTGGCACAATATCAGCTTACTGCAACCTCCACCTCCCGGGTTCAAGTGACTCTCATGCCTCAGCCTCTCAAGTAGCTGTGATTACAGGCATCTGCCACCACACCTGGCTAATTTTTGTATTTTTAGTAGAGATGTGGTTTCACCATGTTGGCCAGGCTGGTCTTGAACTCCTGACCTCAAGTGATCCGCCTGCCTCAGCCTCCCAAAGTGGTGGGATTACAGGCATGAGCCACCGCGCCCGACCAATTTTCACTTTTAAGCCACGTAAGTGTTATAAAAATTTAAACAAAATTACATTGAAAAGGAAAAGAAGCTCTGCATTCTAAAATTGGAAATGGATTGAAACAAGTGAACTCAACCATATGCCAAATGGCGAAGACAACCACCCTTTACTTTGAATGCATTCTCTTAGCCAGATATAGGACAGTACGGACTGCCCGGATGTCTTAAACATTACTCAGTGGTTTCCCTGATGTTGTGACACTTTATTTATATCTATACATAAAATACACATTTTATTATGTTGTGGAGAAAAGCAAATAAATATTCTTATTTTTTAGGAAGCAAGATTTTCACTGTCAGAGTATAGAGTTACAAATATGAAATCAAAGTTGTTAAGAAAGATTATTATAATGTTAAAATTAAACTCAAAATATCAATATAAATCCATTATTTCTTCCATTCAGTCATTCCATCATTCAAGTATTCATTTCTTTCTTTATTTCCTTGCTCTAGAAGTCATTAAGACCTAGATGCAAATAACTTAGCACCCAGATCTTGGCTTCTAAATGTAATTCTTCTATAGAAGAAACCAAAGCCCCTTGGAGAAATGGTTAATTCCATCCTGAGACATCATCTTTAGCTGAAAAGGTAGGAAATACTGTTACAGGGTTTTGTCAAAAGGACACAGTTGCCAGCCTAAAGGGACTCCCACAACTGCCAAATTTGGGATAATTTGAGCACAGGAAAATTTAATGTTGTTCATTCCCCACTGACAAGGGAAAGCTCTTCTTTATAGAAGAATATCACTAAAAGAAAAAGAAAAAAAAATACTAGTAGAGTTTAAAAATCAACATTCTACAACCCAAAAAGAAAAAACTGAATCAGACTAGGATTTTCAATAGACAATCAAACTGATAGTGAATAGGGAGGAATACACATTTGCATGATGCCCAAGTAGTCACCTAATGAATTACTTGCTAACTGCAAAGGGAATGCCACAGCCTTACAATACAGAGATTTGAAAGTGGTGACTTTAACTAACAAAGCAAACTAAGCATCAACAAGTGTGAGACAACTTAACATTACATGGCTTCTAATCGGATGCAACATTAAGGATACAATATCACTGATAAGGTATTCTGGCCAAAAAACTTAATCTGAGGCTGGGCGCGGTGGCCCACGCTTGTAATCCCAGCACTTTGGGAGGCCGAGGCGGGCGGATCACGAGGTCAGGAGATCGAGACCATGGTGAAACCCCGCCTCTACTAAAAATACAAAAAATTAGCCAGGCGTGGTGGCGGGCGCCTGTAGTCCCAGCTACTCCTGAGGCTGAGGCAGGAGAATGGCGTGAACCCGGGAGGCGGAGCTTGCAGTGAGCCAAGATCGCGCCACTGCACTCCAGCCTGGGTGACAGTGAGACTCCTCTCAAAAAAAAAAAAAAAAACTTAATCTGAATATAACTTGACTTATATATGACTTATAGATTATAGTAGATTCAGAGGACAGAAAAATGACTTAACCACACAAGAAAATAATCAGACAAATCCACACTGCACAATATTCCACAGGATGATGTCTGTTTTCTTAAAAACTCAATGTGGATGCATCAGGAAAAACAGCTAATGTATACTGTGCTTAACACCTAGGTGTTGCAGCAAACCACCATGGCACATGTCTACCTATGTAACAAACTTGCACATCCTGCACATGTATCCAGGAACTTAACATTAAATTAAATTAAATTTTTTTCAAAAGTCAATGTGGTTGAAAAAAAAAGTTGTGGTTAAATACAAACAAAACAACAGTGTGGGCACCCCTGCACATGGGTGTGCACACATGGAAGGACTGTTCTTTATTAAGACATACTAAAGAGGCCTAACAACCAAGTAGAATGGATGAAGCATTGGATCGTCTTCTGAGAAAAATAAATTGTGACAAATTGGGATACTTGAATGGACTCTCCAAATGATATGATGGAATTGTCCATTTTCTTAGGCATAATAAGTATATTACGGTTATGTAGCAAAAATTCCTCATTTTTAAGGATGCATTATTAAGTATTTAACAGTGAAATAGCTGAGGTCTGCAACTTAGTTTCAAATGGTTCAACAAAAAATACATATTTACATATATACAGACATAAAATGCATTTGTTTTATCTAGTTAATGAGAAAATGTATAATCATTATGCTCCTTCAAATTGTATGACTGAAATTTTTCATATTATGAAAACAGGAGAAAAGCTTGAAAAAACCAGTTAAGTTCTAGTAAATTGATAAATATGAAAATAGGAGTTAATGAAACAGAAAAATTTTAAGGCAAATTTATTCAATAAAGTTAAAAATGGATCATTTGAGAAGAATAATAAATAGACAAAAAGCTCGGCTACTCTGGCCAAGATAAATAGTGAGAAGACAAAATTAACATTAGAAAAGAGAAAGAAGATGTAGCAACAGACAGTAACATTTAAAAATTTGAATGAATTATTGTATAACGTTGTACCACATACATTTCAAAAGCTACATGAGGGTCGGGCCTGTAATCCCAGCACTTTGGGAGGCGGAGGCGGGAGGATCACTCGAGGTCAGGAGTTCGAGACCAGCCTGGCCAACATGGTGAAACCCCGTCTCTACTAAAAACCCCAAAATTAGCCGGGCATGATGGTGGGCGCCTATAATCCCAGCTACTCAAGAGACTGAGGCAGGAGAATCGCATGAACCCAGGAGGCAGAGGTTTCAATGAGCCGAGATCTCACCACTGCACTCCAACCTGGGTGACAGAGCCAGACTCTGTCTCAAAACAAACAAACAAACAAACAAAAAGCTACATTAAACGACTGATCTATTAGGTAAATGGAATTTGTCAAGAATACTAAAACTAGCTAAGCATTAGTTTAAAAACCTGAGTTGGCCAGGCACAGTGGCTCATGCCCGTAATCCCAGCACTTAGGGAGGTCGCGGCAGGTGGATTGCTTGAGCCCAGGAGTTTGAGACCAGCCTGGGCAACATGGTGAAACCCCGTCTCTACAAAAAATACAAAAATTAATTGGGCATGATGGCATGTGCCTGCAGTCCCAGCTACTCAGGAGGCTGAAGTGGGAGGACTGCTTGAGCCCGGAGGGTGGAGGTTGCAGTGAGCCGAGATTGTACCACTGCACTCTAGCCTGGGTAACAAAGTGAGACTGTCTTAAAAAGAACAAAACAGGTTAAATTGGTATATTTTATTTTATGTATATTTTACAACAATAGAAAAACTGTAAAACCATACTAATTAGAACCTATAATAAATACTCATTACTTACTGATATTCTGACTGACTACCTGGAGCAGATTACCAGAAATTCCAGATCAAGCCCAATGTCTAAGTTAGTAATGAGGTATGGATCTGTGTTTAATGCTTACTAAATAAGCATTCTATTTACAAATTCATTTTTACCTGTTCTAGAATCTAGGTTTCAGAATTATTCAACAGTTTTCTACTTACACCTTTCTCACATGTAAGTCACCAAACAAAGGTTTACTGGGCAGAACAAATATAAGAAAAAATATAGACTTTTTACTATCACGGAGCTTCTGAATAAGACAAAAAATTAGTGGATCCTGCATCTGAGATATTTATTCACGAGACCCTAACATATCCTATGAAATGCCATTACTTAAAAGTTAACACCTTTAGAATTACAATCAGGATAGTTATTACAGTAGAACTTCTACCCAAATTAGGCTGTGAATGACCTGGAACCCTGTAGTCACTAGGATCTAAGCCAGAATCTAAATTTAGACAGTCATTCTGAAGACTGTAATATTACTAGTTCTGGGCAGCTGAATAAGCCTGTATATTAATGAAGTGGAGAAGTAGATATGCTATTAAAAAAAAAGTTGCTGAGTTTCTGAGAGCTTTTGGAGTGTAAATGTTCTCTCTCTCTTAACTAGAAGAATGTATTTGATATCAGAGGTGATTAATAGGAGAGTTAAAAGCAAAGTCCCTGGATTGCAGGATCACATTTCACGTATCAAAAATTAAAGAGCTTTATGGAATAAGAAGGAGAATAAAATATTAAGCTTTACAAAAGTTCCTGTGGCTAGCAACAAAGAATCTACTAAAATAGACTGGTTTATTTCCAGTAAATGAAGCTGAGGTTATATTTTTCTGATACTGGCATAGTCTGTTCATAATTTTCCATCTATTGGCAATAATTTGAACTTTATTACTATTTAAAAAATTATTCACTATGTCATACTCCTTCTCTTTCTGCTAATCAACATTTCTGATTACAGATTTTTTAAATGCCCCTTTTAATTAAAATATAACTTATTTCCAGATTTTTAAATAAGGCTATTTGATTTATTGCAAATTATAGTTTTGTAAAAAGGGCATAGCTACCTTCTTCAAATTGGGATGAAAAACAAGGCTAACATGCCCAAGAACAAGATACAACTTCTCCAAAATAAGCTGGCTGAATTTTCAGACTGAAATATGCTTCTACATCCCAGTAATTTCAGACAGTAGTAAACACAAAGGGGGACATGATGATATTAACAGTAAAACTCCACTAACTTACTGAAAGCAATTTGGCCCAAATACAGTGGCGAGATTGTGAACATTCATGCGATTCTGCACATGATGCTTGGCTACTTTTGTCAAGAACTGGCAAAGGTACTTGAGGAGGCAGTAGTGGGTGTCTGGCAGCTCTTTTATTAAGTCTCTTAAGCTACTCTCCTGAACATCATTTCTGCCATCTGGAAAAAAAAAGAATAAAAATGTTCTAAGGTATATTTCACAGTAACAACAACAAAAGCCCATAGGTGTAATACATTCTAACATTTTATTCAGAAAAAAACTCTTGAGAGACTGAGATAGGCCTTGTGTATTTGACTTTATGTTAAAGAATTACTAACTTACTGTAGTCCCAGCTACTCAGGAGGCTGAGGCAGGAGAATGGCATGAACCCGGGAGGCGGAGCTCGCAGTGAGCCGAGATTGCGCCACTGCACTCCAGCCTGGGCAACAGGGAGAGACTCCGTCTCAAAATAAAAAATAATAATAATAATAAAAAGAATTACTAACTTATGCAAGAAATATTTAAAAAACCACAAGGTTTATTCAGTGCACAAAATGGGTTTGTGTTTCAATTTAATGTTTTAATCCCCAAATTAAGACAATGGTTAGGTTTTTGATCCACAGTGGAATCTTCCATTTGATTTTTGTCTTCAACTTTGTCAAAATCAGGATTCTTTTGAATAAAATTTGATATGAGAGACCTTCAAGGGACACCATGGGGGATGCTAAACTTAGTGATCAAGGTACTGTACACAGAGAAAACTAAAGGAAACTTAATTCCTAAACAGCTTTTTAATCTTGACAAAGATTATCTCCTTGACCAATCTCTAGTCAGACTTCTCTGAGCTTTTTTTCAACTAAGCCCTGTTCTGGGCATGTCCTCAAGAGTCCACTTTTAGTAAGAATACTGCTAAGTCAGTTCAGCCAAGATCCCCACCCTTCCTATCTGATAACCCTCCATATCTGACCAAATTACTCATTTCCCACCATCCTCCAAATGATGTCTGATCACCTTAGCCTGCCTTCAGCAAGAAACTTGTTAGGTCTGTTTAGCCATAATCTGTCCTGACCCTTGAGGTTTCCTGTTAGTAATTTTCCACCCACTGACTGCTGCCTATCCCAACTCTGGTATATGGTCATGTAATTCCCACTTTCCCTTGTATTCCAAGTTGAGCCCAATCTCTCTGCCAAGCTGCAAAACCCCAAATGCAGTAGTCCCTCTAGCTATCATAATAGTCCTGAATAAAGATTGCCTTACCATTCTTTAACAAGTGTCAGAATGAATAACTTTTTTTTCTTCTTCTTTTTTTTTTTTTAAGGAGTCTCGCTCTTGTCACCCAGGCTGGAGTGCCATGGCACAATCTCAGCTCACTGCAACCTCTGCCTCCTGGGTTCAAGCGATTCTCCTGTCTCAGCCTCTTGAGTAGCCGGGATTGATTACAGGTGCACACCACCATGCCCGGCTAATTTTTGTATTTTTAGTAGAGACGGCATTTCACCATGTTGGCCAGGCTGGGGCCTCCCAAAGTGTTGGAATTACAGGCGTGACCCACCACACCCGGCCAGAATAACTTTTTCTTTAACAATATCTAACATGTCATATAGTTCAGAATTTGATATATATTTCTCATACAAAAGACGAATAACCCAGCATACACCCCAAAATGTCTAACAATATATCAAAATTCATAGGCATACATATGAGAAGTTTCTCTCAAGTCTCAAAGATTTGTTTTGCCAATACTTAAATATAGTAAAATTGCTAAGTTTTGTGACTTTGTATAATGCTTTCTCTCAGAAGAAAATAAAAATATTTTATAACAAATACAGCAGTTTAGAGGAATGACTACAATCCATTACTTTAACAGACATCTAAGAGAATAAAAATGTAATTCAGTTATAATTAATAAGCAGTTGTACTGCCTACATAAGTCAGCTTTAGCCAGTTAAGTGAAGAACAGAAAAATGAGGGAAATGAGATACAAAATCAGAGAATTAATCAGTGTTACAAAGCACCTGGATAACATAATGCTACTGACAGGAAGTGAAAACATATAGCAAATCAGACACAGTGACATTGAGAGGCTTCAGAGCACAAGATCAGAATGAAGGCTCAAGTCATTTCTGGGGTGAGGAACCTGGTTCTGCTACCTACTACTTATGTGACCTACGTTGTGTTGTTTATAATATTTTCCACTGCACTATGACCTTAAATAGCAGGGATATATAAGATAATGAAATAATTAAGTTGGAGTGATTAAGAACTAATTGGAGATACCCATTTCTCATGCCTTTATATTATGAAAATAAACAAATAATGAACCAAGAGAAAATGTTCTGCCTTCTTTTTTATGGTGACTAATTCAAAGTGAGTCTATGGGATGTTTTCATGGGTGTTTGCTCTCTGTTTAAAATTGTGGTCTGATTGTCAGCATTTAAAGGTAACAAGCAACAGCATTACAACAGCCTTGATAATCAGCCTCTGGCCTTCTGGCTCTGAAATGAAACCTCAAACCATAAGGCAGGCAATGTGTAAAGATACCAGGTCTAATAAAACGAAGATTCAAAATAGTTGTGAATTTATGACAATAACATCTTTGAAAAAGCAGCAGCATTTTCATCATTTTCCAATTTCTGAAATACGATAAACAATTTTTCCAGGAAATAAAACAGCCAAACAATGGGAAGGGAGACGGATGTATTTAGAGAGTTTCATGTTTAGCAAAATGACATAAAATCATTTATGGCGGCTGGGCGCGGCAGCTCACGCCTGTAATCCCAGCACTTTGGGAGGCCGAGGTGGGCAGATCACCAGGTCAGGAGTTCAAGACCAGCCTGACCAACAAGATGAAACCCTGTCTCTACTAAAAATAACAAAAAGTAGCCAGGCATGGTGGCTAATCCCAGCTACTCAGGAGGCTGAGGCAGGAGAATCGCTTGAACCTGGGAAGCGGAGGTTGCAGTGAGCTGAGATCATGCTACTGCACTCCAGCCTGGGCGACAGAGCAAGACCCTGCCTCAAAAAAAAAAAAAAATCATTCATGGCCTGAATGGAAGAATCACAAAATATACTCTGAAAAGTCAAAAGTAACTGAGAAATATCTTCCATCTACCTCCTTCCATTTCCACAGCATTTTTGTTTCCTGTGATGGAAGACAGATTCATCGATTCCTGGATTCACCCACTGGACAAGGATGTGAGCGTCCTCTACATCAGCGGCTTTGACAGCAGCACACCTACATTTATAATTTACTTCTTGAATCCCTGTTCAAATATACTGACAGTACAGTAAAGACCTTAATTTATTAGCATGACATTTTGCCTCATCTCTTTTCATACAGGTTAATTATGTATCTGCATTTTGTAAAGTGTTTCTGGAAATATCTGGTAAATATTACCATTACTGCCAGCCTGCTGCAACCCTACAAATAAGATTTCCTACATATGAGAATAATAATTGCTCAACACCTTCAGAGGAGGCTTGTAGAAGAATGCCTAGGGTAGCAGCATGGGGGCAGTGGTGGTACAAATGTGCCTATTAGGAAGATGCCTTCTGACGCTTGCGAGAAAGAAGGCTCATAATAATTGGCAGGGTGTGGTGGCTCATGCCTGTAATTCCAGCACTTTAGGAGGCCAAGGTGGGCGGACTGCTTCAGCCCAGGAGTTTGAGACCAGCCTGGGCAACATAGCGAAACCTCGTCTCTACAAAAAATACAAAAATTAGCTGGGCATGGTGGCACATGCCTGTAGTCCCAGCTACTTGGGAGGCTGAAATGGGAGGATCGCTTGAGCTTCAGGAAGTCAAAGCAGAAGTGAGCCATGATCATACCACTGCACTCCAGCCTGGGTGACAGAGTGAGACCCTGTCAAAAAAAAAAAAATTTCCTAATAATTACTTTGCTATGGCTTTATTTTTTGATTTATTCATATCTAAATACAATAAACACTGCCTTATACATTCATGTTCTCGTATTTATATTGATAATTATGATGGCTCACTTAAGGTCTCACATTATAAAAGTTTGCAATGCTTCTATTTTTGTTTACATACATCCAAAATGTATATTTGTTGCACACTATGTATATTTGTTGCACACACGCATCCAAAATGTATATTTGTTGCACACACACACCCAAAATGTATATTTGTTGCACACATGCACCCAAAATGTATATTTGTTGCACAAATATACAAACAGTATATTTGTTGCACAA
The DNA here is from genome assembly GCF_000001405.40 of Homo sapiens. NCBI lineage: Eukaryota > Metazoa > Chordata > Mammalia > Primates > Hominidae > Homo > Homo sapiens. The sequence goes on from NC_000004.12 coordinate 88,995,186, forward strand.
ATATACAAACAGTATATTTGTTTATCACACACTTTCTATGTGTCTAACATTCTTTACCACCATGGGGAAGGCATTAAACAATGCTGTGATGGTTAATATTGAGTGTCAACTTGACTGGATTGAAGGATGCAAAGTATTGTTCCTGGGTGTGTCTGTGAGGGTGTTGCCAAAGGAGATTAACATTTGAGTCAGTGGACTGGGAGAAGCAGACCCACCCTCAGTGTCTGGGTGGGCACCATCTAATCAGCTGCCAGCAGAGGAACATGGAAGGACTAGACTGGCTGAGTCTTCTGCCCTCCATCTCTCTCCCGTTCTGGATGCTTCCTGCCCTTGAACATCAGACTTCAAGTTCTTCAGCTTCTGGACCCTTGGTCTTACACCAGACCCACTCTTGGACCCTTGTATTTTCCAGGGGCTCTTGGGCCTTCAGCCACAGACTGAAGGCTGTGCTGTGGGCTTCCCTACTTTTGAGGTTTTGGGACTCGGACTGGCTTCCTGGCTCCTCAGCTTGCAGATGGGCTATTGTGGGACTTCACCTTGTGATCATGTGAGCCAATACTCCTTAATAAGCCAAATACCCATCTATTCCATTAGTTCTGTCCCTTTAGAGAACCCTGACTAATACAAAAGCAAACTCCATGCTTTTATGAAACATATTCTAATCGAGGGGAAGACAGACAATTAAAAAATGTTTAAAATATATGTGAAGTGGTAACATACATGCTATGAAGAAACAGAAAGCAGGATAAAGTGGAGTAAAGCAGAGTGATGTCAGGGTACAAGATGTTATTTCACTCAATATGGTCAGGGAGGCCCCTCTGATACCATGACATTTGAGCAGAGCTGAAATAAATAAGGAAGTGTGTAGTAGGCAAGGAAACAGCACACGCAAAGGGCCTGAGGCAGAGGTCCTGGGGCTGGGGCCAAGTGGTGGTGGGTGGGGTGAGTAGCAGGAGATGAAGTGGGGAGACAATGCAGAGAGGGAAAGGACAGATCATTACTGTCTGATTAAATCTGACTAAAAGCTATGGTCTTTTCTTGTTTTGTTTTGTTTACTGTGTGAGGGTTTTGAGCTGTGGGGAGACATGATCTGCCTGGAGGACCACTCCGGCTGCTCTGCTGAGTCTAGACTGTAGGGGCACAGTTGAAAGCAGCAAGATTACTTAAGAGGTTACTGTAACCATCTAGAAGGAAAGGGCCTGGGGCCTGGATCAGGCTGATGCTGACGGGATGGTTAGACGTGGGGGCGGATTCAGAATGCAGTTTAAATTTGTCTTGTGTTGGAAGTTGTTTTATTCATTTAATCATTCCGAAAACATTTATTGAGTGACTACTCTGTTCCAGGCACCATTCTAAGCATTTGAGATAAATCCATAAACAAAATAAACAGAAAATGCCTACCCTCATGGAGCCTACCATCTAGCAGGTGAGACATTAGGCAATAAATATAGTAACAGGGCTAGGGGAATTCGGAGTACTTGGACCAGGGTGAAGGCTAGTGATAGAGATTATAAATAAGATTGCCAGGAAGGTCTCCTTGAAATGTAGTTGATGTCTCCAGCCAAAGTAAAAAAAAAAATCTATAAACTGGCAAATATAAGCTCTTTTAGAGTTGGTGGTTGAGTTTCAACCATCTTTTAAACACCCTCCGTGCCTTGCATATTAAAAGCGCTCAAGACATTGTTTTAAAGAATGATACGCATTTTTAAGACACACAGTAAGACAAACTAGCATAGGAATACAGTACATCTATATTTCAAATATATTTTAAAGAAATGTGGAATAATTTAGTCCATTTATAGAATTTGCTGAGTTGGATGGAATATTACTGTTAGGTAGGAATCAGATTACAGATAGTATCTAAATAGAAGAAAAAGCTCCTTTAGTGGTCACAGGGAAAGGACACTCAGCAATAAAATTCCATAAAAGGGCCTCAGAAACAGAAGTGAAATGCACCTCTGCAGATGTATTAACATATGTTAACTGCTTTAAACTTGTTAAACTGGAATAAAAACTAGGATCATATGTTATAATTCGTAAGTCCAAAAATTCTAAGAAAACTTTGCAGATGGAAATAATGGTTCACAATTAAAATAGTCATCATTTTCTTTGACATCAATCTTAGGACAAAAACTATCTCTCTCCATTAGTGAAAAGTGCTACTTCAAATTATTCAAGTTTTCTTGAAAGTTCTCATTTGTTGTTGGCTTCATTTGACCCATTTCTCAAGCTAAAATTCAAACATTCAACTAGCACAGTATACATAGCATACAGACAAATCTACTCAGCACTCGAAAACTGTACCATAAATACTTTTGTTCCAGGTTAAGCAGCAAGCATTGAACCATGTGACAAATATTTGCTCTCACTAAAAAAAAAAAAATTATAATTATAATCAGCAATGCTATACCTGTATCACAAGATATATCACAGAATGGCACCTAACTCTAATCTTGACATGTATCCTAGTGTTTGTCACATGCCTGGACTTTTCAATGACCATGAAGTTATACTGTACTCATAATCTTAGCCTCAAGGAAAGAATAATATAAACTAACTGACAAAACGCTAATCTCTATCATGATATATCTCAGAGCCATGAGAAGGTCAACCATTAAGACAACCAAAATACTTAGCCTCATGGTGCCAGATTTGTCAAAGTAGCTTCCCCCCTCCCTCTGCCTCATTAAACCTCACAAAATGTTTTATGAAAACTTGCTAATCTATTAGATATTAATAGTATAATGAGCTGTTGCCAACTTTGCAGATTAAGAGAGGTTATAAACTCGACAACACGGGCAGCCTCTAGAAACTGAGAAACCAGCAAAGAAATAGAGACTTCAGCCTTACAACTGCATGGAAGTGAATTCTGCCAACACTATGAATGAGTCTGGGAGTAGATTCCCCCTAGAACACCCAGAACAGTCATACAGGAGCCTAGACTGTCACCTTGATTTTGGCCTTGTGAGATTTAGAGTAGAGGAACCAGTTGAGCCCACACACTTCTCACCCACAGTACAGTGAGATAATAAATTTGCAATGCATTAAGTCACTAAGTTCATGGTAATCTGTTATGGTAGCAATAGGAATCTAGTAGTTCCCCATTTGGAGATGACTAGACTGAAATAGAGAGATTGATTAGCCTGTCCACATTCACCCAGGTACCAAATAGCTGAGCTACAATTTAAATCCAAGTGCCCAGGACCTCATAACATACAATTTGATCAGCATACTCTTACAAAGTTAGCTATTATTGTTATCATTATTACAGAGCAGCTAACACCATGTCTCATGTATGTAAATATTTAAGAAATGTTTCCTGAATTAATCAATCAATAAACAAATCTGTTGTGTAGTGGAGAGGTGGGAATCTTAATTAATTTGTGAGAAACTATAGCTTCGTAAATTCTCAGGGCTTGTGGAGAAATAAAATTTTAATAGAAACCTATAAGGCTGCATGGGCACAAAATATAAACTACATAAGAATAAACAAAACATGAATTATATTTCTTTCTAAATATGTATTTACAGAAGAATGAGAAAAATAATTATGAAATGCCAGCTGTACAGAATCAGACTGGGTTTTACCTCCGCATTTCATTCCCCAAGACTGGAATCACTTCTTTGGAGTGATGAGAAGCTTATATAGGCAACAGAATTTCATTTTCCTATGCAAAAGGAGGGATTATGTTTCTTACAAATCTCTTACAACCTCATGACCATGATATGGTTCTCAGAGGCCTCACGTAAATTTCTCAAAGGGCAGACTGATAAAGTGACTAATAAAAATTAATAAATTACCCTCTATTCTTAGAGGTTATTAGTGAAACTACGAATCTTATCATTCTGATTAGATTCTGCAAAATGCAGAGGTATGTTTATTGCCAAATTAGTCAATATTTACAGTGATCCTCCTGTTCCCAGAGAGAACCTGTATGTCCAAGAGCAAAGGCCTGCAGGAAGAACAAAGAATTAGGTGATATTTTACACTTTAGTCCTATAACCAAAACAAACTCCTGATAATGCCTAAATAGTATCTCAGCATATTTATTTTGTGAGTATTTATTGGGTACTGAATGCTTGTCAGTCGGGACAGGTGGTGTACATAAAAATATAAAATAGTCTAAATTATAAAGCTGGAACCTCATATCTACAATAAAGGTTAGACACAAGCATTTAGCAGCTGAAGAACTTATTTGTATGAGAATTTATGTACCGAGGAGACTGGAAAAAACAAACAGCATATAGGACAGAGAGCCTCACACAATGTAAAATGCTAATCTGAAACAATATTGGCAGTATCTCAGCTAATAAAACTAGGCTTTCTCCATCAATCTAGCACTACATTAAATGGGCCAAGTACAGTAAATATATAGTTTCAGATGAAATCATACTACCACCAGTTGGTTTTTTTCTAGGCACTACTGGTTAAATGCTCAGCTATAAGTGGCCTGTAAGTGGATTTGGTGCCATATGAGTTAAACCAAGCCCAGAGTTACTTAAGCCTATTTGTATGTCCTCTTACCCCTCCTTTCTCCCCTAAGGGCCTCAAATTGTTTATGGACTCATTGTAAAAGGTTGATTATTTCCATGGGTTCAGTAAAGCAGGTGTTCAAAACACGGCTTGACAGAGTTAGGGCAGAGCTCTAAGTGGCTAGCAAGCTAATCATCTGGCTATCCCTTCAACTGATATTCTTTAACCAAATTTTTAATATTTTTTATGTAGATTGATTTTCTGTTAATACAAGTTGTATACTTTTTAAATAACTCACTTGTTGACTATGTCTTTTCTTCTTCCAACATAAAAGCATTACTAAAAAAACAAAGAACTTACTGAGGATTTCACCCAGCTCACAATTAATTCCATAATATCCCCAATGGGCCTCTTCTTGGCCTTGGAGCTGCTGGGTATCCTGCTTTTCCTCTTCAAGCCTATAATCTTTCTAAAACTATGTTAGAAAATAGTTACTCAAAATAAAGTTACAATATAACATAGCAATTACAGGTAGATACTCAAGAGAAATGAAAGCATATATCCACACAAAAACTTGTACATAAATGTTCATAACAGCCAAAAAATGGAAATAACCCAAATTTCCATCAACATGAATGGATAAGTAAAATATCGTATATTCATACTATAGAATATTAACCAGCCATAGGAATGCAGTACTGATATATGTGACACCACAGATAAAGCTTGAAACATTATGCTAGATCAAAGAAGCCAGTCACAAAGTACCACATACTGTGTGATTCCATTTATGAAATGTCCATAGAAGCAAATGTTTATAGAAAGAAAGTAGACTGGTCTTTGCCTAAGGATGTGGGTGGTGGGAGGAGGGAGGAATGGGGAGTGACTGCTAATGGGCATACGGTTTCTTTCTGGGGTCATAAAAATGTTTGAAAGTTAGATAATGGTGATGGTTGCACTTTGTGAATAGATCAAAAACCACTGAATTGTACACTTTAAGAAGGTCAATTTATGGTGGGTAATTTATATACCAATAAAGCTGTTATAAAGAAATTCTGTTGACTTCAAAATCAAGCATGGGAAAAAATTAAGCATGGGAAAAGAAAGTCAGAGGAGACCTTTCAGATAAAGATGACAGATCATTTCAGTTAAAGATGAGTGTACCTACTTCTCCTCCTAATATCCCACTAAAATGACAATTTTTTTAAAAGAATAAGTCCTCAAGGATAAAGAGAATAGCCTAAAACATGACAGTAGATGGAAGATTTTAACAAATGTACATATGCACGCACACATGTGCACACAATCATGTTTCAAGATGAGTTGTTCTTATATGGAATAATTTGCTCAGTCATGGCTTCCCTTTCCAAGCTTGCACAACCTCACCCACTAGTTAATACTATCTCACAGAGTCAAAAGCCATATAAGGAAAATAAAGATGCATACGTGTACCCAGTAAAGAAAAGATCATCTAGTTATATCAGGACCTACAATCTCAGAGGTCATGGGTGGTTATAGATACAAATAAGGTTCTTCCTGTCACATGGATCTGGATGAGAGCAGTCCAATTGGAACACTGCCAAAATGTATGAAGTCATCTGTGGAAACCTGGGTTTCCTGCCACCAGATTTCCAATTTATTCCAGTGGAGGCTTTGTGCTGCTGATTGATTGGTACCTTGGGCAAATACGTAGACATCAAACCTTTAATTTTGCTTTGGGTTTAAGTCTTTACTTAGAAAAAAAGAATAGTGTATATGTTTGGCATTGCTTATAGAAAACCCAAAAGATACACACTGAAAATGGAAAGGTTAAATTTTGTAGTTTAATATAATGATTCTGTTTCTCGCAGAAACAGATATTTGTGTAAGTTGAGTAATTTCAAAAGAAAAGAAGCTTCCCAGTAAAAAGAAATTACCCTAGGGAAGGAAATATATCATATGCTTGTTATGGAGTTCATACTATCCAAGAAATGACAATTCATAACTAGTATCTGGCCAACGTTTATTCATGTGGTACTGTAAAATTTGCAAGTCGAAACCACTCAGCTAATCTCAACACAATACAGATGGCATCAAGATAGTGTAGATAAAAGACAGGCTTGACTCCAAGGTATCTAGTGAGTTCCTCATATAATGAAGAAAGAGAAAGCCCTAAGGCTTAGGTACAAATTAGCTTATTAAATTAGATTTATTTACAATTAGCCACTGTGCTGATTAAAATGGCCCTATTATTACGGTGGTTTTCTTAAGAAAAACAGTTACTGTCTAAATTATCAAATGCTCATAAGCATTTGATAAAATTCACAGGCACTTAACTCTCACATGTTGTTTGCACAGCTGCTATTATAAAATTCTGTCTCATTTAAAATCAAATATGGGTTGTGGGGGTAAAAAAAAAAGGCAAGGGAGAATTTCCATTTAAAGAGACAGACCGATTATATGTGTTTATCTAGTCTTCCCAAGGCTCCACTGAAATGACAGTAAAATAATACTTAAAAAGTGTAAGCACCCAACGGCAAAAAAAAAAAAAAAAAAGAACAGCAGAGGAAACAGAAGAGTATGAGATTTTAAAGACATTTGGAAGTGGATGCAAGTGACTGGAAACAGATTGTTTACAAGCCTGTCAGGCTCGGCAAGTCCTTCAACACCGCCTGCATCCAGGCAGGCATGTGCTCAGACAGGAGTGCTGAGGCTTAGTCTCCGGGTAATATCAAAGGATTCTTGAATATCTGAGATAGTTAAGGACTAGCACGAGAAACACATTTGAAAATGTGAGATTAGTGAAAAGTCTGCTAAGAAATAAGGAGTCATTATTTCCTTACTGATGGGAAGTAAGCATACTACTTCCCACCTCCCCCAAGCCCTGCTCTTGATGAACTCAGTAGCTGAAGAGAAAAAGATCTTCACATACTGACATTTGGGCATCCCCAAATGACACAGCTAAATTTCTCATTTTTCTATCTAATCCTTCCAAAGTGAAGTATGCCAAGAGACAAGCCCCTGATCCCATTTACAAAATGTTATCCTCAGATCAAAACAGCTAAGAATCACTTTATGTTTGAATAAAGACAAAAAGAAAACCCATAAACAGATAATACAGAGAAAAGAAGAAAACTTAAGTACAACGTAACAACAAACCATTGTTAGTATCCTCAGAAAAGTAAGACGAGAATGTTCTAAAAGAGTATGGTGTTTTGCAAGAGGAATCAAAAGTGAGATTATTTTGGATATTAAAAATAGAAAAGCTAAAATTAAAAAAATAGGTTTGGCAGGAAAATAAATGAGGAAATTTCACAGAAAACAGAATTAAAAGACAGTGATAAGTCATTTAAAGAAACTATAATATAGGAAGGATAACACAAGAAAATTTCCAAGATCAAAAGAAAATACTTTCCAATCTGATGGAACCCATGGAATGTTTAACATAATGGGTAGAAAAAAGACTCCAGGAAATAGCAGGTCCAGGAAAAAACACTGGTGAGGGAAAATTCAAGATGACATCTACAACCAATACAAGTGGGAGCAGAAAATAAAAAGGGCCCCAAAGAGGAATCACCACAGAAATAAAGAATGGATAAATTACTTTTTTTTTAAGTTAACAGTGGAGTTGTTGGAGCAATTTGGAAAAAAAAAAAAACTGCATCAAGTTTATAGAAAATTATGTAAGTGGGCTGGGCATGGTGGCTCACACCTGTAATCCCAGCACTTTGGGAGGCTGAGGTGGGCAGATCACTTGAGTTCAGGAGTTCAAGACAAGCCTGGCCAACATGGGGAAACCCTGTCTCTACTAAAAATATAAAAATTAGCTAGGTATGTTGGTGCACACCTGTAATCCCAGATACCTAGGAGGCTGAGGCAGCAGAATCATGGTTATAGGTGTGCGGGAGGTGGAGGTTGCAGTAAGCAGAGGTTGCAGTGAGCTGGAATCCCACACCACTGCACTCCAGCCTGAATGACAGAATGAGTGGGGAAAAAAGAAAAAAATATATATACATGTATGTAAAAAAAAAAAGACAAATATTGTCAGAAAATATCTCACACACCATATACCCTCTTACGTAATTATTCACACATTAATTATAAATTTAACTAAATTTGTGATATATCAATATTCGAAGAAATTGTTTGGAGTAAGTGGCAAGGCAACAGAGTGAATTCCATCTATTTTATAAGCAGAAGTGATGAGATATCTGAAAGTGAGCAATCAAGATTTAACACTATATTATCAAATGGAAGCAAATACCAAAACAATAGCTAAACCAATTAAAAGTTATTCATTCTGAGAAAGAACTGAGGGCTGCCAAAGGGTATGGTAGGGATCTGCCGGTTTTCTTTTCTTTTTTTGTAGAGACAGGGTCTCACTATGTTGTTCAGGCTGGTCTCAAACTACTGGCCTAAAGCAATCCTCCTACCTTGGCATCGCAAAATGCTGGAATTATATAGTCATAAGCTACCACACCTGGCCAGGGTCTGCTGGTTTTTTCTTTTCTTTTTTGTAAGATGGAGTCTCATTTTGTTGCCCAGGCTGGAGTGCAGTGGTGCAATCTCAGCTCATTGCAATCTCCACCTCTCGGATTCAAATAACTCCCGTGCTTCAGCCTTCTGAGTAGCTGGGATTACAGGCGTGCACCACCAGGCCTGGCTAATTTTTGTATTTTTAGTAGAGATGGGGTCTTGCCATGTCAGCCAGGCTGGTCTCAAACTCCTGGCATCAAGTGATCCACCCACCTCAGCCTCCCAGAGTGCTGGGATTACAGGCGTGAGCCACCGAATCCAGCCCATCTTGTGTTATCAACTTAGCCAACGATGAGAAAGTTCAAGCACAGTTTCAATTAATTTGGGCAAGGATTTTGAAATCTTCCTCTTAACTCCAAGTTGAATTCATTTCTTTTTTCCCTTTTCCTTCTCCTTTCTAATCATAAGGCAGGTAAGCACACTTATTCTTCTGTAACTCTTTTGTAAATATTCGAAAAGAAAGGGAAGTTAGAATAGAGAAAGGCTAAGGAGACCAATTTTAAGCTTAAAAGCAGAAAAAATGAGGAGAATCACACTAAAATGACTTTTCTTTTTATAACCAAGAAAGCAATGGACAGGAGTGAGGGCTGAGGATGAGTTGGGACATAAGCATTGGGAAGGGAGATTACATTAAAAATATGGAAGCCCATGTTCCATCCCCCTAATGATTTTATTGGCCTGCAATAAAATCTCTGAAAGTTGATCTCTGAAAGTTTTCTAAGCTTTCTAGAAATTTTTTTTTTAACTTTTATTTTAGGTTCGGGGGTACATGTGAAGGTTTGTTACATAGGTAAACTCATGTCATGGTTTTTTTTTTGGTACAGATTATTTAGTCACCCAGATATTAAGCCCAGTACCCAGCTGTTACCTTTACTGTTCCTCTCCCTCCACTCACACTCCATCCTCAAGTAGACCTAGTGTCTGTTGTTTACTTCTTTGTGTTCATAAGTTCTTATCATTTAGCTCCCACTTATAAGTGAGAACAAGCAGCATTTGGTTTTCTGTTTCGATGTTAGTTTGCTAAGGATAATAGCCTCTAGCTCCATCCATGTTCCCATGAAAGACATGTTCTTGTTCTTTTTTATGGCTGCATAATATTCCATGGTGTATATGTATTATATTTTCTTTATCCAATCTGTCATTGATGGCATTTAGGTTGATTCCATGTCTTTGCTATTGTGAATAGTGCTGCAAATGAAAATTCACATGCATGTGTCTTTATGGTAAAATGATTTCTATTGCTCTGGGTATATACCTAGTAATGAGATTTGCTGGGTTGAATGATAGTTCTGTCTTTAGGTCTTTGAGGAATTGCCACACTACTTTCCACAATGGTTGAACAAATTTACACTCCCATCAACAGTGTATAAGGATTCCCTTTTCTTTACAACCTCATCAGCATCTGTTAATTTTTGACTTCTTAGTAATAGCCATCCTGACTGGTGAGATAATATCTCATTGTGGTTCCAATTTGTATTTCTCTAATGATCAGTGATGTTGAGCTTTTTTCATATGCTTATTGGCTGCATGTATGTCTTCTTTTGAGAAGTGTCTGTTCATGTCCTTTGCCCACTTTTTAATGGGGTTGTTTTTCTTTCCTAAATTTGTTTAGCTTCCTTATAGAGGCTGGATATTAAACCTTTGTCAGATGCATAGTTTGCAAATATTTTCTCCTATTCTATAGGTTGTCTGTTTACTCTGTTGATAGTTTCTTTTGCTGTGCAGAAGCTCTTAAGTTTAATTAGATCCCAGTTGTCAATTTTTGCTTTTGTTGTGATTGTTTTTGGTCTTTGTCATGAAACCTTTGCCCTTTCCTACATCCAGATGGTATTGCCTAGGTTGTCTTCCAGGTTTTTATAGTTTTGGGTTTTACATTTAAGTCTGTAATCCATCTTGAGCTGAATTTTGTATACGGTGTAAAGAAGGGGTCCAGCTTCAGTCTTCTGAATATGGCTAGCCAGCTATCCCAGCATCATTTATTGAATAAGGAGTCTCTTCCCCATTGCTTGTTTTTGTCAGCTTTGTTGAAGACCATATAGTCATAGGTGTGCAGCCTTATTTCTGGGCTCTCTATTCTGTTCCATTGGTCTATGTGCCTTCCAAGGCAACTCTTACAGGCTGCAACAGTTGAGAAGCACTGACCTAGCACTTATTAAATATTTAGTATGTGACTGGCATTATTCCAAGTTCTTTAGTATCTTTCAATATCCACAATAACCTCAGGAAGTAGACACTACTGCTATTGAGAGGGAAGAATTCCCTGCGCCCCACTGTGGGACTTGCAACAGGGGTGTGGCTTGCTTACTCAAACCCCTTGTGGGAGGAGGAGCATGCAGGCAAGCAGGTGCTGGGGCCAGAGCGAGCACTTTTGGGCTCCACCCCCAAGGTAGCGTCTAGGGGTATGTTACAATTAATGGTCTTTTAGCAGTTGCTATCCATGGACGGCTAAGTGTTAACCAGCTCAGTGGAGAGTCAGTGTGATAGCCTTTTACACCCTGCCCTCTTGGTACCCCGGTCCTTGTCTGGCAACCAGGAAGAGTCAGGTCACATGGATTTGAAGGATGGTGAATGCGGATTTTTTATTAAGCAGTGGAAGGTGGCTCTCAGCGGAAGGAGAGCTAGACAGGGGATGGTGCAGGAGGAAGGTAATCTTTCCCTGAAGCTCTGCTGTCTCCAGCTGGGCTCCCTTCTGAAGTTAAGCCGCATCTATCCATAGTCTCAGACACTCAGTCGCTTCTTCTCCTCTCGACATTCAACCACTTGTCCCTCTGCCAGCTGAGGTCTGGGGTTCATATGGGCACAGGATAGGGGGGCAGGATAGACCAGAAAGTAACATTCAGGCACAAAAACAGGAATGCCTGTTCTAATTTAGGGTCATGGGTCCAGGCTTGAGGGTGGAGCCCTCACCAGGGACTCCGCTCTCCTGCCTCTTGTCCGTATCATTATCTCCATTTAACAGGGAAACTAAGTGTGGTGATTTAAAAATGCCTACAAAGTTTGACACATTTCCCTTAAAAAGATGGAGCCTAATTTTCCTACCCTTGAATACAGACCAGATTAATGACTTGCCCCTAACAAACAGGGCAGAGTGATTCTATCTGTCTTCTAGAGCTAAAAGGACAGCTTCCATCTCTCTTGAACTGCATGCTCTGGGAGAAGCCAGTTACCATGTTAAGATAACATTCAAGCAGCCATCTGAAGAAGCCCACAGAAAAAGGAATTAAGGCCTGTCACCAAGACCGAGCATTAAATTGTCATCCATGTGAGTAAGCCACCTTGGAAAAAGATCCTCGAGCCCCAGTCAAGCTTTCACATACCTGTAGCCCCTGCCAACCTCTTGACCACAACTTCCCGAGACCTTGAACCAGAACTGCCCAGGTAAACCACACTTGAATTCTCGACCCACAGAAACTGTGAGAGAAGATACATGTTTACTGATTCAAGCCACTAAATTTTGGAGTCATTGTTATACAGAAATACATTAACAGATACACTAGGGCACAAAAAGGGTAAGTAACTTGGCCATACTAATGCAGAGAGCAAATGGCAAACTGAGATTTGAAATCTATTGGAATGGAGCCAAAGCCTATGCTCTAAGGCACATGCTATAAGCACTTTCTTCAAAATGGAGATTATACTGCCAATATCACATTAGAGCTGGTGCTAAGATTAAAACAGATTATATAAGTAAAATATCTACTAGGTATTAAACTAAGCAATAAGTAGTCACCTAACGGCACCCATTACTGTCATCAGTCACTCGAACAAGTATATTCTCAAAAAGGATCAATATTAAACACAAAAAACACCTCAGTATCATTTTTTTCCACAGCATTTCATTTATTTTAAACTTTTTCCTTACTTCTAAATTCACTAGACATTAAGGATTTCCGAGATCTGTCGGAGATCAATGCTATAATAATTTATACCCCAGAGACTATCTAATTAACATCCCACTGCAGGCTTTTTTACTGTTTTTCACTCAAACATTTATCAAATTTAATAAATTTTAAAAAGCACAGTGTTATGGACTAAATTTTGTCCAAAATTCACAGATTGACGCCCTAGCCCCCAATGTGCCCACAGTGGAAGACAGCACCTTTAAGGAGGCAAGGAAGGTTAAATGAGGCCACAAGGGTTGGCTCCTGATCAAATAGGGCTGGTGTCCCTATAAGAAGAGAAAGAGGTATCAGGAGTACTCCAGCACAGACAAAAGGCTACGTGAGGACACAGCAAGAAAGTGACATCTGCAAGGAAAGAAAAGAGCCCTCACCAGAAACTACTTCCAGCACCTTGATCTTGGACTTCCAGCCACCAGAACTGTGAGAAAATAAGTTTCTGTTGTTTTAGCCACCCAGTCTGTATTATTCTGTTATGGTGGCCCTAGCTGATTAATACAAGCAGTATAAAATAAAAAGGCTAGGCTTTGGAGCCAGGCAGATCCCAACTCTGCACAATCTACCTGCTTGTTCTTTGGCAAGTAACTTGCCCTCACTGAGCTGAGCTTCACTTTCTTTATCTATGAAATATTTGTAGGAATAGCTGTAATGGAGATAAAAACACAAACACAAGTAAAGCACCTAGGCAAAATCTTGACCCAAAACAGGCACTTAAATTGTGATTAAAGAAATATATAAAATTAGCTTATTGTTATCTATTTATATCTACAATATTGTCCAAACATAATTGATGCTCAGAATTATAAACACTGATGAGTCTACAAAGATGACTATGAAATGCACATCTTTAGTCCTAATCCCTCTCATAAGCACTAACCTTCATTTTACTCATCCATTTAAAATGAACTCCTCGTCACGGCCCCCAAATAATCTTCCTTTGTTAACTTCCATTAGGTTTATTAAAGGATCAACTGTCAAGATGTCACATCAGGATCTTTCCCCTTTCTTTAAAAAAAACAAAACAAAACACGATCTCTGAGACAGATATTTAATAAAGTCTCCACCACGAAATCATCAGATCCTACTGTAAAATTAAATTAATTAAAACTAAAAGCTGTTGGAACTTTAAATTACTTGAACCTTAAGAGAAATGAGAATATGTGGCCTGAGTCACGTAGCATGCAGTTGCAACTTCTGCTTCTCTGATTACAGATTAACTTTCCTCTGTATTCTTGTACTGTAGATGATTAGGAAAGACCCAAAGGTACCAGAGATAAGACTCCCTTCAACGCCACTACCTCTCCTTACAGAATGTTAAAGCAGTCTTCCTTGGGCTGTAATAAGCTATAATCAATCAAATTGCTATAATGTATGTGCTATGAGCTATGCAAGGTTAGAGAAAACCAGATCCACACATGTCTGTGTCTTTCCACAATGCCAGGCTTTTATTAATGTTATTCCAATCACAAAAGCCATGAGCTACATGGAATTCCCAAGAAGGCAATTTTCCTTAGTACTTCCTGTTAATTTGGTAGTCAGAGTTGTGGGGACACAGGCTCAAACCACTTCACAACTCAGTCAATATTGCAAACCATATATAATAGTAAACTTCAGCAATATATAAATAACGTTAAACATTCCACAACAAAGTAACATTTAATATCAAGAGGAAGAAGAGACAGGAGAAAAGGGTTGACAAACCAGTCCAGGGAGAGTGAAGAAGACCAAAGGAGTCCTAGTCTGGGTTGAGCGGTCTGTTGGTCTTGCAAGGAAGAGTATTTTAGGTGGCAGAACCTTCTGCAACAGATGCCAAGCTCTTAATCATGAGTAACTACAAAACAGTGTCAGTTAAGACGGCCCTTTTGAGCTACTGAAGACCTAATCTTTTATAGTCAGAGTCCTCTGGTGAGAACTGGTAGGAACTGGTGCCTGTTTGTGTCCATATCTGGTTGGACACAGTCTTTATTTTTTATTTGTTTATTAAGCAAAGGATCTTATCCTTGTCGGCAATGTGTCCTGTGAAATATAAAATAAGAGTCTTTTTCTAGGATGGAGATAGTTATGTCAGGGGTCCTCTATACAGTATGTACTGACCTTGTATGGAAAAATTTGTAACCCTGCTAAACTACTCTGCCTCTGCCTATATAAGTAAAACTTTAACCTCTCTACTTTGAACCTCTGTCCCCATTCCTTTGGAGTCTGTGTTTCCCGAGTGGTTATCCCCAGGCTTTGTACCGAATAAACTCTAAACTTAATCATATTTTCTGAATTTCATCATTTAAGGTTGACACTACCAAGTGTAACAGACAGCACCTAAGCCTTTGGGCTAAGTCCCAAATTTGCCTGGAGGTAGGGAAAGAGCATTAGGCAGCCACAGAAAGTTCCTAGAAAGTTGAAGACTGTCTCTTCCTTTCAGGACAAAAGATCAGGTCTGAGGAGCTGAAGCACTTTAAAATGTAAAGGTGCTACCCTGTGTACAGATAGAAAAGAAAAGATTTGAATAACTGAAGACAAAGGAACAGTAGTTGCCTCTGGCCTTATCTAAACACTAAGTTTGCAGGGATCTTTCCCTGGTGCTACTACAACTCACCTCACAAATTTCTTTCTCATTATTAGTATGTATTCACAACCATCTGATAAACTGGCCCTCTGCCATCATGTGGTTCTGTGGACCCCATCAAAGGTACAGACACCAGGGTCAGGCCACCAGACTACCCCTTCCTAACACAGTTTCTCAGGTCATCTCAAAACCTCTGACTTTTCTTACCCTCATTATCTTTTCTTTTTTTTTCTGAGATGGAGTCTTGCTCTGTTGCCCAGGCTGGAGTGCAGTGGTGCGATCTCGGTTCACTGCAACCTCCACCTCCTGGCTCAAGCGATTTTCCTGCCTCAGCCTTCTGAGTAGCTGGGATTACAGGCACCTGCCACCACGCCTGGCTAATTTTTGTATTTTTAGTAGAGACAGGGTTTCCTCATGTTGGCCAGGCTGCCCTCAAACTCCTGACCTCAGGTGATCCTCCCATCTCGGCCTCCCAAAATGCTGGGATTGCAGGTGTAAGCCACCATGCCTGGCCATCCTCATTATCTTAATAATTACCAGCTACGATGTTCTCTTCATGTTTTCTGTCTGTCTCTGGTAACCTTCCTTTAAAATCCCATGATGAGTTTCTTTTTGGAATGATGACAAAGAAAGTATTGGCACTGGATAGTGGTGATGGTTGCACAACACTGAGATTATACTTGATGTCCCTGAATTGTACTTAAAAATGGTTAAAATGGTAAATGCTATGTTACGTATATATTTACAACAATTTAAAAAATTTTCATTGTCCACTATTTATCTGATACAGATGGTTATAGGACTATGACCTAGATTTCTGTTAGCCTTCTAGATGTTCTCTCTGCATGTAGCATCTTCCCATCTAACCATCTTACACAGCACTGCCTAACATACTGCTTCTATTATGTGAGATCTTTCTTAAACATTTTATTATTTATATATAAATATTAATTTAACACTAATATTCAAGACCCTATACCACCTAACCTCAACCTACTTTTTCAATGGTATCTTTTGCTAATCTCTTCTAGCTACAGATAGCTCTGTCAGATAACTCTGTCTTACCGTGTTTTTGCTCATGTCCTTAACTCACTTAAAAGATTTTCCTCTCCATACAAGTTAATGTTGTCTCCAATCTTATTTTTCCCACAAAGTGTTTTCTGACCACCATAATCCAGGCTGGTTTTCTTCCCTCCTTGTTAGTTACCACTGACTGGATGTTTTTATTGTTCATTTAAAGCACTATTGTAGAATATATACAACATATCTTCTACTTCCTCAATTAAATCACACACTCCTTAAAATCAAGATGTTTAATTTTTCATTTCTTTGTATTACTCAGTATCTATTTAGAAGTTACTAAAAAAAATACTGATGGATGATCTAATTCCAAGTCATCAAATAACAATAAAAATACTCAACTATGATCTAGAACTACTTACATTTATATTAGAGAAGAATTTTCCACAGGAAACAGTCAATTAAAAATATTTCTAGTTAATCCTAAATTAAATGAATCCTCTTCTGCAATCTTTTTATGGCTTACAATTCACACCTATTTCCAAAACACACATGAGATTACAAAAATAAAAAGTACATATACTACTGCCCTACCAACATAAGGATAAAAGATCAAAAGGCATGGAATACACCAAGCTGAGATAATCATACTATAAACCTTGATTAAGGAAGATGAGTTGCTGCAGTCAGAGAGAAGCCTAACATGGCAATAGGAAAGGATGATCACTGAAGGTCCCTTCGAGTGTGTCTCTTAAATATAAATTGTCTAAACCTCTGAGAGGTATTGTGAGGCCTCTGAAAGAAGTGAAAGGTTCTGGAAGAAATAAAATAGAGAAAGAAGTCTTTGATAAAAATCTGTCATGCAGGTATACTGATTTGCTAACTAAAACCCATAGAATCTCAGAGCTTCAGACATCAGACACATCCAAAGTGTATAATTTGTTATAGAAATGAATGAATTTAAACAGTTTTCTCCCATGGAGGGCCACTGTTCATCTACAAGATGTTAAGGGTCAGGGATGCTTACAGACATCCAGACTGTTCTCACTGGCAGTTTGGTTTAGCCTAAATGTCTGAAAAAATACTTAGGGCTCCAGAACTCCATCCTATAAAGCATGGAAGAGAGGACTTTGATCTGAAAAATTTTAAGCACATTCAACTATGAAATCACTTGCTGTTTACACAGGATATAATTCAAAGGCCTACAACAACATTAAAAAAAAAAGAAATGTAGCATTGACTTGTGACAGAATACCAAGAAAACAATTTAATCTGTTATTATGAGGATGGATTTATGAAAGCAGGGTAGTCACCCCTGAGGAAATTACATCAAAACAACTTTATCACATATTGATGTATAGTAGAAAGGGTGGGAGATGAGAATACTGTTTACTGGCAAGCGCAGCATCTGCTTTTAATGGGCATTAAAAGCAAAACCCATTCAACTATGTGTAAAGAGTTTTACCATCCCCGGCTTCAGGGTGCTCAGTTGCAACGTCCACCCTGTACTGTAAGGGTACCTCACACAGGATAAACCAACAAGAAACACAGTAATCCTTCCTATCTTTCATCTGAAATATGAAAGAAGGAAGTTTATTTTATAGAGACAATAAAATATATATATATATAACACAGTATATATATATAAAACACAGTATATACATATAACACAGTATATATACATATATATAAAATGTATAAAACACAGTAACCCTTTTTACCTATCTTCTATCTGAATTATGAAAAAATAAGTTTATTTTATAGAGGCTATATTGTCTGATGCCTAATGCATACATTATTCCCTCTATTTGGCAGCTTACATAACTAGTAGTTGCTCAATTACAGTCATGCACTGCACAATGATGTTTTGGTCACTGAGGGACTACATATATGACTATGGTCCTATAAGATTATAATGGAGCTGAAAAATTCCTATTGCCCAGTGATGTCATAGCCATCATAACGTCCTACTGCAACATATTACTTATGTGTTTGTGGTGATGCTGGTGTAAACAAACCTACTGGCTTCCAGTCCTATAAAAGTATAGCATACACAATTAGATTCGGTACATAATACTTGATAACAATAATAAATGACTATGTTACTGGTTTATGTAGTTACTATACAGCAAGTATAACGACATTTCATTCAAGGTCATTTTGTTCTAACGCTGATGAGAAAAAAATAATCAATTCCCAGCCAGAGCCACTGTCTATGTAGAGTTTGTGCCTTCTCCCCAGGTCTGCATGAGTTTTCTCTGGGTACAAAGATGGGCATGACCGGTTAATCGGCATGTCTAAATGTTCCCAGTCTGAGTGAGTGTGGGCATGGGGGTAAGTACACCCTGTGGTGCAATAGTGTCCTGCTCAGGGTTGACTCCCTCCTTGTGCCTGAGCTGCTGGGGTAGGTTCCAGCCACTCACGACCCTGAATTGGAAAAGGCAGGTTAGAAAATGAATGAATGAATAAATGAATGAATACAAATGATTGTAAAATAAAAATTCGTAGACGGTAATCCTACAGATGCATGACAATAAACGATGCAGTAGGAACGCACTCAGTAAGCCTACCGTATTTGCCATTGATTTTGAACTATGTGGTGGGAAGAGGTGCTGCTGACAACTTTTACTTCACAAATACCTATTCCTTGATTTAACCCATTACCACTATGACAGCCATCACTCACTATTTACCAAAAACTGGGGAAATAATTCTTATTTTTTAAAAAGTATTTCTTAAATGTAAGTGTACCTCACATTTATTTCAATGTTTAATAACAGAAGTGTTCTGGGTCTTCAATTAGAAGTTTGGTGATGTTTTTGTAACCAGAATCATGCCATCAGAACTTAACTATTGTGGGAAGTCAGGGATCCCGAATGGAGGGACCAGCTGAAGCCATGGCAGAAGAATATAAATTGTGAAGATTTCATGGACATTTATTAGTTCTCCAAATTAATACTTTTATAATTTCTTACACCTGTCTTTACTGCAATCTCTGAACATAAATTGTGAAGATTTCATGTACATTTATCACTTCCCCAGTCAATATTCTTGTGATTTCCTATGCCTGTCTTACTTTAATCTCTTAATCCTGTCATCTTCATAAGCTGAGGATGTATGTCGCCTCAGGACCCTGCGATGACTGCGTTAACCGCACAAATTGTTTAAACAATATGAAATCTGGGCACATTGAAAAAAGAACAGGATAACAGCAATGTTCAGGGAACAAGGGAGATAACCATTAAGTCTGGCTGCCTGAGAGCTGGGCAGAACAGAGCCATATTTGTCTTCTTTCGAAAGCAATAGGAGAAATATCGCTGAATTCTTTTTCTCAGCAAGGAACAGCCCTGAGAAAGAGAATGCGTTCCTAGGGGGTGGTCTCTAAAATGGCCGCTCTGGGAATATCTGTCTTTTACGGTTGAAGATAAGGGATGAAATAAGCCCTGGTCTCCTGTAGCGCTCCCAGGCCTATTAGGACGAGGAAATTTTGGTCAGACTGGTTGTCTGCTCTCAAACCCTGTCTCCTGATAAGATGTTACCAACGACAATGTGTGCCTGAAACTTCATTAGCAATTTTAATTTCGCCCCGGTCCTGTGATCTTACCCTGCCTCCATTTGCCTTGTAATATTTTATTACCTGGTGAAGCACGTGATCTCTGTGACCCACACCCTATTTGTACACTCCCTCCCCCTTTTGAAAATCACTAATAAAAATTTGCTGGTTTTGCGGCTTGCGGGGGCATCACGGAACCTGCTGACATGTGATGTCTCCCCCGGACACCCAGCTTTAAAATTTCTCTCTTTGTACTCTTTCCCTTTATTTCTCAGACTGGCTGACACTTAGGAAAAATAGAAAAGGACTCATGTTGAATTATCGGGGGCGGGTTACCCCGATACTTAACTTTTGTTTGTATTAATCTGCCTGTGATAAAATTTATTTCCTGATACATCATTTTACTTAAAGTTGCAGTTTCCAAGAAATTATCAACAACATTAAGTGAAAACTTACTATACTATACATTTTATTATTTTAGAGTGTACCCATTCTATTTATACATATATGTATAAAGTGCATTTTAGAGTGTACTCATTCTATTTATATGTATGAAGTTTATATATATATAAAGTTAACTGTAACACAGACTCAGATACACATATACATATATACGTGTATGTTAACTGCAACACAGACTCAGATATACATATACATATATATGTGTATGTTAACTATAACAGACTTAGATACACATATACATATACATACATATATACGTGTATGTTAATTATAACACAGACTCATACACATATACATACATACATATACACATGTGTATGTTAACTGTAACACAGACTCAGGCAGGTACTACGGGAAGTATTCCATAAGAAGGCATTGCTATTGTAGGAGATGGCAGTTCCACAAGTGTTACTGTTCCTGAAGACTTTCCATTGGAACAAGATATGGAGGTGGAAGGTAGTAATATTGATGATTCTGACTCTGTAGGCCTAGACTCACATCTGTGCTTATGCCTTAGTTTAAAAAAAAAAAAACACAATTTTACAAAGTAAAAAAAGAAAAAAGAAAATTTTAAAAATAGAAAAATATTAAAATTATATGATGAAAACAATTTGTAGAGCTATGCAAGGTATTTGTATTTTAAGCTAAGTGTTATTTTAAAAGAATCAAAATGTTTTTAAAAGTTAAAAAGTTATAAAGTAAAAAAGTTACAGTAAGCTAAGGTCTATTACTGAAGACAAAACAAATTTTTAAATAAATTTAGTTTAGCTTAAGTGTACAAGATTTATAAAGCCTACAGTGGTGCAGTAATCTCCTAGGCCTTCATATTCACTCACCACTCACTCACTGACTCACCCAGAGCAACTTCTAGTCCTGCAAGCTCCATTCATGGTAAATGCCCTATACAGGTGTACCATTTAAACAATCTTTTATACTATATTTTTACGTACCTTTTCTGTTTTCTTTTTTATTGTTATTTCTTTTGAGACAGGGTTTCACTCTGTCACTCAGGCTGGAGTGCAGTGGTATGATTATGGCTCACTGCAGCCTTGACTTTCTAGGCTCAAGTGATCCTCCCTCCTCAGCCTCCTGAGTAGCTGGGACTACAGGTGCATGCCTCCACGCCCTGCTAATTTCTTAATTTTCTGTAGAGATGCGGTTTTGCCATGTCACCCAGGCTGATCTCAAACTCCTGGGCTCCAGCAATCTGCCCACCTCAGCTCCCAAAAGTGCTGGGTTACAGGCATAAGCCACAGGCCAGGCCTACTGTACCTTTTCAATTTTTAGATATGTTGAGATACACAAGTGTTTTCTACTGCATTACAACTGCCTACAGTATTCAGTACAGTAACATGCTGTATAGGTTTGTTGCCTAAAAGCAACAGGCTATGCCATATAGCCTACGTGTGTAGTAGGCTATACAATCTAGGCTTGTGTAAGTATACTGTATGATGTTCACACAACAATGAAATCACCTAATAATGTATTTTTCAGAAAGTATTTATGTCATTGATGCTTAACTGTAATTTTTTTTTACTGAATGACTCAAATCTAACCAGAGATTTTAAGGGAATGGAAGAATAATACCAACATAGCAAAAATTTAACCTCTCTTCCCATTCAAAATTTGTTACCTGTGCATAACCTCACATAACCTAAAGGCTGACTATACAATGAGTCTTGCTTTTAGAATGATACTGCTTGCTTTTATGACACCTATCAACTTTCTGATGACTGAGGAATCACGTCATAAAGAATATGGCGACTCACAAAGACCTAAATGATTACAAAATAATTCTATAAATAGTAATAAAAATAATAAAACAGTACATACTCATATCAAATGAAAACTATTCTGGAAATGTGATAAAAGCCTTTGAAATTTATAGGATTTTTGAGTACTAAGAATACTTAATAATACAGAATACTATAGAATAATATTAAGAATACTAAAGATATCTGACTACCAAATATTTTGCATTAAGCATAAAATATTCGTCAACTCCTGTAGACATTATTTTACAATAATTTTCCAAACTTTATCTCAAAACTTCCCTTCCCTATGGATAAAATATTCCTTGTAAAAAGGATTTAATGTTTCCAAATAGGAGGAATTGTCACCTTTATGAAGGAATGGTTATCTTCATACATATCGTGAAAAAGTTCATAAAGTTTCCAATTAGCAAGCCTCGAACATGTCACTCACTGACATACAAAGCTTAAAAGCACCGTTGACAACCAGAACAAACTGTTCTGCAAATTTGCTTTCATATTTTATCACTATTTTCAATAAAATATAATATTTAATAATTCAATGATTTTATGCCTTTTCAAAAAATAAAATCATTTTTTTCAAAAATGAAGTAGCTAAGATTACAAAAAATAATAGGTTTGAAAATAGGTAAAACTTCTGGGATTTTTCCTGTTGCATCACTGTTAAGGACTGAATTGTGTTCCCTCCAAAATTCATATGTTGAAGCTCTAACCTCCATACCTCAGAATGTGATTGTATTTGGGGCCTTTAAAGAGGTAATTAAGGTTAAATTAGATTATAATGGGGTCCCTAATCCAATAGGACTAGTGTCCTTATAAGAAGAGGAAGGGACATCAGGAGAGTGCACACAGAGAAAAGGCCACGTGCGGACACAGTGAGAAGGCAGCCATCTGCACACCAAAGAGAGAGGCCTCAGGAGAAACCAACACTGCTGGCACCTTGATCTTGGACTTGCAGCCTCCAGGACTGTGAGAAATAAATTTCTCTCGTTTAGGCTTGTAA
The DNA here is from genome assembly GCF_000001405.40 of Homo sapiens. Classification (NCBI taxonomy): domain Eukaryota; kingdom Metazoa; phylum Chordata; class Mammalia; order Primates; family Hominidae; genus Homo; species Homo sapiens. The sequence goes on from NC_000004.12 coordinate 89,018,444, forward strand.
CATCCAGTCTGTGGTATTTTGTTAGGGCAGATGTAGCAAATTAATACAATTTGGGGTTGAGGCCTCAAAGATAAAAATAAAGGTTGTGATGGGCCCACCCATTCTAAGCAAAAATGCTAGATGAGCTATATAGAACTTATTAAGGTGAGACCAAACCCAGGTCTGGCGGCCTTGGGCCATCAACAGGCCACAAAGATATTTAAGCAGGAAATTCAGTGTTAAAATTTGAAGTTAAAAATTAGAGAGTGAGGATTTCTTTGAAGGGAGAGAGTTGCTAGAGAAATATAATGCTTCCTCTAACTTTCCCAAGCCAAGTGAGGGTCATCAGATTATCACTTGGGTAGTTTGAAGAGTCTAAAACTCGTCAAAGAGTCTAACACAGACAGTCTGGCTATGGGTGCCCTGGGTGGCAGCACAAGAAGGCAGGGCTCTGCCTTGTGACTGACCTCCATTTCAAGAATGTGGCAAAGATGTGTTTCCTGAGGACTGCCCAGGTACTCTGAAGAAAGAAATAAGACATGAGTAATCTTCCAAAAGGATTGCCTGGAGGTCACCACGGGAGGCCAGGGGCTGCAGAGAAGTGAGAAGAGGCCAGGGCAGGAGGCATTGCTGATGTGAGGGCCTGGGGGAGCTACAGACAGGTCTCCTTCCCTAGGGGATGGCAAGTGGAGGTAGTTAGTGTCCTCTTCTGATACAACCACACAACTTTTAGCTAATATTTCAAAATGGTCTTTCATGGGGTAAAATATTTCTGGTACTTTCTTACTTGTCCTATCTGGCCTTCTCACTTATCCTGTTCTTTAGCATACTGCATGTGAATAGGTACACCACTGCTGTAAAGGAATGTGGCTTTAGGTAGCACCCTTAATCTGGCAACGAATACTTTTGGAAATATATTTTCTTCTTTCTTCTCTAATTTGGGAAAAATAATAAAATAAATGGTTTTAAGGGTAAACCATTTTTCTTACAGCACTTAGGAGGGAGAACTCAATAATGACTATGCCTATAATTATTACACTTAAAAAGCGAGTTCCTGGCCAGGTGCAGTGGTTCATGCCTGTAATCCCAGCTCTTGGGGAAGCCAAGATGGGTGAATCACCTGAGGTCAGGAGTTTGAGACCAGCCTGGCCAACATGGTGAAACCCCAACTCTACTAAAAATACAAAAGTTAGCCGGGCATGGTGGCGGGTGCCTGTAATCCCAGCTACTCAGGAGGCTGAGGTAGAAGAATTGCTTGAACCCAGGAGGCAGAAGTTGCAGTGAGCCAAGATTGTGCCACTGCACTCCAGCCTGGGTGACAAGAGTGAAACTACATCTCAAAAAAAAAAAAAAAAAAAAGCAAGTTCTTTCATATGAAATCACTTAATACTACAATCAAAAATCAATTTTTACCTCACGAAATGAACAAAATTATTTTAGGACTCAATCTTGCTTAGGAGAAAAAGCAAGTACACCAGTGAGCTTTCAGTCTCAAAGGTCATTAAGCAACCACAATTTAATGAATATTTCCTTTATTGTTCTCTAATGTTTTCTAAATTATTCTTGATCTCACTCCTTTTATGACAGTCATTAGTCAGAAAAACATGTCTTTGGCCCAAAAGCATCAGGGATTTTCAATATTACGTTACTGAAGTAGTCACATGTTAATGGTATCAGAAATTTCATTTAATAACGGTATTTCATAATCAGTCTAGTATGATTTTACATAGGGGATGAGGGCCTGGAGTAAAATAACAAGGTGGTGGTTATGGAAAGACCACAAATATTTAAAAACTTTTTAAATTTTAAATATTTAGTATGTTTACTAAAAATAAAACTGGTTTTTTTTTTTCTGCCCTTTTTTTTTTTTTTTTGTAGAGATGGGGGTCTTGCTTGGTTGCCCACGGTGGTCTTCAACTCCTGGCTTCAAGCAATCTTTCTACCTCAGCCTCCCAAAGTGTTGGGATTATAGGTGTGGGCCACCGTGCCCAGCCTAGTAAAGTTGTTTTAACTCCTAAAAGGATTTATTGTACTAACCCTGAAAGAGTTGAATGAATCGAGGCTGCAACGCTGAGGTGATCAGACTGTCAGGCAGCTCCCTCAGAAACAGCTTCAACAGACTGGCTGCTGAGCAGACATCACCGTCCTTCCCGAGCTCCACGGGCACTCCACTCTCGAACTTCAGTCGAAGTTGTTCCACCACCTTCACGTTACCATTCACCCTAAAAAGACCTTCTTGGGTAAGTCCTGGAAGAGCAAAGTAGGCACAGAAAATAAATAGGTTTCTCACAGACATGAAACGTAAAGAATGATAACAACACAAAGAAAGAAATCTCAGCATATGATTCTCTCAACACTGTAATTATCAATCATTGTGTAATTTTCACATTTTGTAAAACTTTCCTTAGAATAATAAATGTTCATATCCACTGCATGTCAGCTTAAAAGATCATATATGATTGGTATAAAACCCAGCTTCTAAAAATAAGGCTATGGCATATATAAACATAGAGCAAAACAGAGTACACAAAGAAATTTCATTTATATAATCTTCTAGAGCACATAACAAAAACTTACTCAGGGCTCTAACAGCAGCTTAACACTTCATGAACAACTACTTTTTAAATGACATGTATTTAAGAAACTTTTAAACTCTATGTAATTACCTGTGTAATAGTTTAAGAAATAAGGGGTAGTTTTTCAGTTATCACTAAATTCAAAATGTAAGACTCTAGGAAACTACAAAGTGGTATAAGACAAGATCCTTGCCTTCAGTCAGTTGATGGGGGATATCAGTGTCAGCTGAGGTTATCAGAGAAGGCCTCCTGGAGGAGGTAAACTTAACCTTTGGCTAAAGCAACACAGAGGGGCTGGAGCTGTTACGCTGTGAAACCAATGAAGCTTGAGCTTCAGGGCCCCTCATTTTCTTGGGCCCTTTACAAGCTCTGTCCCTAATCCTGTATTCTTAGTATCATATTCTTTTTCTTAAAGAAGTCTCAGAAGATTAGGCATCTGGACTCACAAAACCTTGATCTACCCCTGACAAAGATAAACAAAAATATGAATTGAGAAGTAGACATAGGAAAACATAAAGAAAGGTAGGCAGAGGACAATGTGGGGTGCCTAGGTCAAAGAATGATGGGATAATAAAATGGAGAAACAGGAAAGGGTCTGTGACAAGTTAAAGAGTGAAGGCCTTATCACTGGAGCAATAAGTGAGGAAAAAGACAAAATATAATCAGGGTTTTAGGAAGATTTAGCTAGCTAAGAAGTAGAGTATGGAGAGGACCTGCCTTATGGAAACTATCTTCTATTTTAAGGTAGTAAACTGAGATTATGGTGGAAAAGAAGTGAAAAACAAAGAATAAAGATGATTTGGTAACTTGGTTCAAAAGGGAGAGGGAAAGGGTTGAAAGGTAACCTTAAAGTTTTGAAAAGTAGGAATACAGGAAAAAAAAAACACTGTAAAAGATAAGATTAGGGGGTAGGGATAGGAGAGTAGCTGGTTTACGGCAGAAGATAATGATTTCCAGCTTAGTGTGCTACACACCATGTAAGTGAATGTGTCAGGCAGTAGAGGACTTTGAAAGTGTAAGAAACAATCTTTCTAAGAAAGAGCAGGCCAGGATTTAACGTGACATTCTTGAGAGTCTAATGGTGAATGTTAGCAATGACATAATGACATTGAAGCCTATCAGGATTTTTTAGAGGGGAGGTGATAATTTATATCAGCCTTTGCTTCTTTCCCTTAACTGGTAATTGTATTGCTCTTTTTAAAGCAAAAGAGGAAGCTAATTTTATTTTATTTTATAATCTAATAAAATACTTTTAAGTTCTTTAATTCAACAAACATGTAATAAGTGCCTGACATTATCTTAGGTAATAAAAAAAAATCAATCCTGAGAAAAAAAATTCAACACTATCATTACCCTCATGGACTTTGAAGTCTGGTGAGATGTTTGTGTTCTTCCACATATACATATTATTTGGCTGTGAAGAAAATCAATATCAAAAGTTGATATGAATTTTAGCTCCAATTCTGAAAAAAATTGTGACACTAGGGATGATATTAAAAGTATTTAACAATGACTAGGACCAGGGCACCACCTAAATGGAAGAGATACCAGTTGGTCTGTGTGGCAGACAGCTTCTAAAATAGTTCCCATGATCCCCACTTCTCGTACCACACCCATTATAATCCCCTCTACTTGAGTGTGGGCCGGACCTAGTGACTTGCTTCTAACAACAGAATACAGCAAATGTGATGTCATGTCATATTTTAAGATTAAGTTATAAAAGACTGACAATCCATCATGCTTCTCTCTCTTTCTCTCTCTCTCCCCCTCTCTCTGTCTGTCTGATGTACTTTATTAGCTACTGGCCACGGGCAAACAACTAAAGGTGGTCTCTGGCCAACGACCAGTGAATAACTGAAAACCCTCAGGTCAACAGCTCACAAGTAACAGAATCCTGCCAACAACCACATGAATGAGCTTGGGAGGGAATTTTTCCCCTGTTGAGTCCTGATATGACTGAAGCCTTGGCTGACACCATGATCACGGCCTTGTAACTCTAAGACAGAGGACACAACTAAGATGTATCTGGATTCCTGACCCACAGAAACTATGAGATAATGATAAATACTATTGTTTTAATCTATTATGTTTTGGGGTAATTTGTTATGCAGCAAATGGGTAACGAATACGATACGCCTTTCCCTTAAGTTCTGTGGAATATCAGGTTCTATTGGGAGATGCCAGCTTAATCATTTAAAGCTTTCAAGGTCTGTCTCCTCTACTATACAAAAGTTTATCTTTAGCTTCAGAAACTTATCCAACAATCAAGCAGCTAGCATCCAACACAAAGGCATTCCGTCCCTGGTCAAATATGAAATCCTGAAAATTTAGAGTTTTGTTTCCTGTTCCTATATTTACCCAGCTGCTTAACCTAATCTTGCCTTCTGTTTTTGGCCTAGCAAATGCCCCTTAGATCTGATTTCACATGATGTTGTTTTTTTTTTTTCTTTTTAGCTTTGACCTTAGTCTTTCTTTTCCAACAAGGTTTTTTTGAACCTTCCCCCAAATAAATATACTTCCAGCAATTTCAGAAAAAAATACCCAGCTCCAAGAACTGTCTTGTGGTCCTCAAGCCTCCTGATTCCACTGGACCAAACTAGCAGTCATATAAGGTACAAATAGAAGTGACTGAATTTAATGCTCCTCAATAATATTTTCCTGTCTCTGTCCCATTTATCTGAACAACTCTTTTCCCTCAGGATTATCTCCCACCCACAACTCTTATGATAATTCGTGATGTTCAACTAGGGAAAGTTTATAATCCTGGGCATGAATATATCACATTCTGAGAAGAAGAATCCATACAGTTTTTTAAAGCCTCTTATGAGGCTAGAATATAGCCAGTACCCACATGAGGCTTACCAGACCATATAACCTTTAAATTTTCCTACTCTAAAATTGTAGAAAGTTATGACTGTAACAAAAATATTCAGAAAAGGGGGATATTTGGATGACTTCATGAAGCAGAGTTACTCTCATACATTTCAGAGCTCCTATTATATTTGATTTTAAGCTATGTGCTAATTATCACAAAACAGCAACTTAATAGTGGTTTAGAAATGAAGAAAAAATTATATAAGCTAATGTCTACATCACTGAAAGATACTTTTCTGTACAACTGAAATATTTCTTTCAAAATAGTATGAATATTAAAAACAGAATATGCCATTAGAAACAGAATATGCCAGAAGTCACAAATTGCCTAACAGCACACTTTGGCCAGGGAAGTAGTATGACAATAAGTAAGCACATTCTGACACCTGGTGGTGACTTGAGACTCTACACTGTAGGTTAAAACGGCATAACCTATAGTATCTTCATGCCAAACTAAGAGAAAGAAGCCGTTAACATTGTCAGCGAGAAAAAGAGTTTAAAGACTGTATGCTTTATAAGTTATAATGTATATACCTTTAAATGAAAATATCCAAAATCTGCTTAAAGGGCTTGATATAGGCCTTTCTGTCTTAAAAATTCCTTTACAATAATAGTTTACCTTCATGCCAAATTGTTAAATTGCATTTACGTGAAACAATAATAAAGCATAACCAAAATAGCAACCTATGATTGAATTACATGAATGGTCACCCCTATAGTCCCATTTCCATGCCTGACATAGTGCTTACTGTGTATCACAGGTGTACAGTAAATGTTTGTTGATCTGAAAAAACTGCAAAGTAATTAAATAAAACAAATTGAAGTATTATGCCCTCAAACTTTATACTACCCTTCAAACTTACACAATTTCTTTGGTTTATTAACATGGTAGTTTCAAATACAAGAAGGGGCTTGTGTTTGTCTACGTAGTAATTAACTACATAGCCTTTCAAAATACAGGTGCCAGGCCTACCCGAGCTTGCCCAGTCAAGATTCTGATTCAGTAGTATGAGGTGTGGGCAATGCATGTGTATTATGAAGATTCCACTAGTGATTCTATTTCACATCCCTCATTAAGAGCGACTGATTTAACTTAATAAAATGTTTAGTTTGCATTACCCGAATACACCCTGTTAAAGTATAACTAACAGTATGCTAAGGAGGGGCAGAAGAAAATCAATCCCTAATTTAAATTTTGTCAAAATTTTCATATGTTGATGGTGTGAGTGTAAATTGTTTCAGCTCTGATAGAGTTCATTACACATGCACATATCCTCTGACCATCCAGGAGTTCACTTCCAGGAAGGTAGTCTATGCACACACTTGTATGTGCTTCAAATGCCATATGCTAAAGGTTAACCATGGAATCATTGTTTTTTTTTTTTTTTTTTTTTTTTTTTTTTGAGACGGAGTCTCGCTCTGTCGCCCAGGCCGGACTGCGGACTGCAGTGGCGCAATCTCGGCTCACTGCAAGCTCCGCTTCCCGGGTTCACGCCATTCTCCTGCCTCAGCCTCCCGAGTAGCTGGGACTACAGGCGCCCGCCACCGCGCCCGGCTAATTTTTTGTATTTTTAGTAGAGACGGGGTTTCACCTTGTTAGCCAGGATGGTCTCGATCTCCTGACCTCATGATCCACCCGCCTCGGCCTCCCAAAGTGCTGGGATTACAGGCGTGAGCCACCGCGCCTGGCCGGAATCATTGTCTGTAAACGACAGAAGACTGGAAACAATCCATTTGCCCATCAGTATGGGACTGCTTAAAGATATGATATATACATGTGGTAGAACGGTGTGCAGAGGAAAAGAAAATAATTAAAAATGAGTAAAGCTCTTTATGCAATATGGAACAATCTCCAAAATACACTGATATTTAAAAGATTCAGAACAGTGTGCAATATTTGTGATAAAAGGGAAAAAAGAACACACAGACGCATACTTATATATACACGAAACATCTTAAGAAGATACCAGAAACGGGTATAGCAATACTGTTTTAGAGAGAGAAAACAAAGGTCAGGAGACACTTTGTAGGGATAGACTTTTCACCATATACTCTCCTATATTTTTAACCACATAATTTTATTAACAATTCAAAAAATATTAAAATTTTTAAAAATCAAAAATGTAAAATTTTTTACACAATAAAAGTATGATCAAGAGACTATTATCCAATGAATGTTGAGAGAAAGAACGTTGATTATGCCATAACCAGAATACTATTCTAGGTACCCGTAGTTGGACATCTAAATGAACCATACAACCCTACTTAACAGATGAAATGAAAGATCTAAAAATCCATTTGTATCTAACTCAGTGGGATACACAGCCTCACTCAAAACCAAGTATGTAAATAAATCCTGTTAAAGCTGGTTGTAAATCCTGGCTTCAAGATTTTGTAGGCCAAACTTCCATCTTCCTGTCATGCTATGTGTAACACTGTTTGTATTTAACTGTTTGAAGCATTTGAATAAATCCAGAGCTGTTTTCTAAGAATCTGGCCTTTTTACAATTTATCTTCCTTTAATAAGGAGAAAAATTCTACGGAGTAAGAACAGAAACCTGGCTCTTAAGTTTTCAGAAAAAAAATATAATTTTGTCATAAAGAACTGCCTGAGAGTGGGTAATTTATAAAAGAAAGAGGTTTAACTAACTCACAGTTCAGCATGGCTGGGGAGGCCTCAGGAAACTTACAATCATGGCAGAAGGCAAAGGGAAAGCGAGGCACCTTCTTCACAAGGCAGCAGGAAGAAGAAGTGCTGAGCGAACAGGGAAGAGCCCCTTATGAAACCATCAGATCTCTTGAGAACTCATTCACTATCAGAGAACAGCCTGGGGAAACCACCCCCATGATTCAATTACCTCCACTTGGTCTCTCCCTTGACACGTGGGGATTGGGGGATTATAATTCAAGATAAGATTTGGGTGGGGACACAAAGCCTAACCATATCAGTCATCTACATGCCTAGTAACCAGAGCAGATAGATGTTTTTTCAATTAACATCTAACCATCAGCAGAATGAATAATCTGCCATAGAGTCCCTGTCAAAAGTTGATAGGAACATGTGATGAGTGCTTCTCACTCATTTCCAATAAATGATTCTTATCAGAAAGGGAGAAGAGACTTGTAATCCTGGAAAGATATGGCCTGAAACAAATTACTCAAATTACAGTAGACCCACCTTACCGGCAGGGGATATGTTCCAAGACTGCCAGTGGATGCCTGAAACCTTGGATAGTACCAAACCCTATATATACTGTTTTTTTCTCCTATACATACATATCTATGACAAAGTTTAATTTAAAAAGTACGCATAGTAAGAGATTAACAACAATAACTAATAATAAAACAGAATAGAGCCAGGTGCAATGGCTCACATCTATAATCGAAGCTACTTAAGAGGCTGAGGTGGAAGGATTGTTTAAAGCCAGGAGTTCAAACCAGCCTGGACAACATGGCGAGACCTGCCTCTAAAAAAATTTTTTTTAATTAGCAGGTTACAGTGCCACATGCCTGTATAATGCCAGCTACTCAGAAGGCTGTGGTGGGAAGATTATTTGAACCATGGAATATGAGGCTGCAATGAGTTATGATCACATCATGGCATTCCATCCTGGAAAACAGAGCAAGACTCTGTCCCTTTAAAAAAAAAAAAGCAATACAATAGAAAAAATGGGAGAGATTTGTTCTTACCATAGATTTTAGCAACCTCAGCATACAATTTTTTTTCTTCCTTTATTAAGTCGAGAACTCACCTTTTCAATTAAAAGAAGCACTTCATGGCTTCTCTTTGGCATATCCGAATTGCCAGCATTATTATTCTTGCGCTTTGGGGCCATTATTAAGTAAAATAAGAGTCACCTGAACACAAGCACTGTGATACCACAATGATCAATCTGCAAATTGAGGCCACTGCTAAGTGACTAATAGGAAGGTGGCATATACACATGGATACACTGGACAAGGGGAGGATTCAGGTCCCAAGCGGCAGGATGGCTGGAGATCTCATCATGCTACTGAGAAGGCTACACCATTTAAAACTGATGAATTGGTGGCCGGGTGCAGTGGCTTAGGCCTGGAATCTCAGCACTTTGGGAGGCCAAGGCAGGCAGATCACCTGAGGTCAGGAGTTCAAGACCAACCTGGCCAACATGGTGAAATCCCATCTCTACTAATAATACAAAAAAAAAAAAAAATAGCTGGGTGTTCATCTGTAATCCCTGCTACTTGGGAGGCTGAGGCAGGAGAATTGCTTGAACCCGGGAGGTAGAGGTTGCAGTGAGCCAAGATTACGCCATTGCACTACAGCCTGGGCTACAAAAGCTAACCTCCGTCTCAAAAAAAAAAAAAAAAAGCCCCCAAAAACTGATGAATTGTTTATTTCTAAAATTCTCCAGTTAGTATTTTTGGACCATGATTGGTCACAGGTAAGAGTGAAACCTTAGAAAACCAAACCATGCATAAGGGCGGGGGGGATTACTGTACAGAATATTTTTGAAGCCTCAAGTTTTACATTTAAAAATCCCTTCATGGCTGAGCATCATGGCTCATGCCTATAATCCCAACACTTTGGGAGGCTGAGGTGGGAGAATCTCTTGAGCCCAGGAGTTCAGAACCGGCTGGGGCAACATTGGGAGAACCTGTCTCTACAAATAAAAATAAAAATAAAAAAATCAGGCAGTGTGGCAGAACACACCTGTGGTCCCAGCTACTCGCGAGGCTAAGAAAGGAAGATCACTTGAGCCCTGAAGTATGAGATTACAGTGAGCTATGATCATATCACTGCACTCTGGCCTGGGTAACAGAGCAAGACCCTATCTCTTAAAAAAAGATGTAGGCACATGTATACATATGTAACTAACCTGCACAATGTGCACATGTACCCTAAAACTTAAAGTACATAAAAAAAAAAAAAAGATGTAGGGAATATGGAAGCATTCTCTCAACTTATCCAGATTTGTGATTTATTTTAAACGAAATCATCAAAAAGCTGTGGGCTTCACAGCTCTCAATAACTAAATGAGATATAATTTATCTTTTTACTGTATAATGTACTATATTATTCTCCAAATGTTTTACATGCTTTATCATTCCAAAAATAAGTGAAACCACCCCCCACCACTCCGCATAGTAAGCTTTACATCATAGTTTTTTGGTGTCTCTCCTAAGTGTATGAGGATAGTCAAGGCATTGAATAAGTTCATGATTGACCTCAGGTAAAAGAGATACCCAAAAACGTGTTTGATTACATTAAAAATTATTGACTATCAGTTGGAATTTAATTAATCTAGTAAACTGACTATTAATATTACAACAGTGTATTTCAGCATTTAAAACTAGGAAACATTCCAAACTAGAAATCTCTATAATTAAAGTGATTGCTCTATGGTTAATCAAATTAGTACTGTCAAGATCATGTTAAGCAGTAATGCCCTTTTTTAAATGAAAAGTATATTACACAATAACTTAATATTCTAATGAAGGTGCTTTAGAGGATAGCCTAATCATACATTATGAAATAATTCACACAAATAATTTGTTTATGCAAGGGACTGTGAAAATGAACAGACTAAAGCATGACTTAACTCACCATGCTGCGTCAAATATTCCACTATATTCCACACTACTGCTGGAATGCCATTCTCGGTGAGCCCCTGCCGTTCAAGTTCTTGGAGACTGACTCCAAATAACTTCTGATAGGTAAAATCCTTCTGTTCATTTAATGGCACTGCCACTATCTTTTTCATGTCTTCTTTCAGCCGAACCGCTGCTTTACTTTGCTTAAAGGAGCGTAAGAAAAAAGAGCAGTCAGTCATATTTACCACAGGAGGTTGCATGGTTACAACAGAAACACCTGAATTAAAATGTGTTTGAAGATGAATAGTTGTGGTCTTATTTTTACTTCAACTCAAATCAAAATCTCTAACATCTCTCACATGTTGCTCAGATATAATGGTTAAAAGGACTGAAAAGTAATGAAAAACCTAAAGCCACAAATGAAGTGTGCAGCTAAGAGAGGGAGCAATACACTGCCGTATCTAAGATATATTACTACAGTAACCAAGGGGTGTGACCCAGCACTACCTGGTTAACAGGAAAATAAAACATTTATAAGAACAGTGAAACGCCAGGCAGATCCTGAAACAATGAGATGTTTCTAAAGACAAAAATTTGTCTCGGTGTCATTTTAAGGTAGCTTTAATTTAAAGTGTCAGAAAAAAAAATTACAATGACCATTCTTCATCTATAATGACCATTATAGTTCTCTGATTTGATTACATCTGTAAATATCTCAGTAATCTTCTGGAACATAATATCAACTCAGTTCTTACTGAGGTTCAAAATGCCCTCAAATCTTTGAAACAACAACATTTAGGTAGTTGCAATTTTAAATTTTTCAACAAGATTGTATTATATATATTATAAATAAAAATGCAACTTAGATTCAATTACCTCAAGTTAATAACATAATGAAAAATTCATAAGAGTTTGTTTCTTCCTTGTAATAAAAATCTGCATCCAAGCAAAGAGGAATTTTTAGAGATGTGTCTTATATAAATGTTATTATATATGTTAATAAATCCAAACACTGAAAAGAGAGATGGCAAAATGCGAACGGTCTTATTTGGGGGCAGAGGCAGTAAAATTGGAGGAAACTTCCACTTTCTGAGAATGAATGTAGCAGCTTACCAATGTGGAAATACTATTAAATGACTTAAATCACCAACATTTAGTCACCAAAGAATCCTAAGAGTAGAAACATTACATTCAATCTAGAGTTGAGGAAGCAAAAACCAGAGTTAAGTTATTGGTAAAAGTCAGAGAACTAGTAAGAGACAGTTTCATCTTGCTCTAGGTCCATGTTCCTCTCCTTAATTTACAATAGATTTATATTAATGTTATAGTGCAGTTTATGTACAATTATAGTGACAAACTTATAAATGCTATATGTGACATAAGACAATTACAAGTTAATTCTACAATCTTTGAGTAGGATACTTGTAATCTCAATTTGATTTTAAATTGTGTAATCTACAGAATCAGGTCAGCTTTTACTAACATATCTGCATCTTTTGTAGGTCATATTTGAAAGCCATATTTCTCCAGTGAAATTTCAGCCAATGTAAAGGTACAATACAGATTTAGTATCTATTAATATTATAAATAAGTCATGGGGTAGCTACTATGGAGTAGTATAGCAGTATGGGCAAAACCCATGATCTCTGTTACCAAGGAAATTATGATTTTGTTAATTAAGTCAAACTTGTAACAGTTAATAATTTCTTTTTCTTGTAGGTTTATAAATGTATCAATCTCCTTCAACTGAATCCATGGGAAATTTCAACCAGGTATATCTGGTGATCAAGCAGCTAAAAAATAACCAGTAATAACAAAACTTAAAAAAAAATTTCAGTGTAGCATTAAAAACAGCTGACAGTGAAGTTAAATTATATAAATTTTATCTTATTTTATCTGCTTACACAGAGAATACAGCATAGTGGTTTAGAGCATAGACTATGGAACAAGACTGGATTGAATCCCATTCTGACTCTTATTAGCTATAACCTTGCACAAGTCATATAACCTCTGTGTACCTCAATTTCCTCATCTATAAAATGGGAATACCAAGAGTTTGTATGTCATAGAAATGTACAAGGTAGAAATTAGTTCATTTATGTAAAGGAGTAAGAACAGTGCCTGGCATACTCATTGAGTACTGATTGTCATAATCCTTTTCCTTCTCCTCCTCTTTCTTCTAGGAATTATTATTCTGATTTCTTCTTAAAGTAATGGAAAGCTAATTAATCATTCCTGTGGTAAATATCTCCATAAAGGTTACTTTTTTAAAAGGGAAACATGGTTGAGACACATTTCATTGCTGAATATTCTGATGACCTAATAACTATTCTCCATACATCTCTAATTTTCTAAAATCTGTAAGTATGACCTTTGAATGAAGATAAAATAACTTTATATGTACTTATCACAATTCCTTGATTTATTCCTAGAAATTCACGAGGTTTTCTTAGAAATTCTGTCTATATTTGAGTTTAAAACCTTGAATTAGGGCCAGGCACGGTGGCTCACACCTGTAATCCCAGCACTTTGGGAGGCCGAGGTGGGCGGATCATGAGGTCAGGAGATCGAGACCATCCTGGCCAAAATGGTGAAACCCCATCTCTACTAAAAATACAAAAAATAAAAATAAAATAAATTAAAAAAAATTAGCCGGACATGGTGGTGGGCACCTGTAGTCCCAGCAACTCAGGAGGCTGAGGCTCGGAGAATGGCGTGAACCTGGGAGGCGGAGCTTGCAGTGAGCCGAGATCACGCCACTGCACTCCAGCCTGGGCAACAGAGCGAGACTCCGTCTCAAAAAAAAAAAAAAGTTACTAATTAAGGTATTCTGAGTCTACCTATAACTGTTTAAACTTTTGTTTGCATATAAATTCCCATGCATCACTTGAGTGTGAAGACTGGACTATCTGGAGCATATTCATGGGGGTGTGTGTGTGTTTGTGTGTGTATAAAAACAATATAGGTTCCCACATAACAAAGACAACCAGAGAACCTTAAGGTTTTACTGTTAGAATAATCCTTAGGGGCCTTCTAATTCTTACACTATCGCCTTAGTAGTAAGAAAATCAGGACCTAAAAAATTGTGGTTTCAGTCAAAAAGGGCTGTGCCTAGAGTCCAGATCTCCTGAGTTTTATACCAGTATACTTTTTTATAATTAAGTACTGGTGACCTTGTTGATGCTTTTATTTTTGTTGGAAAATAGGATAGTTAACAAAATACACTGATTGTAGTAAATATTTATTGTGGTTTGGGGACACTTAGTCTCCACTTGTCCTTTTTCCAAATAACAAATCCAGACTGTGTTTTGAGGAATGACTGCATGTTCACTGTGAACAGCTTTGATAACAATACTACTCAAAATGATTGCCTTGCCTCTAGGAAAGACAGGGCTCAGTCTCTCCACCAGCTGAATCAGATCCCTTCTCCGGGAAACCACTGAAGCTTGAGTGGCTTATCATAAAGACAGAAAATGGGTACTACTCTAGTGCTCTAACAAGATGGGTGACAGCATTTGCCACCTGCATCACTGCAGCTGATATGGTCCTTGATCTACTCTTTCTGACATTGTTCATTCTTCCACTATTCATTCCATTTGGTAAGCTGCTCCAGTAACTTTCCAGTAAAGTTTCTTTATTCTGAAATTAGCCAGAACTCATTTCTGTTCTGTAACAACACACACACACACACTCTCTCTCTCTCTCTCTCTCTAATTGATTAAAATACCTAGAAAAAAATTAAAATTATCAGAGAAAATAGAAAATTAAAGTTTTAAAAGATAAGAAAAAATCAAAATGATAATGACAGTGAACTTTTATGGAGTCTTTAGTGTCTATGCCAGTCAGGGCTGCCAATACTTCAAACGGCTTCACTCATTAAATCCTATAAAAAAGAAACTCTAGGAAGGAAGATACTTTTGTGATTCCCACTTCACAAAAGGCACAGAGATGCCAGTAAAGTGCTCCAGTTCGCATAAGAAAGTGGTGCAACCAGGAGTCACACTCAGGCAAGCAAGCTGAGTCCAGGGGCCACAGTCTTAACACTGTCTCCAACTAGATAGTGGTGAGAATAAAAAACACATGCTGTAAAGATAAGTGCACTTGCTAGAAATGAGAAACAAATTCCATATTCTTGTAGCAGAGAAAAATAGTTATTTACATGTTTCATGGTCTCTTTAATACAAAGTAAGGTATGTTCAGAAGCAACATCAATAATTATGATATTAGGACCTGAATAAAGATGGCGTTCATCAATACAGTAAATAGGACAAATTTCAGGAGCCTTGAGTTTTTACAATAGCTAACACATAGAAGGGACTGATTGTATCACAGACACTGTTGTACATGGTTTAAAATTAATGTCTCTCAAAAATAAACAAGGGGAAAGGGTCCCCATTCAATAAATGGTGCTGGGAAAACTGGCTAACCATATGCAGAATAATGAAACTGGACCCCTACCTTTCACCATATACAAAAATTAACTCAAAATGAATTAAAGACTTAAGTGTAAGACTTCAAACTATAAAAATCCTGTAAGAAACCCTAGGAAATATCCTTGCGAACATCAGGCTAGGCAAAAAATTTATGACTGAGTCTTCAAAAGCAAATGCAACAAAGCCAAAATATAACAATTTGGGACCTAATTAAACTAAAGAGCTTCTGCACAGCAAAAGAAACTATCAACAGAGTAAACAGACAGCCTACAGAATGGGAGGAAATATTTGCAAACTATGCATCCAAGAAAGGACTAATATCTAGAATCTATAAGGAACTTACACCAGTCAACAAGAATAAAATAAATAACCCCATTAAAAATGAGCAGAGGACAAGAACAGACACTTCCTAAGACATATAAGCAGCCAACAAACATGAAAAGATGCTCAACATCACTCACCATTAGAGAAACACAAATCAAAACCACAATGAGATCTCACTCACACCAGTCAGAATGGCTATAATTAAAAAGTCAAAAAACAACAGATGTTGTCAGGGTTGCAGAGAAAAGGGTACATTTATATGCTGTTGGTAAGAATGTAAATTAGTTTATCCCCTGTGAAAAGCAGTTTAGAGATTTCTCAAAGAACTAAAAATAGAACTACCATTTAACCCAGAGATCCTATTACTGGGTAGTATACATCAAAGGAAAATAAATCAGCTGGGCACGGTGGCTCATGCCTGTAATCTCAGCACTTTGGGAGGCCAAGGCAGGTGGATCACCTGAGGTCAGGAGTTTGAGGCCAGCCTGGCCAACATGGCGAAACCCCATCTCTACTAAAAATACAAAAATTAGCCAGGTGTGGTGGTGGGTGCCTGTAATCCCAGCCACTCGGGAGGCTGAGGCAGGAGAATCACTTGAACCTGGGAGGCGGAGGTTGCAGTGAGCTGAGTTCATATCACTGCACTCCAGCCTGGGTGACAGAGTGAGACTGTCTGAAAAGAAAAAAGAAAGCAAATCATCCTAACAAAAAGATATATGTGCTCATATGTTTATTGCAACACTGTTCATAATATCAAAGACATGGAATGAATTTGGGTGCCCATGAGTGGCAGAATAGATAAAGAAAATATGGTACACATAAACCATGGAATACAACGCAGCCATAAAAAAGAATGAAATCATGTCCTCTGGACATGGATGCAGCTGGAGGCCAGTATCCTAAGCAAACTAATGCAGAAACAGAAAACCAAATACAGCATGTTCTCACATATAGTGGGAGCGAAACACTGGGTACAGAAAAAGGGAGGAGAGAGGGAGAGGGAAAAGGGCTGAAAAAGTTCCTATTGGGTATTATGTTCACTATTTGGGTGACAGAATCAATAGAAGCCCAAACCTCAGCATCACGTAATATACCCTTGTAACAAACCTGCACATGCACCCTGAATCTAAAATTTAAAAGACAAAAAATAAAAAATTAATGTGTCTAAGTCTCAAAATCACCTTATCACTATGTACTCTTAGCTACTTCCATTGGGATAAGAAAATTAAAGCACAAGAACAACAAAAAGGAAAGAAAGAAAGAAAAGAAAAGAAAGGAAGGAAGGAGGGGAGGGGAGGGAAGGGAAAAAAAGAAAAAGGATAATTGAGGTGCCAAGAAAAGAAAATTGCCTAAGTTTACATGGTGATATGGTTTACATTTGTGTCCCTGCCCCAATCTCATGTGGAATTGTAATCTCCAATGTTAGAGGAAGGGCTGGGTGGGAGGTGATTGGATCATGGGGGAGGATTTCTCCCTTGCTGTTCTTGTGATAGTGAGTGAGTCCTCACAAGATCGGGTTGTTTAAAAGTATGTAGCACCTCCTCCTTTCCTCTCTTCCTCTTTCTCTGGCCATGTAAAACATGCTTATTTTTCCTTTGCCTTCACCATAAGTGTAAGTTTCCTGAGGTCTCCCAAGCCTTGTATCCTGTACAGCCTGCAGAACTGTGAGCCTTTTAAACATCTTTTCTTTATAAATTATCCAGTCTCAGGTAAGGACATGAGATTTGTGAAGGGCCAGGTACAGAATGATATAATTTGGATTTGAGTCACAACCCACATTTACAGCAATGTGAGAACAGACTAATACAGCAAATGTGGTACCTAGGAGTGGGCATTGCTATAAAGATACCTCAAAATGTGAAAGCAGCTTTGGAAGTGGGTAATGTTCAGCGGTTGGAACAGTTTGGAGGGCACAGAAGAAAAAAGATGAAGGAAAGTTTGGAACTTTCTAGAAACTTGTTGAATGGTTGTGATCAAAATGCTGATAGTGATGTGGACAATGAAGTCCAGGCTGAGGAGGTCTCAGATGGAGATGAGGAACTTATTGAGAACTGGAGTAAAGGTTACTCTTGTTATGCTTTAGCAAAGGAAGTGGCAGCATTTTGCCCCTTCTCTAGGGATGTGTGAAACTTTGAACTTAAGAGAGATGATTTAGGGTATCAGGAGGAAGAAGTTTCAAAGCAGCAAACCACTCGAGATTTGACCTGGCTGCTTCTAACAGTGTATGGTCATATGCATGAGCAAAGAGATTATCTGAAACTTGAACTTATATTCATTAATAAAAGGAAAACAGAGCATAAAAGTTTAGAAAATTTGCAGCCTGATCATATTGTAGAAAATAAAATTCCATTTTCTAGGGAGGAATTCAAGCCAGCTGCAGAAATTTGCAGCTGAACATTCAGAGGAACTGAATGTTAATAGCCAAGACAATGGGGAAAATGTCTCAAAGGCATTTCAGAGATCTTCACAGCAGCCCCTCCCATCACAGGGCTGGAGGCCTAGGAGGGAAGAATGGTTTCCTGGGCCAGGCCCAGGGTCCTGTTGCTCTGCTCAGCCGCAGGACACTGGTCCCTGTGTCCCAATCACTCCAGCTCCAGCCATGGCTAAAATGGCCCAAGATACGTCTCAGGCCACTGCTCCAGAGGGTACAGGCCATAAGCCTTGGTGGCTGCCACATATTAAGCCTATGGGTGCACAGAGGGCAAAAGTTGAGGCTTAGGAACCTCCACCTAGATTTCAGAGGATGTATTGAAACTCCTGAATGTCCAGGCAGCAGTCTGCTGCAGGGGTGGAGCCCTCATGGAGAACCTCTACTAGGGCAATGCAGAGGGGAAATGTGAGATTGGAGCCCCCATACAAGAGTCCCCACTGGGACACTGCCTAGTGGAGCTGAGAGAAGAGGACCACCATCTTCCAAGACCCAGAATGGTAGATCCACTGACAGCTTGCATCATGTGCCTGGAAAAGCTGTAAGCAATCAATGCTATCCCAGGAAAGCAACTGAGGTGCTGTACCCTATAGAGCCATAAGGGCAGAGATGCCCAAGTCCTTGGGAGCCCACACCTTGCATCAGGGTGGCCTGGATGTGAAACAAGGAGTGAAAGAAGATTATTTTTGAGCTCTAAGATTTAATGACTGCCCTGCTGGGTTTCAAACTTGCACAGGGCTTGTAGCCCCTTTGTTTTGGCTGATTTCTGCCTTTTGAAATGGATGTATTTACCTAACACCTGTACCCCATTTTATCTTGGAAGAAACTAACTTGGTAAAAAAAACAACAACTTGGTTTTGATTTTACAGAAGGGACTTGCCTTGTCTCAGATGTGACTTTGGACTGGACTTTTGAGTTAATGCTGAAATGAATTAAGACTCGGGGGACTGCTGAGAAGGAATGATTGTATTTTGCAATGTTAGAAGGACATGAGATTTAAGAAGGGCCAGGGACAGAATGATATAATTTGGATTTGAGTCACCACCCATGTCTCATCTTGAATTGTAATCCCCAGTGTTGGAGAAGGGGCCTGGTGGGAGGTAATTAGACTGGGGGGTGGATGGTAATAGTGAGTCAGTTCTCACAAGATCTGGTTGTTTAAAAGTGTGTAGCACCTCCCTCTTTCCTCTCTTCCTCCTCTTCTGGCCATGTAAGATGAACCTGCTTCCCCTTCGCCTACCACTATGGTTGTAAGTTTCCTCAGGCCTCCCCAGCCACAATTCCTTACAGCCTGTGGAACCAGGAGACAATTAAACCTCTTTTCTTTATAAAGCACCCAGTCTCAGGTAGTTCTTTATAGCAATGTGAGAACAGACTAATACACATGGCTGGTAAGGTTTAGAGCCAGAACATAACCCCAGATCCTTAAGGCTCCAGTGCTTGAGCTTTTAATGATGACACACTATGGTATTGCCAGAACCTTTAATATTGGCAGCTCTGCGAGGGCCCAAGGGGGCCAACATTACCTGTATGCAGCTCTGTTTAACTTAATATAAAATCCAATTTTAGACTACTGAAATCAATGGCCTGTATTTCCTTATGGTGATCCTTCACAAATTTAAAGCCCATATATTTAAAGTACTTTGAAAGATAATCAGATTACATTGCTGGTTAAATTCAGAACCATGTGCTCCAAGACTCTTTGGAACTGGAGCTAGGGTTAATAAATCTAACAAGGAATGTATAAGATAGAAAGCCACCCCATCACCAAATAAAAGTAGTGCAAGGAAAGTGCAAGGTGATCCTGAGACATCTCACTCCAGAAAGCAATAAAAAAAAAATGCTCAAGGCCTAATGGGACACGTCCACAAGACCTATGGGCCACTGTAATGGAACACCGCTGGGCAAATTTAGGACAGTTAGATCACCAAAAGTAACCACTGTAAATAATAACATATTTAGTTAACCTAAATTTTTTATTAATACATATAACCTATGTATTAACATATTTAATACACTAATAACATAGTGTATTAAAAATCTCTGAATCTGTAATAAGTGACAGAAAGGGGTAAAAAAGTTAAGGCCTTCTTTACAGAAGAATGCTGCAGTTAAATGTAGAATGAATGACAATTAGAAAACCACCATTTTTTCTCACAAATCACTTAATAATGTAAGCAAGGATAATCAGCAGCTGCCAAAATATCAACTGAAAGGTTGTTGGAGAATATGATTTTCATAGTGTCAAAAAGATTACCTCACAGATTATATACTCATTGCAAAGAAAAAATTCACTATTGCAATTATATCTGGCTATAATCACCTTAACTTGTTACCCAAAAGATACAATTTATCATTACTAATCATGAGAGTACTTCTCATCATGTGCTCCTGATGTGATGCATTATAAAGAATACATAATTTATCAAGTATTCTTGCTAAAAACCTTTAAGGTGATGCTCACTAGCTTGTAAACCTAACTTCTAGTTTACAGTAAATACAAAAGCTAGAAGAAAAAGTTAAAAGAGACTGTGAAAAAAAGAAACAAATCCAGAAGGAGAGACATTCTAACACAGTATCAGCCTGGACTTTTCAAAACATCAATGTCATGAGGGAAAGACTGGTTCTAGATTTCAAGTAAGTTAAAATATACAACCTTCAAATGTAATATATGAATCTTGATTGTTTCCCCATTTATTAAAGAAAAACATGGATACATGTCATCATGCATTTTACCAAATTCACACAATGCATAACACAAACAGGGAAACCTAATGTAAAGTATGAGATCTACTTAATAATAATGTATCAATATTGGCTCATCAATTACAACAAATGTGCCACACCAATGCAAGATGATAATAGTAGAAGAAACTGGGAAGTAAGGACAAAGAATTATGTGGGAACTTTGTACTTCCTAGTCATTTTCTGTAAATGTAAAACTGCTCAAAAAAATGTCTACTCATTTTTAAAAGCAAAATTAGGCCAGGTGTGGTGGCTCATGCCTGTAATGCTAGCACTTTGGGAGGCCGAGGCAGAAGGATCACTTGAGGCAAGGAGTTTGAGACCTCTATATAAGCATAACTGACATCAAAAAAAGGGGTGAGAGTTGTTCAAGACCAGCCTGGGCAACAAAGTGAGATCCCATCTCTACCAAAAAAAATTTTTTTTAATTATCTGGGCATGATGGCTAATCCTCCCACCACAGCTTCTCAGGAGGCTGTGGCAGAAAGATCACTTGAGCCCAGGAGTTTGAAGCTGCAGTGAGCTACGATCACACCACTGAACTCCAGCTCGGGTGACAGAGCAAGACACTGTCTCTTTAAAAAAAAAAAAGCAAAAATAAAAACAGCCAATTGTCTCATCAGGACAACTGGGAAAATGTGAAAATGTATTGGATATTAGACAGTGTAACTTTAAATATTTTAGGTATAATACCATATCATAACATCATGTAAGAACTAATTTATTCCAGCTACAGTATTCCTTATCCTTATGAGGTGCATGCTGCAACAGGGATGCAATGTAATGATGTCTTCAAATACTAAAATATTTCAAACACAAAGTGTCTACGCCTGTATATGTATTGTATATATGCAAATATATACAAACATACAAAGAGACAGAGGGAATGAGTACAAATATCACGGAATGCTGACTTTTAAATCTAAGTGGGCAGTATACAGAGTGCCCTTTCAACTTTTATGAATGCTTGATATTTTTCATTAATAATAAATTTGGAAAAAATAGGAATCCCTCAAAGAGACTCCCAGCTAACAAAGAGTTATACCTCATACCAATTTTTTGACAGCATAAGAGGAAAAGGAACATGTTCTTTCCAAATTGCAATTTAAAAATTAACAATAACAATTGGAGGATTACTATTTTATAGAGACATAGACAATCATACTAGCTTGGATAAGGTTGGCATCATTGGGAAAGGACTAGATCTGAAATTAGGGAACTTGAGTTTGAATCTTGGTTTTGCCATTGACTGGTATAGTCTCACTGGGAATGTCAGCCTTTTTGGTGAATGTGCAGCTTTGGAAAAGAGCAAACCCAACAATAAAGAAGGATGACCCATGCGGTCTGTGATGATTAATATTGAGTGTCAACTTGACTGGATTGAAGGATGCAAAGTATTGTTCCTGAGTGTGTCTGTGGGGGTGTTGCCAAAGGAGATTAACATTTGAGTCAGTGGACTGGGAGAGGCAGACCCACCCTCAGTCTGGGTGGGCACCATCTAATCAGCTGCCAGCAGAGGAACACGGAAGGACTAGACTGGCTGAGTCTTCTGCCCTCCACCTCTCTCCCATTCTGGATGCTTCCTGCCCTTGAACATCAGACTTCAAGTTCTTCAGCTTTTGGACCCTTGGTCTTACACCAGACCCACTCTTGGACCCCTGGATTTTCCAGGAGCTCTCAGGCCTTCAGCCACCTACTTAAAAGTGTTATGAGTGTGAGTATAAGGGAGATAAAGAGAGGTGTTAATGAGTACAAACATACAGTTAGAAAGAAGGAATACATTCTAATGATTGATAGCAGAGTAGGATGACTACAGTTAACAAGTATTGTGTATTTCAAAACAGCTAGAAGAAAGGACTTGAAATGTTCCCAACACATAGAAATGATAAATACTTGAGGTGATCAAGTCAAATACCTTGACTTGATCATTACACAGCCAATGCATTTAATAAAATATCACATGTACCTCATAAATATGTACAAACATTATGTATCAACAAAAATTGTTATGAGAGTTTAATTAACCCATTTATGCCGAAGGTTGCAAATTTTTCTTGCTAAAAATCAGACCTGGATGATGACTTTAAGCAGTAGGATATAAATAACTCCCACAAGCTTAGCGTTCCAATAATGGAACACTAGGCATAAATGGGTTAAATAATGTATGTAAAAGCATTTCTCACACAGTAAGAGAGTTAATGCTGAAAACATTGATTA
The DNA here is from genome assembly GCF_000001405.40 of Homo sapiens. Classification (NCBI taxonomy): domain Eukaryota; kingdom Metazoa; phylum Chordata; class Mammalia; order Primates; family Hominidae; genus Homo; species Homo sapiens. Next base: position 89,041,594 of record NC_000004.12, read on the forward strand.
AAAATTTCTTTGTGGTGACCAATTCTTTAAAAGGATACTGTGGCAGGCCGGGCACGGTGGCTCATGCCTGTAATCTCAGCACTTTGGGAAGCCGAGGGGGATGGATCACTTGAGCCCAGGAGTTCGAGACCAGCCTGGCCAACATGGTGAAAGTCCTTCTCTACTAAAAATACAAAAATTAGCCGGTTGTGGTGGTGGCACCTGTAATCCCAGCTACTCCAGAGGCTGAGGCACAAGAATTGCTTGAACCTGGGCAGTAGAGGTTGCAGTGAGCCGAGATCATGCCACTGCACTCCAGCCTGGGTGACAGAGCAAGACTCTGCCTCAAAAAAAAAAAGAAAATAATACTGTGGCAGAGTTTGCAGTTGCCTGTTGATGGGTGTTTCTCTTCCTTAGTAAGAGAACTCTGATTCTGTTTGCGCTGGTAGGGAACAAAGTGCTCGGTTAAAACGTACCCAGCCTTCATTGCAGCACATCTTTGATGGACATATGTATATGTTTGATGAACAAGATGTAAATAGACGTTGCTGGGACCATCAGAAAAACTCCTTAACAGGGGAGCAATACAGTCTTTTCCCCATGTCCCTGTTTTCTGCCTAGATCACAGATACAATGACCAATAGCCATGCTGTAATTAAGCAGCAACCCAGAAGCTAAGCTCTAAGTACAGTAAAATAGAAAAAAAGGACTTGTAGCCTGATGACATAATAGAGGCACATGTCCACCTTGGAATAGCTAGCTATGGACTTATTTTATGTGAGAATCCCCAAATAGTGCTCTGTCAGAAAGTCAATTATTTACTGAATACGTTGTTAAATCAAGGAAATCTGAAGCCGTCTAAAAATCAATTTTCTAAATCTAGTATATTAATTTGAAAAACTCAAAGCAGTTCGTAGATATCTTATTCGTTACCCTTACAGAAACATTTCATAGCATATAGGGTTATTTATGTGCATTGTAGATCCAAGACAATAGCTCTTAACTTAGAATCCATGAATCATGAGACCCTGAAAGTACATAAAATATAATTGTTCTAGAAATCATATTCTCAAAGAGGTCTATGATCTGAAAAATAAAGACCCAACAATCTTTAAACATTCACAGAAAAGTAAAGTTTAAGAAAAGATTTTTAAAAGATAATCCATTTAAATTTCTCTTTATGTTTTTTTCTATTTAGCCCATTGATTTCTTTATCCAAAAAATTATTTAAAATTGCTTAAATCGCCTTATAGCTCACAAATTAAGTTCAACTAATTTATTCAAATTAGACTAAAAACATTCTATTAAAAAAGACTCTATGTACTTAGTACTGTTGAAATGTTCAAGAACCTATTAAAGACAAATCCAATAAAAATGTTGTGTTATCACTTCTTCTGAAACCACACAGATGAAGACGATGAAGTAACAGAAAAGCTATAAACTCTGATTTGCATATGTGATGCCAAAGGTGAGGATGATGTGGAAAGCTTACGGCAGACATCATATCAGCACTGGGGCAGGAGTCTAGAAAGGACCAGCAGTGGAAAGCTTTCAAACTCTCCTACAAATACTTACCACCTGAAAGATAGAGCACACTGTCAGAAGGAGCTGAACAAGACTCAGCTGATTAGAGAAGAGGCGGGAGAAGGTACAGAAAATACCTACAGGCACACCAAGGTGGCAGATATCAGGAAGCATTAGAAAAATACACTAACTAAGAGTGAGTGTATCACCTTGGGAGGCAAGTTTATGAAGAAAAGACAACAGAGCTCTCTTGACCCAGGCCAGCTTCTGAGAGGCAAAGGAGAGATGGGCAAACAGAGGGGCTGTATTAAGAAAACAGTCATTTTTGTAGCAATAGAGGGGGGAATCTCCTGAGCTGTGAAACCTGAAAGGCTACTTTGGCCCATTATTACTATACCCCATAGGAAACTCTTGCTACTAACCTGCAAAAATTCATCTTACTCAGGATGAGTAGGAAAAAAGGATCATGGACAGCATTTATATAGAAACAGTATTTTTTTAAGTATAAAAAAGCATCACAATCTTCCTACAACAACTCATCAGAAAAATGCTGCCAAGAAGCAGACGGAAACTATAAACTAACAAAAAGAACAAAATTTTAATAAGGATGTGACAATAGAAGCACAGACAACAACAACAAAAAGATAAATTGAACATCAAAACTAAAAATGTTTGTGCATCAAAAGACACCATGGCCAGGAGCAGTGGCTCATGCCTGTAATCCCAACACTTTGAGAGACTGAGGCAGGAGGATTGCTTGAGTCCAGAAGTTCAAGACAGTCTGGGCAACACAGCAAGACCCTGTCTCTACAAAATACAATCAATCAATCAATCAATCAATAAGCAAGCCAGCAAGCTGGGCATGGTGGCACACACCTAGAGTCCCAGCTACTCAGGAGGCTGAGGTGGATGGACTGCTTGAGTCCAGGAGGTCAAGGTTACAGTGAGCCATGATCTCACCACTGCACTCCAGCCTTGGCAACAAAGTGAGACCATATCAAAAAAAAAGACACTAACAACAGAGTGAAAAGACACAACACATAGAATAGAATCCTATAGAATAGGGGAAAATATTTGCAATTCATATATCTGAATACATATTCAAAATATGTAAAGAATTGCAACAATTCAACAACAAAAAATAGCCCAGTTCGAAAATGAACAAAGGACGTGTATAATCATTTTTCCAAATAAGACATAATGTGGCTAATTAGCACATTAAAAGATGCTCAACATCACTGGTCTTTAGGGAAGTGAGAATCAAAACCACAATGAGATATCGCTTCACACCAATTAAGATGGCTATTATAAAAATGAAAGAAAGAAAATAACAAGTATTGGTTAAGAGGTGGAAAAGTTGTAACCCCTGTGCATCATCAGTGGAAATATAAAGTAGAACAGCCAAAGTGGGAAACAACTAAATGGTTCCTCAAAAAGTTAAACATAGATTTACTATATTATCCAATGATTCCCCTTCTGGGTACATACTCTGAAAGCAGGGACTCAAACAAACATTTGTTCAACGATGTTCATAGCAGCATTATTCACGACAGCCAAAAAGTAGAAACAATCTAAATTGTTTCGCAACAGATGAAAGGATAAATACAAGGTAGAATATACATAAAATGGAATATTATTCAGGCTTGAAAAGGAATGAACTTCTGACACATGCTACAAGATGGATGAACCCTGAAAGCATTATGCAAAGTGAATAAACCAAACACAAAAAGACAAAAATTGTCTAGTTCCACTAATACGAGATACCTAGGCTAGGCAAATGTATAGAGACAGAGGGAAGGACAATGGCTACCAGGGGCTGGGAGGTGGGAGAAATAGGAAGTTATTGTTTTATGGTTATAAAGTTTATGTTGGAGGTGATAAAAAGTTCTTGAAATGGATAGTGGTAGTGATGCACAACATTGTGAATATGCTTAATCTTACAGAATTATATATCTAAAATGGTTAAAATAGTAAATTTTATGTTATGTATATTTTATCACAATAAAAAAAGTTAAAGAATTGATCACAATGATGAAAGAACACAAATCAGAAATAAAAAAATTCAGGAAAGAGGTGATCAGATAATAGGAGAATGTGAAGTGGAGACTGGTGGAACTCAGGAAATGGGGAAAAGGAAAAGGAAAAAACATTTCAGAAGTGAAGACTGAATTATAAGAACACAAAGAAGAACAGAAACTGTTCACCTCAGTAAGGGGCAGAGAGGAAATGAGGAAAGTAGATATAATGAAACATTTTTAGAAATCACAATGATTTCAGAGCTACAGAAAGCAGCTAACTGATGCCACTTTATGCCCCATTTCCACTCTTTGGAATCCCCAATGAAGAAAATCAAACAATGGAATAGAATATTTAAAGACATAATTCACAAAATCTTTGTTTAAATAAAAGTGCTTTGAGTTTACATATTGAAAGGCACATCACAACCCGGAACAGTCCACACAAAGATATATTATAAGGAAATTATTAGACTAACAATAAAGAATCTTTTGCACAGCCAAGCAAAAATCATGCACTATGTAATAAAAGAAAAATAAGAGTGGCCTCAAATTTATAGATTGCAATATTTGACCTTGGCAGAGTATAAAAGGCTTACAAAATATTTATGGAAAGAAAGTATGAGCCAAGGCAGGGCGTGGTGGCTCATGCCTGTAATCCTAGCACTTTGGGAGGCCAAAGCGGGCAGATTACCTGAGGTTGGGAGTTTGAGACCAGTCTGACCAACATGGAGAAACCCCGTCTCTACTAATAGTACAAAAATTAGCTGGGCATGGTGACGCATGCCTGTAATCCCAGCTACTCGGGAGGCTGAGGCACAAGAATCCCTTGAACCTGGGAGGCGGAGGTTGCAGTGAGCCAAGATTGCGCCATCGCACTCCAGCCTGGGCAACAAGAGCGAAACTCCATCTCAAAAAAAAAAAAAAAGAAAAAATAAAAAAAATTATGAGCCATATTTAATAATCAGCCAAGCTGTCCTTCAACTATAAAAGCTACAATTTGAACAGACAAAGGCTAAGAGAATACTGCACACCTGAACCTTCCTTGTCCAAACTACCAGAGAACAAATTTTAACCAATTAATTAATGACTGGGAAAGTTTGATGAAAAGACCAGCAAAAAAATTAAAAATAAAATAAAAGTATAACCATGTAATATGAAGAAGAAATGAAAAACCTGGAACAGTTATACTCAAAAGAGAAGATTTGAGGTTGGAACATATTCAGGTTTTAAAAGAGCTGCCACGTGGTTCAGACGGTAGGAGAAAGTAAATGGCAGTTACATGGAGACACGTTTTAAGACATATAAAGAAGAAATAACAGTCACTTCTATTGATGGAATAGATTTTCTCAGAAGGTAGTGAAATTCCTAGTAATCGAAGACGGGCAAAAATCATAATGTGATACCATTTGTTATCCATTCTACTAATAGAAATTTTTTAAAAAAAGAAAAGAGTGGCCGGGCACAGTAGCTCATGCCTGTAATCCTAGTGCTTTGGGAGGCCAAGACAGGCAGACTGCTTGAGCCCAGGAGTGCAAGACCAGCCTGGGCAATATAGCAAAACCTCTTTTCTGCAAAAAAATACAAAAATTAGCCGGGTGTAGAGGCATGTGCCTATAATCCCAGGTACTCAGGAGGCTGAGGTGGGAGGATCACTTGAGCCAAGGAAGTTGAGGCTGCAGTGAGCCATGCTCACACCACTGCACTCCAGTCTGGGTGACAAAGTGAGGCCCTATCTCGAAAAGAAAAGAAAAGTAACTCAAAGAGTTGAGTAAAAACCAAAGAGTAATAAAAATAAATTTTTTTAAGTAAAAAAAAAGAAAGAAAAAAGAGAAACGGATGTTGGAAAGAAGTATAGGTGGGATCTAAAGTGGCTCAAATTTCTGGAAGGCAATTTGGCAGTGCCCAGCAAAAGCTGGAGCTTCTTCATAGGTCATTCTCTCTCCAACCAGGCTCCGAACACAGGGGAAGGGCAAGTAACAGTGAGCAGGACTCATATCTTATACAAAGGGACTGCCAGATATTTGGAATATACTGTTATCGGGGGTGGGGTGGAGAGAAGGCTATAAAACTCATGTCAAGCATAATCTGTTTTTATAAGTCTATATGATCACAGAAAAACTTTAGAAGGACATACACAAATATATTAAGTGGTTTTTTTTGGGGGGGTTGTCAAATCTTGAATAATGCTTATTTTCTCCTCTTAAGTTACCTGCAGTTCCTCATTTTATACTCCAGACACGTGTTACTATCACAACAAGAAAATTAAAGGTTATTATAAACAGTTAAATTCTCTATATAAACACAAGTCAAGACCTATTGCTGAATTCCATGATGGTAGAGTGAAGAGGTCTGCAAATACTCTCCTAAAAAAATGTATAAAACCAGACCAAACAAAAAAAGTTTCAGGGCTCTAGAAATTGATCAGAGATATAAAAATTACATTGAGAAACATTTATTCATGAATGGGAGATGAAGTGTACTTAAGAATAGTGGGAGTTTGCAGCACTCTTGCCTATTCCCAACCCCTCCATGCCCTAGGCTGGGTTGGCACAGTAGTGTTACTACAGGGGGAACCAGCGGTGAAAACTAGCGGCTTTGGTGATTTGGAAGAGAGGACAAAAACCCCACACCCAGTGGATCATGTATCTAATAAAGGACTTGTATCCAGAACATAAAGAACTTTTATAATTCAATAAAACCAAAATGACACAACTAAGAAACAGGCAAAAAATATGAAAACACATTTAGCCAAAGAAGATATACAATGGCTAATATGCATATGAAAATATGCCCAATATCATTACTCATGAAGAAATTGAGATAGCACTACTAACTCACTACAATGGTTATAAGAAAAAAACTAACAATACTATATGTTGGCAAGGATATAGAGAAACTAGAACCCTCATTCATCACTGGTGAGAACATAAAATGGTACAACCACTTTGGAAAAAGTTGGCAGTTTCTTAAAATGTTAAATGCAAAATTACCACACAACCCGATAATTCTACTCCTAGGTACCTACCCAAAAGAAATGAAAATCCATATCCACAGAAAGACTTGATTTGTATATTAATGTTCCTAGCAGCATTATTGATAATAATCAAAATCAGAAACAACCCAAGGATCTATCAGTGAATGAATAAAATGTGATATATCATAAACAGAATATTATTTAACAATAAAAATGATATGCTAATACATGCTACAACATGAATGAACCTCAAAAATATTATGCTAAGTGAAAAAAGCTGATCACAAGAGAACATATAAGTTCCATTTATATCAAATGTCCTGAAAAGGCAAACGTATAGTGACATAAAGCAAATTAGTGGTTGTCCTGTGGGGGTGGGGAGGGATGGTGGGAATGTTCTAGAAATGGATTTTGGTGATGCTTGCACAATTGGTCAATTTACTAAAAGTCATTAAACTGTACAGTTTTAATGAGTATACATTATGGTATGTAAGTTATACCTCAAAAGAGCTGTTGATAAAACAGAAAAGAAAGTCAACAAGTGCTTGGTAACTTCCCGTCAAAATAAGACTACTGTCGGTAGAAATAATATATTAATATTAAAATTTTTTAAAGATTCCATATTCCTCAGTCTAATAACATATTATTGCTTTTCAATAATTCTAGATGAAATAGATAACTTTTGAAGTGGGTCACTTTTAAGTGATTACTACTGCTACACTAATGTACAAAAAACCTGGAAGCACAGAAACATTTGTACACTTAGAATCCTTTGGTTATTTGGAAAAAGGTGGAAAGCTATTAATGTCACTATTTTACATCTTTTGTTCATCATTTTTGGCAGTTTTAACAAAGACAAAGAAGATTTAAACAGAAAAGAACCATATTGTAGGAGGTCACTATGAATTAAATCTGAAAAAATGTTCTTGGAAAGATTATTCTTGCCATCATTTCTCAACACATTTACTGGAATGTAAAGTTAAAAACAGAATAGTGTTTTGAATTTTTATAAAATTACAAAGACTTGGGCTGGGTGCAGTGGCTCATGCCTATAATTCCAGTGCTTTGGGAGGGCGAGGTGGGAGGATTGCTTGAGCCCAGGGGTTTGAGGCTGTAGTGAGCTATGATCTCACTACTGCACTCCAGCCTGGGCGAAAAAGCAGGACCCTAACTCAAAAAAAAAAAATTACCAAGACACATTGAAAGTTAATGACCTTAATGCAGTAGGAGAATTACAGCGTTACAGTGTTAAGTGAAGACTCACTTGTTTATATATAGTTTCAGAAAAGTCAAATGTGCTGAAAACTAGGCCTACGTGATTTCTTTACAGTGTAAACCACAGGAAAAAAAACCTGTGACATCATTTCTTTACATTTTAACTAAAACTTCTTTCCTAAACATTAAAGAAATATTTGGAATTTAACCACAAAAGTAAATTAATTGCTTATTATAAGGCAACTTTATATCAAAATTCTCTTTCAACAACTGTTTTTCTTTAGCATATAATTTTCATTGCCACTGTCTACATTTTTCATAGAATAAAACATTTGACTGAGTTCTATTGTATTACTATTTTGTTTTGTTTTGAGATGGAGTCTTGCACTGTTGCCCAGGCTGGAGTGCAGTGGTGCATCTCAGCTCACTGCAACCTCCACCTCCCAGGTTCAAGTGATTCTCCTTGCCTCAGCTTCCCAAGTAGCTGGACTTACAGGCACCTGCCACCATGCCCAGCCAAGATAAAATGTTTTACAGTCATGTCCTTGGTCTTCCAATGACTTATCTAAAAATAAAATACACTTAGGTGAAACTTCTAAATCTAGAGAATGGGATTCTGTTTTGAGCAACATTAATTTAACAACTACTACTGTCTAGCCCAGAGCAAGAGGCAAGAAATACAAATAAGATACGATCTTTTCTGTCTAAACTTTATAGTCTGCTACTGAGAAAGACAAATAGTACAGGGAAGTTGAACAGATGGTCAGATATTACCTAAAATCTATCAAGACAGCACCACACTGCTTACTAATGACTAGGATCAGAGTGTAGTCAGTGACGAAAACCAGGACTTGCCAGGTATGGAAGTCTCCAAACAAAACTCATGTCCTTTCTTTCCTCTTCTCTTTTTTTTTCTTTTTTTGAGGCAGAGTCTCACAAGCTCTGTCACCCATGCTGGAGTGCAGTGGTATGATCTCTGCAACCCTGCCCCTGGGTTCAAGAGATCCGCATGCATCAGCTTCCTGAGAAGCTGGGATCACAGGTGTGTGCCACCACTCCCAGCTAATTTTTTTTGTATTTGTAGTAGAGATGGGGTTTTGTCATGTTGGCCACATTGGTCTTGAACTCCTGGCCTTAAGTGATCCACCTGCATTGGCATCCCAAAGTGCTGGGATTACAGGTGTGAGCCACTGTGCCTGGACAAAACTCATGTTCTTTCTAAAACTCCAAATAAAAAACAGCTTTTTTTTTACAAAAATCAAGAAATTAATCTTGGTATTTAGAAAACCTAACTGTAGTCTGCGTGGGATGAATCTGATACCAAACATCAAACTAGAACTAAAGCCAGGTATGGTGGCTCACACCTGTAATCCTAGCACTTTGGGAGGCCAAGGCGGGTGGATCACCTGAGGTCAGGAGTTCAAGACTAGCCTGGCCAACATGGTGAAACCCTGTCTCTACTAAAAATACAAAAATCAGCTGGGTGTGGTGGTGGGTGCCTGTAATCCCAGCTACACAGGAGGCTGAAGCAGGAGAATTGTTCGAACTCAGGAGGCGGAGGTTAGAGTGAGCTGAGATAATACTACTGCTCTCCAGCCTGGGCAACAGAGCAAGACTTCTATCTCCAAAAAAAAAGAACTACAAAGATAACCATCATGGTCTTGAAACTTGAACTTATGCAATATTTGTCTGTTGTACTACCTAAGAAAATTTGATTCTACTAAATAGAGAACAAGAGAAACAATGAGGAGGACAGATACAACTACATATGGGTAATATGCAAGGAAGTAGCTTAACAGACTGTCTTAATCTGTTCAGACTGCTACAACAAAAAATACCATAAACTGGATGTGCTTATAAATGAAAGAAATTTATTTCTCACAGTTCTAGAGGCTGTGAAGTCCAAGATCCAAGACACCTACAGATTCAGTGTCTAATGAGGGCTGGCTTTCTGGTTCCACAAATGGCTATCTTTTTGCTGTTTCTTTACATGGCAGAGGGGTCAAATAATTCTCTGGGGTCTCTTTTATAGGGGTAATAGTCCCATTCATGAGGGCATCACATTCATGACCTAATCGCCTCCCAAAGTCCTCAATTCCAAATATCATCACATTGGAGAATAGGTTTCAACATGTGAATTTTGGAGGTACAAACATTTACTCTATGGCATTCCACCTCTGTTCCTCCAAAATTCGTATCCTTTTCGCATGCAAAATACATTCATTCCATCTCAACAGTCCCTAAAATCTTAACTCACTCCAGCATCAACTCAAAAGTCTAACATCCAAAGTCTCATCTAAATATCATCTAAATCAACTATGGGTAAGACTCAAGGTACAATTCATACTGAGGCAAACTCCTCTCTAGCTGTGAGCCTGTGAAATCAAACCAGTTACGTGCTTCCAAAATACAAAGGTGGGTCAGGCATAGGATAAACACTCCCATTCAAGAAAGGGAAATAGAAAAGAAGAAAGGAATGGCAGGTCCTGAAAAAAATCCAAAACCCAATGGAACAAAATTTCATTAGATCTTAAGGCTCAAGAATAATCCTTTTTGGCTCAATCTCTGACCTTCAGGCCACTGGGACCTGCCTCCACATCTTTGCTGGGCAGAGGTTGAGCCCCTAAGTCTCTAGGTGCTCCTGCCCCCATGGCTTTGGTGGGTTGGTCCTGCAGCAACTCTCTGCCTAAATCTCACACTGTGGCTCCGTGAAATGTTGGTCCCATCCTTGAAATCTATGTAGAGGCAGCCAGGCTACTATGTCTCATGCACTCTGGGCACCGGCAGAGACAGCTCTATGTGGTCACTAAAGTTTGCTGCCTGTACCCTTTGGAAGGGCAGCCACCCTGCTTCACTGAGCCTTTTGGAGTCACAATGGGGCAGCTATAAAGTGTGGCACTAGAGTGTGGGAGCTGAGCCTAAGATGTAAGGAGGTTCTGGGCAGCGCTTTCTTTTTTTTTTTTCTTTTTTCTTTTTTCTTTTATTTTATTTTACTTTACTTTATTTTATTTTATTATTATTATACTTTAAGTTTTAGGGTACATGTGCACAATGTGCAGGTTAGTTACATATGTATACATGTGTCATGCTGGTGTGCTGCACCCATTAACTCATCATTTAGCATTAGGTATATCTCCTAAAGCTATCCCTCCCCCCTCCCCCCACCCCCTGGGTAGCACTTTCTGAAGTCCCACAAGCACCAGGCACAGTAGTCCCTCCTTTGAAACTACTCTTCCTTCAAGGAACTTGCACTCTGGGCCTGGGATGAGAGTAATAGCTCTGAGGATTTTTAAACTGCCTTTGGGGTAATTCTTCCGTTATCTTGGAGAATACCTCCTGGCTTCTGTTGACATGGCTGATACATATTAATTTCCTTATAAAACAATGGCTTGGCCACACTTTTAGTGTTCCCCACCTAGAACTCTCTCTCCCCACTGGCTATCTTATTTTTAATAGTATCGATAGGCTGAGAATTTTCCAAATCTTTAAGTTCTGCTTCCTTTCTGATTAACAACTCCATCTTTAGGTCATTTATCCCTTCTCACATATGTACAAAGAACCATATGCCAGTCAGGAGAAACCAAGGGGGAGGAAACTGCTTAAACTATAATCTCATCAAATAACCGTGAAAAATTAACCATCAGAAAAGAGACTAAAAGTTGTCACCATATCCACACTGACTTTTCATCTATTCTTCTGAGTAAACTATAAGCAGTTAAACAGTTACAAGCAGTGAGGAGAAACCAAGCCACCATTTCAGCACTTTACTTAGAAATTGCTTCAGTTAAATATCCAATTTCATTGCTCACAAGTTCTTCCTTCCACAAAATACTAGAACACAAACACAATTCAGTCAAATTCTTCACCACTTTATAACAAAAAATCATGTTTCCTCCAGTTTCCAACAACATGTTCCTCATTTCCATCTGTGACCTCATCAGAATGGTGTTTGCCATACATCTTTCCATGAACTGATAATTACCATGATCAGGAAAGGCTGATGTGGCACAGAAGGCAAGAGCAACAGGACATTTGAACGTTAAATAACACAGAATTCAGGGAGTGTGGTCCTTTCTTCCCACTTAAGCCCTGTCAAAGAAGATAAACCTAACCTCATCCTTTTCCTCTTTCTTCTTGCTGTGATTTAAGTTGATTCAATAAATCCCATGAATGGCATATTTTAATTTGGTATATGACCTTTCTGTAACGCGACTGTACGTTCCTGCTTGCGCTATGGGATACATGGAAGGTAGTTGATGGTACCAGGCGGTAAGACTACAGAAGCAGAGGTCCCCAAGTTAGAGAGAAAGGCTACGAGGCCTGGGGCATTCTTGAAATTATCAGCACCAGCATGAACTGGGGACAAATCAGGTGGGGTGGACTGTTAGGCACTGATATTACCAAGAGAACCAATTCACAAATTGACCAGTCATAGATTTGAGACCTAAATTCACCAGAAATCATAATATCCAGAGTATAAGAATCTACACATGCATTTCAACTCCTCCTTCTTCATCCACTAGAATATGCAAACTCCCACTTTCAGCCCACCAATCTTTAATATATCCTGATGCCACATTGGATAGAACAGCAGGAGAAGCAGAAAATCTGACTCAGGATTCACCTGAGAGAAACAGAATCATCCAAAAGTGACATTTAAAATTAGAAGAGACTAAAATAACATGAACTGGCAACTGTAATTCCCTACACCACCTCAGAATAGGTGGTTTACTGAAAATAAAATAGATTTGTTACAGTAAAGCAGCTAAATTTTCTTTGTACACATGATTGGCAATACATTTTTGAGCCTACAACAGTATCATGAGCAGCAAAATTTCTTAACACTAACAACATGGCAAAGAGTTTAAAAAAGAAAAGAAATGAGGAAGATAAAGTAGGTTAGTCAATGGACATAGAAACTGAGTTTATTGGAACCAATTTGTGTCCCACTTCAAGAGTCCACACACACATACAGACACACAAAGATACACACAGACACACACACACACACACACGTACGTACTACAGATATCTAGTACTCATTATACTGTCTGAAGTATTAATGTCTTCAGCAGCAGGATATTTCAGTAGTTGCTACATATATGTATAAGTATGTAAGTCCTAAATGTTGGGGTTCAAAAAGCTATACCCCAAAATATGGTGCTTTGGCATGCTGGGTATTTTTAATTAAAATGTCTCAGAAATAAGCCTCAGAACCAAGGTCTCTCTCTGCCTTTCCACTCTCCTGCCCTCCCTCAGTCTCTCTTTTTCTTTCCTAAAGCACTGAGAGTGACTCTCTCTGGAATTTCCTTATCTGATTAAGGAAGCTTCTTTCCAAAAGAAATGCAATTGTCTTAAGATCTACTTCCTGAGAATCTCATCAAATAACCATGAAAAATTAACCATCAGAAAAGAGACTAAAAGCTGTCACCATATCCACACTGACTTTTCATCTATTCTTCTGAGGACAGCTCCAAGAGATTGGCTGGGAGACTTTATCTGCATAAAAACACAACCTTCATTCCACCCCTCACCTTTCCACCACCTCACCATAGCTCAGGGAAACGCTGTCCCAGGCCATGCTCTTTGAACCCATTCATTCACTTTAAAAATTATTTACTACCTCTCTAAAATTACCTGCAGCTCCCTACTTCTCTCTTCCCCAAAAAGAAGGCATTTAAGCTTCAACCACCTGGCCCTTCTTTGAATCTCATATTTGAGGGGCTCTCATATCCATATACATATTAATAAATTTGTAACTCTTTTTCTCCTATTAATCTATTGCCAATTGTTTCAATAAAATTGCAGAAAGGGCAGAGGAAAAGCTTTCTCTTCACTCCTACACAAAGTAAAAAGTAGTGTATCAGCTCATTGAATGTATTAATGTGTGACTTAGTTCTCCCTTTTTTGTCACGATGTTTAAAATTTTTTTTGTTGTTCTCCAAAAGCTATCTTTTTCCAGATATGCTATGGTACAACTGTTGAAAATGTATTTCCTCCTACAGTAAAACCAAGACAGCACAATCAAAGGCCAACCTTAAGGAGAAGGGTAGAAATGATTGAGAATTACTCATCTACCAGAGTGAATAATCTCTTACACTGTGTGATTTTTATGTCAACTTTAACTGAAATTTTATACATGCTTTGGATATAAATTAAGGGAAAATATAAAGTTTTATACATGAGTCAGTGTGCATTCCAGTCAAGGTAGAGATCAATATATTGCAGGTCAAGGGAAAGAAGTAAAGATCTAATCAGACAATCAGAGATGACTACCAATCTTCATGACCTATCTGCTGCCTCATTCTACACATTTTCAGTTCTGTATTGTTTCTTTTATAAAGCTAGAAAAATAGAAGGGCCACCTCTGCAGTAAAGTAAAAGTCAGTATTTTACACATAGATAAATCAGATTTTGAAGGAAACTCTTTGGGGTGATAAAAAAAGAATAACCACATGGATACCTGGATGCTACTAAGCCTCAGAGTTAAAAGGAAGACAGAGTGACATACATGGTGCTGAAAAGTTTTGAGCCTGGAAACAAGGTCATCCTGCAGTTTCACTAAGAAAACTTAATCTATAGGGCTGGTCTACCATTTGGTGACCATTTGGTGACCATTTGGTGTCTGTGTGTCAAAAATTGCTCAGATATTTCTAAACACTTCAGAATGCCATCAGAAGCTACAGCAAATTGCAGCTCTTTCTGAAACACACACAAAAAAAGAGGATCTGGCCTGAGTGTGATTTTTTAAGTGAGCAGTTAAGGTGATAATAAGGAAGAAGATATTTCTCATTTAATACATTCTAGAAAATAAAATGTCCCTATGGAATACAATAGCAACTTGAAACATAAATATGTGTAATTCTCATACAGATATATGCATTTTCTATATAGTACAATCAAAATTTAAATTACAGCATTCTGCAAATTATATAATTGACAATTTTTGATTATTACAAAAGGTTTTGTACAAGCACCAGCAGAATAATTTAGAAATTCATAAATTCTAAAAATTCTAAAACTCCAGAAATATGCACATTTTCCCAAGGATTTTATTTCAGTGTTATTTATTAATGCTACTGTGTTATAACAACCATTCATTTCTACAGTTTAAGGATACACAAACATTTATCAACTGAGCTTCTCCACCATCACTTTCAGCAATCATGCTGAAACAGAAACTCCAGAATTACTAAACGAAAATAGAAATATAAAACAGAAAAATGTCACACACATACTCAAAAGTAATAAATTAATGGTTACTTCAATTCCTCCTCAAGCTAGCCACAAGATTTCTCTAATAGCTATAATGAAGCATTCATGTTTAACTATTCAGGGACAAGAAAGTCTAAAATGCTTGAAAGTGCTCTACTTTAAATCAAGTTGACTTAACGGAATAAATCAGCATGCATCTTTCACCTTTTTTGGAAACTAAAGTGCACAAATATGCTGAATGCCATCCCAAATCCTGCCTAATACCCATTTAAGTAGATAGGAATTTAAGTAA
Organism: Homo sapiens; assembly: GCF_000001405.40. Taxonomy (NCBI): domain Eukaryota; kingdom Metazoa; phylum Chordata; class Mammalia; order Primates; family Hominidae; genus Homo; species Homo sapiens. Next base: position 89,056,811 of record NC_000004.12, read on the forward strand.
CAAATCTTTCCCCACCTCCTGGGAAGGAAAAATAAGTTACACAAACATCTCATCAAAACAAGGAAGGCAAGGCCCTCTCCTAAAAACTGGCAGTAAACACAGAAGACAGAAGAAGGCCTATACTTACACAGATGGCTAGAGCTCCTGCCCCCATTCTCTCAGAAAGCGTCTGGAAGAACTGAGGAAGACCAGACGAAAATATTAAAACGACAGCAAAATACTAAAATTCCATTCAGCACATATTCTTTGATGTGAAAAACAGCTCCCAATGCAAAGGCCCCAAGGTAAGCGAAGAGCAGCTTCTAACATTTTAGGAAGAGTGGTTTTGCTTCTCTTTCCGCTGAACCCACATGGCTGGAAGGACTGCCTGGAGTTGAAATTTGATCCACAGCCTCAGTGCTGGCAAGTAGAGGGAGTCACGTGACACGGGTCTTAAGTCGCTGACATCTTTTTTTCAAACCTGACTCCCTAGATCCTACACACAGGCTTCTTTGACTCCGAAAACTGCCAGTCACCTGGTGGCTTTCATTAATAGAACCAACAGTGCATAAAGTGAAAACACAGACTTGCTTCCCAGATTCCACACAGCTCTAAGCAAAATGTACGTATTCAGACTCAGGTTTAAAACTGCAGGCACATTATTCATTTTTTCTGAGGCAGTTTTCTCTTCTACTCTTCCTTAGAAACCAGCTAAATTCTACCAAAATTTTCTTCCTTCCATGCTACCCCATCAGAATTGTTTTAAATGAAAATGCTCTATTTTATGTAGCCGTTACTACTTCTAATTATGTATGAGTTGTCTTATAAAAATATACTGATGATAAACATAAACAACATACTTCTAGACAACCATAATTCTACATATGTGATTTGCAGTCTGAAAAATTAGCTAACTGACTTTTCAATAACTTTCTCTTCCACATGCTGTCACTAGAAAATTTGATAGATTTTAAAATTTACAAATATTTGAACTAATAGCTAAAATAGCCACTTCAGGTAAGCCAAAAGGAAACTATCCTATTTTTATTTTTGTTACCATTTTTTCTGTCAATTTGTTTTTCTTTTTTCTTTTGCTGTACCTATTGACCCATCCTCTAAGTTCTCTCCCCTCACCCCCAACCTCCCAACAGGCCCTGATGTGTGTTGTTTCCCCTTTGTGTCCATGTGTTCTCAATGTTCAACTCCCACTTATGAGTGAGAACATGTGGTGTCTGGTTTTCTGTTCCTGTGGTAGTTTGCTGAGGATGACGGCTTCTAGCTTCATACATGTCCATGCAAAAGACATGATCTTGTTCCTTATTATGGCTGCATAGTATTCCATGGTGTATATGTACCACATTTTCTTTATCCAGTCTATCATTGATGGGCATTTGAGTGGGTTCCATGTCTTTGCTATTGTAAACAGTGCTGCGATAAACATATGTGTGTATGTGTCTTTATAGCAGAATGATTTATACTCCTTTGGGTATATACCCAGTAATGGGACTGCTGGGTCAAATGGTATTTCTGGTTCTAGATCCTTGAGGAATCTCCATACTGTCTTCCACAATGGTTGAACTAATTACATTCCCACGGACAGTGTAAAAGCGTTCCTATTTCTCCACATCCTCTCTAGCATCTGTTGTTTCCTGACTTCTCAATAATTGCCATTCTAACTGGCTCGAGATAGTATCTCATTGTGGTTTTGATTTGCATTTCTCTGATGATCAGTGATGGTGAGCTTTTCTTCATAGGTTTGTTGGCTACATAAATGTCTTCTTTTGAGAAGTGTCTGTTCATATCCTTTGCCCACTTTTTGATGGGGTAGTTTGTCTTTTTCCTGTAAATTTGTTTAAGTTCCTTATGGATTCTGGATATGAGACCTTTGTCAGATGCATAGTTTGCAAATATTTTCTCCCATTCTGTAGGCTGCTTGTTCACTCTGATGATAGTTTCTTTTGCTGTGCAAAAGCTCTTTAGTTTAATTAGATCCCATTTGTCAATTTTGGCTTCTGTTGCCATTGCTTTTGGCATTTTTGTCTCTGCCCATGCCTATGCCCTGAATGGTATTGCCTAGGTTTTCTTCTAGGGTTTTTATAGTTTTGGGTTTTACATTTAAGTCTTTAATCCATCTTGAGATAATTTTTGTATAAGGTCTAAGGAAGGGGTCCAGTTTCAGTTTTTTGCATATAACTAGCCAGTTTTCCCAGGACCATTTACTGAATGGGAGATCATTTTCCCATTGCTTGTTTTTTGTCAGATTTGACGAAGATTAGATTGTTGTAGACATGTGGTGTTATTTCTGAGGTCTCCGTTCTGCTCCATTGGTCTGTATGTCTGTTTTGGTACCAGTACTGTGCTGTTTTGGTTACTGTAGCCTTGTAGTATAGTTTGAAGTCAGGTAGCATGATGCCTCCTGCTTTGTTCTTTTTGCTTAGGATTGTCTTGTCTATATGGGGTCTTCTTTGATTCTGGATGAAATTTAAAATAGTTTTTCTAATTCTGTGAAGAATGTCAATGGTAGTTTGATGGGAATAGCATTGAATCTATAGATTACTTTGGGCAGTAGGGCCATTTTCATGATCATGATTCTTCCTATCCACGAGGATAGAATGTTTTTCCATTTGTTTGTGTTCTCTCTTATATCCTTGAGCAGTGGTTTGTAGTTCTCCTTGAAGAGGTCCTTCACATCCCTTGATAGCTGTATACCTATGTATTTTATTCTCTTTGTAGCGATTGTGAATGGGAGTTCATTCATGATTTGCCTCTCTGCTTGCCTATTGTTGGTGTAAATGAATGCTTGTGATTTTTATACATTGATTTTGTATCCTGAGACCTTGCTGAAGTTCCTTATCAGTTCAAGAAGTTTTGGGGCTGAGATGATGGGGCTTCCTAAATATAAAATCAAGTCGTCTGCAAACAGAGATAACTTGATTTCTTCTCTTCCTATTTGAATACCCTTTATTTCTTTCTCTTGTTTGATTGCCTTGGCCAGAACTTCCAATACTATGTTGAATACAAGTGGTGAGAGAGGGCATCCTTGTCTTGTACCAGTTTTCAAAGGGAATGCTTCCAGCTTTTGCCCATTCAATATGATATTGGCTGTGGATCTCTCATAAATAGCTTTTATTATTTTGAGATCTGTTCCATCAATAACTAGTTTATTGAGAGTTTTTAACATGAAGGGATGTTGAATTTTATCAAAGGCCTTTTCTGCATCTGTTGAGATAATCATGTGGTTTTTGTCTTTGGTTCTGTTTATGTGATGGATTATATTTATTGATTTGTGTATGTTGAACCAGCCTTGCATCCCAGAGATGAAGCCGACTTGATCATGGTGGATAAGTTTTTTGATGTGCTGCTGGTTTCAGTTTGCCAGTATTTTACTGAGGATTTTTCACATCAATGTTCATCTATGGTATTGGCCTGAAGTTTTTTTGTGGTTGTTGTGTTTCTTCCCAGTTTGGGTACCAGGATGATGCTGGCTTCATAAAATGAGTTAAGGAGGAGTCCCTCCTTCTAAATTGTTTAGAATAGTTTCAGAAGGAATGGTACCAGCTCCTCTTTGTATTTCTGGTAGAATTCAGCTGTGAATCCATCTGGTCCTGGGCTTTTTTGGTTGGTAAGCTATTAATTACTACATCAGTTTCAGGCTTGTTATTGGTCTATGCAGGGATTCAACTTCTTCCTGGTTCAGTCTTGGTAAGGTGTATGCATCCAGGAGTTTAATCATTTCTTCTAAATTTTCTAGTTTGTTTGCATAGAGGTGTTTGTAGTATTCTCTGATGGTAGTTTGTATTTCTGTAGGATCAGTGGTGATATCCCTTTTATCATTTTTTTATTGGGTCTATTTGATTCTTCCTTCTCTGTTTTCTTCTTTATTAGTCTAGCCAGCAGTCTATCTATTTTGTTAATTTTTTCAAAAAAAACCAATCTTCTGGATTTATTTTTTTGGAGGGTTTTTTGTGTCTCTATCTCCTTCAATTCTTCTCTGATCTTAGTTATTTCTTGTCTTATGCTAGCTTTTGGATTAGTTTCCTCTTGCCTCTAACTCTTTTGTGATGTTAGGGTGTCAATTTGAGATCTTTGTAGCTTTCTGATGTGGGCATTTAGTGCTATAAATTTCCCTCTTAACACTGCTTTAGCTGTGTCCCAGATATTTTGGTACGTTCTTTGTTCTCATTGGTTTCAAAGAACTTCTTTGAATTTCTGCCTTAATTTCATTATTTACCCAGAAGTCATTCAGGAGCAGGCTGTTCAATTTCCATGAAATTGTGTGGTTTTGAGTGAGTTTATTAATCCTGAGTTCTAATTTGATTGCACTGAGAGACTGTTTATGATTTCAGTTCTTTTACATTTGCTGAGGAGTGTTTTACTTCCAATTACATGGTAAATTTTAGAATAATTGCCATGTGGCACTGAGAACAATTTATAGTCTGTTTATTTGGGGTAGAGAGTTCTGTAGACATCTACTAGGTCCACTTGATCCAGAGCTGAGTTCAAATCCTGAATATCCTTGTTAGTTTTCTGTCTCTTTGATCTGTCTAATACTGATAGTGAGATGTTAAAGTCTTCCACTACTATTGTGTGGGAGTCTAAGTCTCTTTGTAGGTCTCTAAGAACTTGTTTTCTGAATCTGGGTGCTCCTGTATTGGGTGCATATATATTCAGAATAGTTAGCTCTTCTTGTTGAATTGTTCCCTTTACCAATATGTAATGCCCTTCCTTGTCTTTTTTATCTTTGTTGGTTTAAAGTCTGTTTAGTCAGAGACTAGGATTGCCACCCCTGGTTTTTTTTTTTTTTTTTTTTTTTTTTTTTTCTTTGCATTTGCTTGGCAAATTTTCCTCCATTCCTTTATTTTGAGCCTGTGTGTGTCTTTGCATGTAAGATGGGTCTCTTGAATACAGCACACTGATGGGTCTTGACTCCTTACCCAATTTGCCAGTCTATGTCTTGTAATGGGGGCATTTAGCCCATTTACATTTAAGATTAGTATTGTTATGTGTGAATTTGATCCTGTCATCATGGTGCTATTTGGTTATTTTGCACACTAGTTAATGCAGTTTCTTTGTAGTGTCATTGGTCTTTATATTTTGGTGTGTTTTTGCAGTGGCTGGTACTGGTTTTTCCTTTCCATATTTAGTGCTTCTTTCAGGAGCTCTTGAAGGGCAGGCCTGGTGGTAACAAAATCCCTCAGCATTTGCTTGTCTGGAAAGGATTTTATTTCTCCTTTGCTTATGAAGCTTAGTTTGGCTGGATGTGAAATTCTGTGTTGAAAATTCTTTCTTAAAGATTGTTGAATATCGACCCCCAATCTCTTCTAGCTTGTAGAGTTTCTGCTGAGAGTTCTGCTGTTAGTCTCATGGGCTTCCTTTTGTAGGTAAACTGGCCTTTCACTCTGGGTGCCCTTAACAGTTTTTCCTTCACTTTGACCTTCGAGAATCTGATGATCGTGTGTCTTGGGGTTGCTCTTCTCATGGAGTGTCTTAGTGGTGTTCTATGTATTTCCTGAATTTGCATGTTGGCCTGTCTTGCTAGCTTGGGGAAGTTCTCCTGGATAATATCCTCAATTGTGTTTTCCAGCTTGTTTCCATTCTCCCCTTCTCCTTCTGGTACTCAAATCAATTGTAGGTTCAGTCTTTCCATGAAGTCCCATATTTCTTGGAGGCTTTGTTCCTTCCGTTTCATTATTTTTTCCCTACTCTTGTCTGCATATCTTATTTCAGCAAGGTAGTCTTCAAACTCTGATATCCTTTCTTCCACTTGGTCAATTCAGCTGTTGATAGTTATGTATGCTTTACGAAGTACTCATGCTGTTTTTTTCAGCTCCATTAGGTCATTTATGTTCCTCTCTAAACTGGTTATTCTAATTACCAATTCCTGTAACCTTTTATCGAGGTTCTTAGCTTCTTTGCATTGGGTTAGAACACGCTCCTTTACCTCACCATAGTTTTTTATTACTCATCTTCTGAAGCCTACTTCTGTCAATTTGTCCGTCTCATCCTCTATCCAGTTCTGCACCCTTGACGGAGAGACGTGATCATCTGGAGGAGAAGAGGCACTCTGGCCTTTTGGGTTTTCAGCATTTTTTTGTTCATTCTTTCTTATCATTGTGAGTTTGTCTAGTTTCAGTCTTTGAGGCTGCTGACCCTTGGATGGGGTTTTTGTGGGGCCTTTTTGTTGTTGTTGATGCTGTTGTTGTTGCTTTCTGCTTGTTTTTCTTTCAGTAGTCAGGTCCCTCTTCTGTAGGGCTGCTGCAGTTTGCTGGGGGTTTGCTTCAGGCCTTATTCATCGGATTCACTCCCATGCCTGGAGATGTCACTCAAGGAGGCTGGAGAGCAGCAAAGATGGGTACTTGCTCCTTCTTCTGGGACCTCTGACCTCAAGGGGCACCAACCTGATGCCAGTAGGATTGATCCCGTATAGGATGTTTGACAACCCCTGTTGGAGGGTCTCACCCAGTTGGGTGGCATGGGGAGCAGGAACCGTTTAATGAAGCACTTTGTCCCTTGGTGGAGAGGTTGTATTTTGCTGGGGCAAAACCCACTTGTCTGGGCTGCCTGGATTCCTCAGAACTACCAGGAGTAGAGGCTAAGTCTGCTGGTCCACAGAGACTGTGGCCACCCCTCCCACTATGGGCTTGGGCCCCGGGAGATCCAAATTCTGTCCCTCAGCCTCTGGCTGGAGTTATTGGAGATCCTGCAGGGAAGACCTGCCCACTGAGGAAGGATGGGTCAGGGTTAGACCTGAAGAGGCACTCTAGCTGCCGACTGCCACAGCTGGCTTGTTGGGCTGTGGGGACAAGTCGTGGGACCAAGCTGTCCAGCCTCCCTGGCCCTAGCAGGGGAAAAGTGCAGCCTCAAGCTATAGAAATGAGTGTCACCCTTCCCTGGCCCAGGGAGCTTAGCATGTTAGGCTGTTGTGAGTCTCAGTGCTGGCTGCTGCAAAAATTAACATATCTACTTCCAATATATTTTCTATGCTTGTTAAAAAACATAATGCAGATCTAATTTATGATAATTTTATATCCTAATTTTTTTCACTTAAAATTGTATCAGAGGCACGCATGCTCCCATGTTACTAACACTATAAGCAAATTAAATCAGAAGTGGTATTACTTTTTGTACACACAACAGTTTCTTTAGTCATTCTCCCATTTTTAGACATTTACATAGTTTCTGATTTTATCTGTGTGTGACAGTAAGTAATGCTTTGTCCTTGCTCTGATTCTTTTCTTGTAAAGATTCCTGAAAGTGAAATTTCTGGAATACAAAGAACATGAATGTGGGCTAGGCCAGTGCTCCTGACATGCACTGGCTCTGGCAGTTTCTATTCTACAAGCTACCCTACCCAAGAATGAATATTTTATAAAATATTTCCTAATATTTTAAACTATTCAGTAAGTGAAAATGGTTTCTCAATTTTAAACTTACATTCATTTTTCTTTTCAGTGAAATTAACGATATAAAAAATCCTCATTAGCCATTTATATTTTCTGTTCTGTGAACTGTTTTCATTTTTTTCCCACTTATCAACTGGAATCTCATCACAGTCTCTTTTATAGGATGTTAAGTCAAACTAAATTTGGCCTCAGAAAGCCTCCAGACTCACAAACTGGAGTTCTTATGAATAAACCACAACCTAACTTTATAGGCAAACAAGCTGAAAACCTAACTTAGGAGTATGCTTCTGTAACAATAGCTGGATCTCATAGCTGGGTCTCAGCCAATCCCAGCAGCCATACCTTAACCATTTTCAGAAAAACGGGCTAACCTTACTAGAGACAACTTAAAATTAAGATGGCCACAGTGGGGAAGTTTTAATTGGGATAAAATTATTTATTTGAAATGTATATTAGGAAAAAAATGAAAAACCCACAAAAACAATGGGATGTATTATTTAATTGGTATGCAGAGCATCTACAAGACTAAATAAATTTAAAACTGCCTCCTTAAAATATTCTTTGCAAAAAACAAATAAGCTTAAGTAACAGATGAAAGAGGACTATACTCTGCATAAACTAACCCCAACTGTTCCCTCTCTTTATCCAACTCTACCTAAATACTCTGAGTGTCCACTAACCTCTTTGCTAAATTACCCTTTCACCCTGAAGATGGTGATAAGAGAAGTTAGACTCCGTACAAAGCAAGGCCCTCTGATCAGCCAGGCCTTTCTGCCATAACCTTTACTCATGGTCTAAGCTTAGAGTCATGGTAAAGGACTTCCTTGATCTAAGGGAAAATCCTCAAAACTTTACTAAGGAATGTGGAATCCTCATAGGAGCTTATGATCCAGGACTCCCTCATCTTTGCCAGTTTACTCACATGATATTAGGGCTTTACGAAGTGTGAAAATGAATCATAGAGGCAGAATGGGACAAATGCGAGGAAGGTATTAAAGACTCCTCCAAAACCTCCTCATGGAGAGGGCCAAAATGAGCTAGAAAAATTGCTGAAAACCATTTAAATTCAATTCATAAGATTCTTCCACAAAAAATTGATTGGTTCATCACACAATCTTTCAGGCAAAAAGGATGACCCAGTTTCAGATTACAGAATTCACTTAGAAACACTATTTGTGAAACACTCTGGGCTCAAAATACAATGAGTATTTCCTGCAGGGACTGAAACAGCATTAACTGTTGTATTTATAAATGCACTCTGTCCTAAACTTAGTAGTTTAATTAAAAAACATAAACTAGGATGGGAAATTACAGATATGACTAAATGGTTGGCCTTAGCTGAACATTTTGAGAGGACTCTAGAGAAAGAAAAAACCCAAAAAGCTAACAAGCCTATGTCACTCCAATTACAACAGTTACCAAGACTAAAGGGACTTTCACATTTTTATTTTAAATCACAATCAGGAGGTCCTACAACAAGAAATTCTTTACCCCAAGGTGTCTCCACCTTGTACACTGGAAAAGAGATGGTTGGGTTTTATATCAGTCCACCAATAAGCCTCCTTTTAGACCACGAGAGAGAGCCCAAGAGATTTTAACTCTTATGATGATAATCAACACGTAAGAGGTTCTAAGGTATTCTCCAGCAAACTGTTCCTAATAATACTCTTAAATAAACATAAAGAAACAAGTTAAAATAAGTGGAGAGTCTTGTACAATCCTGGTGGATACTAGAGCCACCTTATCTACCATAAATCCCACTTTAATACATGAACAAATCCCTCAGAATAAGAAGGTCATTTCTGTGCTGGAGTTTCGAATCAAGCTCAAGAAGTTCCCATATCTGAACCTGTCCAATTGACTTTAGGGTCATTTAAAAAAAAACATATATTTTACCATGTGATAATGCTCCAGAAAACTTGCTAGGGCAAGACTTAATTTCAAAGCCAAAAGAGCATATAAAATTCTCCTCTGGCTGGGTATGGTGGCTGATGCCTGTAATCCCAGCACTTCAGGAGGGTGAAGTGGAAGGATTACTCGAGCTCAGGACTTCAAGATCAGCCTGGGCAATATTGCAAGACCTTGTCTCAATTAAAAAAAAAATTCTCGGCCAGGTGCAGTGGCTCACACCTGTAATCCCAGCACTTTGGGAGGCCAAGGTGGGAGGATCACCTGTGGTTGGGAGTTCAAGACCAGCCTGATCAACATGGAGAAATCCTATCTCTACTAAAAATACAAAATTAGCCTGGCATGGTGGTGCATGCGTAATCCCAGCTACTTGGGAGGCTGAGGCAGGAGAATAGCTTGAACCTGGGAGGTGGAGGTTGCAGTGAGCCAAGATCACACCATTGCACTCCAGCCTAGGCAACAAGAGCAAAGCTCCGTCACAAAAAAAAAAAAATTCTCCTCAGAGGGAGACTAATGTTAGAATTTCTGGACTCTCCTGAACCAGAAATATTATGCTCACTACAGCTAGAAATTGGTAAGTTTGAAATTCAGGCTTATAATACCCCTGACCTATTTAAAATACCTGAATGTTTATGGGTCTCTTCCTCAACTGATATAGGGAGGATTAAAAGTGTGGAACTTATAAAAGTTCAAGTAGATCATTCTAAACCTTGGCCTAAATTACCCCAATATCCACTAAAATCTGAAGCAATTCAAGGGCCCTCACCAACTGTAGAAGATTTAATTAAACAAAGACTTACAATTCTGTGTACCAGTCCTTGTGACACTCAAATTCTACCACTTAAAAAAATCAATGAATGAGGTCAGAGATTTGTTCAAGATTGACAGGAAATTAATAAAATTGTAATACTAAGGTTTCCTGTAGTCCCAAATCCTAATACTTTTATTATCTAATGCCCTTGCTGATTCAAAGTGGTTGACAATAATAGACCTCTATTCAGCCTTCTTTAGCATTCCAATTCATAGAGTCGACACTTGTTTGCTTTCATTGGAAAAATCAGCAGTACACCCAGACTGTAATGGGTTTATTGAAGCCTCTTCATATTTTTCCCAGGCATTGCATCAGGACTTTATAACCCTATAGTTTCCTGAAATACTCCTCTTATTCAGTATGTAGATGACCTGTTGTTATAATCTCCCACTAAAGATCTCTGAAATTGACTCAATTTACTTTTTACAGCAACTAACATAAAGGTCACAAAGTTTCAGTGAAAAAACCAGTGTTCAGAAGAAAACGTTCACTATTTGGGACATGACTTGATGCTAAAAGGATTTCTTTCTTGCTGAGAGAATAAAAACTACTCAAAGTTTTTCTTAGCCTGCAACCAAAAGACAATTAAGAGATTTTCTTGGTCTTGCAGGATATTGCTGGGTCACAAATTGTTCCTTAATGGCATCATCATTGTGTGAGCTCATTAGAAAGGCAATACCAGAGCCTTTGGGAAAATAGTCATGGGTAGGCTTTTAGCCAAATGAAATTGGCCTTAAAACAGCCCCTAGCTTTAGGACTTCCTAATTATACTAAATATTTTACCTTGTTTGTCCATGAACATAACAATCAGGCATTAGGAGTTCTTACCTAAGAACATGAAGGCAAAATAGGCCCACTGCCTATTATAGCCTGCAACTAAACTCAGTAGCTAAAGCATAGCCTAATTGCTTAAAAGCAGTAGCAGCAGCAGCTATGTTGGTAGAAGCTTAATCTGAGCTGATTTCAGGGAATGAAGATAATTTGCAAGTCCCACATGCTGTGGAAAATCTATTAAATTCCAACCAAACTCAGCATTTTTCAGCAATTAAACTAACATGAAATTCTCCTATCTCCTTCCAATCTCCATCTAAAATGCTATAGTCTACTTAATCCTGCTATTCTATTCTCTCTGCCTGATGATGGTGAAGGTCACAAATACATTACGTGTAGCATCAGAAATAGTGGCCCATCGCATTGATTAAAACACTCTGTTGGATAATCCTGCACTAATACTTTTTGTTCAGGGGTCCCATGCCGAAAACTCAGAAGGAAAATATCAGGCAGGCTATGTCCTTACGAAGCAAAATGAGCTAACAGAGAAGGAAACTCTTCCTCAATTTAAGTCAGCTCAACCTGTGGAGCTTTTTGCTCTCTCCAGAGTTTGTTGTATAGCTAAAGACAAGTCAGTAAATACTTATGCAGATAGTAGATATGCTTTTGAAGTAGTACATGATTTGGGCACATTATGGAAACACTAAAAGCTTCTCACTTCTTGTGGAAACCCCATCAAAAACAGACTCCAACTAGATAAACTCCTTTCTGCTATCCTGTTACTATTAAAGATTGCCATTAAGATAAAAGCCCATACTTGTAAAACTGCACCTAAATATCAAGGAATGTCCTAGCAGATTTTTATGCTAAATCAGGTAGTGATGAAACTGTTAGAATATGTAATTTGAAAAACTCCGTAAGATTGATCCAAGTCTACTCTCTTATGATGACCTATTTAATAAACACTACAATTAATCTGATTTGGAAAAACAAAATTGGTATCTAACTGGATATAAATTTTATGTTAAGGGTAGACTCACAGAGGGCCTTCCTAAGTCTTTGAAGCTTCCATTGTTAAAAGTTCTGTACTCTATAACTCATTATGGAATAGACACAATTGGCATGACTTCCCAAATTGCTAAAATAGTTTACAACCTATGTTTGGGTTGTCAAACTCATAATCCAGGGAAAACAATTGAGACTTCAGGTGGCATATTTCCACCACTGATGGATCATTTCAACATTTCCAGATGGACTTCATTCAGTTGCCACCCTCACTGGTATCAGTACTTTCTTGTAATAGTCTGTATGTTTTCTAATTGGGTAGAGGCTTTCCCAAGTAGAAAAGCTGCTGCTGTCACAATAGCAAAGAAATTATTAGAAAATGTATTTCCTGGCCAGGTGCAGTGGCTTATGCCTGTAATCCTAGCACTTTGGGAGGCTGAGGCAGGTGGATCATGAGGTCAGGAGTTGGAGACCAGCCTGATCAACATGGTGAAACCCCGTCTCTACTAAAAATGCAAAAATTAGCCAGGCGTGGTGGCACACGCCTGTAATCCCAGCTACTCAGGAGGCTGAGGTGGGAGAATCACTTGAACCCAGGAGGTGGAGGTTTGCAGTGAGCCAAGATCACATCACTGCACTCCAACCTGGGCAACAGAGCAAGACTCTGTCTCAAAAAAAAAAAAAAAAGAAAAAAAAAAGAAAGAAAATGTATTTCCTTTATGTGATATCCCTGAGGACATCTCCAGTGATAGGGAAACTCATTCTACTGGGTTAAGTTATGGAGTAGTTAAATAAGGTACTACAGGCACAATGGTCTCAGCCAATCCCAGCAGCCATACCTCAACAAGTCACAGGTAGTCAACTGTTCAAAACAAGTTAAAATAAGGAAAATGCTGAGCTGTAACCAATCCTGCTGTTTCTGTACCTCACTTCTGTTTTCTGTGTGTCTGGCATGCTCTGCACCCCCACCTTACAGTCCTTGCCCTATGCATCTCTTTCTGTATCCTTTATAAGCACTAACTTAACCACTTTCCTTTTCCTGTTCACAAATCTTATCGACCATGCAGCAGCCCTGAAGTCTCAATCTGTTTAGATTCTGGAGGCTATTTCAGTATGAATCATTTTTGTTTCTTTTTTCTTGCTCGATTAAGCTCAAATTTAATATGTTTAAAGTTTTTCTTTTAACATAGGGTCACTGCATGGATTAAATAATACAGTCCATAAAAAGCACTTAGTATAGTACCTGGAAAATGGTAATAAAAACTAACATTTTTGGATGCTTATTACATGGTTTGATTATATATCTATTTGGAATTTATTTTGAAATACAGTAAAATATGAGGATCTAAACTGATTTTTTTACTTTTCATCTAACTACCACAACCCAGATGTGCTAACAATCTTCAGAACCCAATCTTTCTGATACTATTGGATCCTGTTCTCCCTGTTAGCTGTGGCTGAGCCCATTGTTGTCCAGTTACAGACTAAATTTCTTGACCTTTCATGTAGATAGATATGGTCACGTAATCATGTACTCATTAGCAGAATGTGAATGCATAAGTATTTGCAACTTTTGTGTCACATGCTTAACAGAAAACCCCCTTACTACACATTTCTTCTCTTTCCCTTTTATCACAAGCTGCAATGCAGGTGGGCTAGAAACCTAGCTTCAATCACTGAGAAGAAGGACAATGTCCCAGGGGATGACAGAGTAATTAAACGGAAGGAATCTAGATCCTTGAACAACCTTATGAAGTACAGCTGCCTTGCAATCCCAGACCAACTAGACTCTTACATGAGAAAAAGATAAAACTCTCATATATGCTATTGTGTGTATATGTATAGTGGTTAGTATATTTGGCTAATATACTAACAAAATGATAGAGCCCAATTTGTTGAGCAAATTTCCCATTTTCCAGTTATTTCATATTATTGAAACTACATATGAAATTCATATACAAACACAATGCCTACACATGCACATACCAGGGTCTTTTTCAAGCTAATATATTTTATCTGTTTTTCTTTCTTCTAGTCTCACTATCATCATATTTGAATAAGTATATCATTAAATATCACTTAAATATCTGATAAAAATAGCCCTCTCTTATCCATATTTTTCAAAATTTTATGCTTTTCTTTCCAATAAATTCTTCATGATAAATTTCAGAAACATTCAGTAAAGGTAGAACAAGTTAGAGCATGTGATATTGTGATATAATAAGAAATATGTATTAAGTCTTCACTCCCGATTTCTGGCACAGAGCTCCTAAAACCCTTAGAATTTTCTGAGTGACAAGGTGATAGGAGAATCTTTTGTTAAAATATTTGGTATTAGTCTATGGTTCCTACCACAAGATCTTTGAAGACCCCTGGAATCTCTGGAGTGATGAGTATATTTTTTATGCTAAAGAGATGACTAGTGGTTGGGGGCCCCTATAGCTTCAGGATGGGGGCTGGTACAGGATGGCTTCAGGATAGCTTGAAGGCATGATTAGAGGATTGAACCTTTCAGCCCCACCCCTGACACCCAGGGAGGGAAAAGAGGCTGGAGATTCAGTCAATCACCAATGGTCAGTGATTTAATCAACCAAGCCTGCATACTGAAACCTCCATAAAACCCCTGAAATAATGGAGCTGGGAGACCTTCCAGGTTGGTGAACACATGGTGGTGCTGGGAGAGTGGTGTGTCTGGCATGCTCTGCACCCCCACCCTACAGTCCTTGCCCTATGCATCTCTTTCTGTATCCTTTATAACCACTAACTTAAGTAAACTCTTCCTGAGTTACGTGATCCATTGTAGAAAATTAACAAACACAAGCAGAGACTTGCAAGAATCCCCATTTGTGGCTGAGAAGTACAGGAAGCTTTGTAGGAGTCTTGTGGGACATCTGAAGCGGGAGCAGTCTCACGGGACTGAGCCCTTAGCTTGTGAGATTATGATACTCACTCCAGATAGTGCCAGAATTGAACTGAATTCTAGAACACCCAGCTGGTATTGGAGAATTGGTTGGTGTGGAGAAAAAACTCCACACATTTGGTGTCAGCAGATCATACCACAAAAGTTACACATCTTGTCATTGTTTCTCATAAGTATACATACATTTTATTTCTAATATATTTCTGTTATTTATAATAGGTATATACAAATTATTTTAACTATTATATTATTTCCTAAGGCTGATATTAGGATTTAAAAAATCAAGTCTTAATTTTCATAACTTCTTATACCATTATAAAGTAAAATTAGTCCTGTGCCTACCAAATTTTTATTTGTAATTATTATTCTCTGTGATGACTAGACTTCACTTGCAAAAATAAAATATTCTTTCTTTTTTTTTTTTTTTTTGATTCGGAGTTTCACTCTTGTCACCCAGGCTGGAGTGCATGGTGAGATCTTGGCTCACTGCAACCTCCACCTCCCGGGTTCAAGTGATTCTCCTGCAGCCTCCCAAGTAGCTGGGATTACAGGTGCCCACCACCACGGCCAGCTATTTTTTTGTATTTTCAGTAGACAAGGAGTTTCGCCATTTTGGCCAGGCTGGTCTTGAACTCCTGACCTCAGGTGATCCACCTGCATGGGCCTCCCAAAGTGCTGAGACTACAGGCGTGAGCCACCGCGCCTGACCTAGTATTCTTTCAACAAAGGTTAAGTGAGCTATCCACTGCCTGAGTGTGCTAGGAGTGCAAGCAAGTACTCCCACCAGGGATTGGCGGAGGTGATGAATAAAGTACCAGCAGCACAGTAAAAACAATAAAGAACTTCTGCAGGAATAGCACCACCTGAATGGAATTTCCTAAGGCTACATTGTCTATACTTCCAGGCTTTCCTGCAATTCCTTGTAAAGAAATTGAGTGGAGTAGGTGAGGCTGGGCAGAGGCACCGCAGGGGAAGGGAATCTCCTCGATCTTGTTCTCTTAGCTGAACACCCCCATAGGCACCCTTCCTGGATGAGGGGTAGGTCGAAGATTCTTGCCAAAGGACTGTCATCTCCTTTTCTCAAAGGACATGGATGTCTGTGAACTAACAATCGATCAGGACACCCTCTGCATGTGGCCACTGCTTTGCTGGGGTGTGTGGGAGTGGACCATGAGGTAGGAATCCGCTTTCCCCAACAGCAGCAGCTGCTCCATGTCACTCCAGTATTCTACAGGCATCTAGTTGACCTCACAGCCTGGAATCTGGCATCTCAAGAAACTAGCATTGGGATGGCCCCTGAGGATGACCACTCTCTGCTCTACCCCACAATGCTCATAGAAGGGGCAATGAAGTGGTGAGACCACACAGTGTCCCTTGGGAGATTCAGAGGGTTAGAGACTAGAGAACAAAGAAGTTCGAGAACATACAACCTGGTCCCATCTGGAATGTGGCAGGTGACATTGGAACTGAGTTTACAGGCTGGATGGAATCTAGGGAAACAGGTGCTGGGACTAAGGTTGAGAGCACCATCTGCTTGGCCAATTGTCAAAGCAAGTTCAGCTGCTGGGTTTCAGAAATGTCAACATGTCAAAGGGAATGTGCACTGGGAATCTGGGGGAGACACAGTCCAGTGCTTTTCTAACTAAACAGTATTGTGATAAAATTTTTATCATATCTTTGTGAACTCACATGACTAATGTTTCAATAAGCAATTTAAAAAGAGATTTTTGTCCCCATGACAACATTGTTTTAGGTCCTGTTAAATAAAACCCATCAAAACCTTAAAAAAGAAAAAACACCCTGAATAGGCCATTGAACAAAAAGCACTAACTAAAAGACACTGTGCACTTCAAATAATGTTTGTTTTTCCATGGAATATATCTGAAATCAGAGTCTGAAATATTTTTTCCTGACCCCAAAATGTACACAAATGATGTTAGAGCTCAATTAAGCCCAGAAAGGTCTCTTAGGTGTCATATACTTAATATTGAGTCCTGAGTGTTGATTTACAAAGAACTTTAAGATATAGAAGCCACAGCCAAGACATTTGCTGATATGAGTTACTACTTTTTCTCCAGAAAGGATACAGGAATTTTAAAAAGTGCTTTTCTGACTAGCCCACTATGGTGAGCTAATTTCATAACTACTCCTGGAAATTCTGAAATACTGCAGCAAGACAAAGGATGTCCAGTTTTCAAGATCTTCCCTGAATACCCCGGAAGAGGGAGTCAAGGTGACTTTGTAATTGAGGGTCAGGTCCCAAGGACACTGTCACTGAAACCAGCCTCTGACCTGGGACAACTGGGGAATGCCTCTTAATGGAGGAAGCTAAAAGAGCCAGGCTAGTCTCTAGCCTCCAAAATAGTGAAAAATGCTTCAAAGCCAGGCTTTATGGTATTAGCTAACAGAGCTATCAGTCTTCAAAGGACAAAATCTCTTCAGCTGGAGTAGAAATAATGGTTTTCAGAAGAGCAGTGGCCTACAGAGACAGTACTGTCAGCCGTGTAGTAGGGATCAGAAAGCATCATGGGAGGTGCAGAGGTGGGTATGGTAGCAACAGCACGAACCACCCTAAGCCACATTGGAAACAGGGAGTTGGAGGATTTTTCCTCCAAACTCAGCCACTCTGAGCCCCAACTATGGCCCCATCCCAGCTCTTTCTCACTGAGTATACCAGCTTGGACCAGAGTCAGCAGTATCCCACCTGACAGGATGGAAGTCAGTCAGCAAATATTTAATAGTGATGTACTCTCTTTGGACCAGTCAGGAAGTTGATATTTTGGTTTTCCAATCTTGAAAGTAGATACATCTGAAAGATTACTTTCTAGGCCAGGGTCAGCACACTACAGCCTGTGAGCCAAATCCAGCCACACCCACATGTTTATGTAAGTGTATGTCTGCTTTGGCACCTACAATGGCAGAGTTGAGCAGCTGCAACAGAGATGGAGCCCATGGCCCGCAAAGCCTAAAATATTTACTGTCTGACTGCTTATAGAGAAAGTTTGCCAACTCTTGATCTAGGCTATTCAAGAACATTAGAGGGCATAAGAGTCCTCATATTCACATAGAGGTACTAGTCTATACACTTAGGTTGTTTGGAAAATAGCAGGAAATAGGTCTTGGGTTTGTTAATCTACTGTGTTACAAAAGCCCTATTACCTGAAGTTGGGCCTATTCTTTCTTTCTCCACATTTTTTGAAAGATTTCCCTGAAAAAGGTCAGTTCACAATCTGATGACCAATCTCTGTTATGAATTCTACAGGTATTCCCATCCTATGTTGCGGGGCAGTGGGGGAACCTCACACTCTTAGGAAAAAATCAATTATTCTGTAGTTATGAAAACAGAGCATAACTAATTATAAATGTGTTCAATCAACTGGCAATTTGCCTCAATAAACTCACTTTTGCAAGCCCACCAATCAGTGACAACCCCTCACTCTGGCCAACCAAGAATGCGTTCACTTCATGCCTCACTTGGAGCACCAAAAAAAACATAAAAAAGGGTGGTCTGATAAACATGTCCCTGAGTGCCAGCCAATCAACAGCCATCTCACTTGAGTGACTACTCTCCTTCAGATGATCTCAATCCATTCAGGCATTTGCTCAAACACCTGAAAATCCACCAATCCTAATTTCCACACTTGCCAAAAACCCTATACAGTAGTACCCCCAATCCACAGTTTCACTTATCTGCAATCAACTGTGGTCTGAAATAGGTAAGTACAATATAATAAGATATTTACAGAAAGAGAGAGAGAGACCATATTTGTGTAACTTTTATTATAACACATTGTTATAATTGTTCTATTATTAGTTATTGTTAATCTCTTACTGTGCCTAATTTATAAATTAAAGTTTATCACAAGTTAGTAAGTATAGGGAAAACAGTATATATGGGGTTCAGTACTATCTGCGGTTTCAGGCATCCACTGGGAGTCTTGAAACATATCCCTCACAGACAAGACGGGACTGCTGTATGGGATCAATACTCTACTATACTCAGAAAAGCCTGCCTGACCAGCATGGCTTTCCCTTACTACAATAGTCCATAAATTCGCTTTCTCTTTTTATTTCAGGTACTGAATATTGGTCTCATCATTCTTTGACACAATCCATAGTTTAGACATCCCAATTCCATGGGCCATTATTTAAGCTCCACTGTTTGGCCTGCATTTCTATTACTTCTTCACTAGCTTGCCTTACTAGTACTCCTTCTTCCAGCCCTATCTACCCCACAATCATAATGTTTGATATGACATTTGTTGAGGTCATTCTGCTCAATACTGTTCCCTATCTTCCTCTGGTAGCCAAAGCAGATCCACTATACCAGTCTCCATATAAGCATCAGAATTCAGCCCCCTAAAAAAATGGGCAAGGGAGTTGACTTAGGAATTGGAAGCACTATATCTGTGATGATCACCCAAACCTCAGGTCTGGTAAACAAGGGAACAGCTGCATTTTCTTTTGAAAACAGTTTTCATTATTTTCCCCATAGGTTTGCTAAAGCTATAATTCAATTTTTTCATTTTATAAGTACATTATGTACTCATTACCATTCTAGGAATTATGGCTAAATGGAGTACAGGAAATGTACAGGAAATGGTGTATTACTTGAGCTGCAAAGTATATGGCTAAAAATTTAGGACACAAGTTGCAAGCCCTGGGGAGGCATTCTGTTTGGCCATTTTGTCTCACCTGCATCGTGATTTAAAAGTTCATATACCTAAGTGGAAATTACTATTGGTAGCAATCAACACTTAATACCTATTGTTCTTCACTCTGCCGGCTTCACAGTTTATGATTACCTCATGCCCCCTGCAGGCACTTAGGTTTTAATCCTTCAATTAGCAAATACAATATACTAAGTTGTATAATCAATTTTAGAATTTGTGCTCTTAGTACTTGTGAATTCTAATTCAGAAAAAATGTAATAGATGGAAGTGAAAGTAGCTAGAGCTACAAGAAAGTAGGTGTTGCACTGACTTATAAGGAAGTTATAGATTAGGATGTGCTATGGTTTGAAAGTGTCCCCCCAAAAGCATGTGTTGAAATATAATCCCCAAAGCAACAGTATTAAGACGTGGATCCTAATGAGAGGTGATTAGGCAATGAGCACTCTGCCCTCATAAATGGATTAATGCTATTGTCATGAGATGAGTTTGTTATCATGGGAGTTGGTTTCTTATAAAGGGGATGAGTTTGGTCCCCTTCTCTCTCTCTTTCTCACGGTCCTTGCCTTCTACATTCCCCCATGGGATGATGCAGCAAGAAGGTCCTTGCAAGATGCCAGACCCTTGATCTTGGACTTCCCAGCCTCCAGAACAGTGAGGAAATACATTTCTCTTCTTTATAAATTACCCAGTCGGTTACAGCAGCATAAAGTGGACTAAGACAGGATGGCAGAAGCGGGAGAGGGCATTCCAGTATGGTTTTGTATGATGAGCACAGAGATAGACATGAACATGAAAAGAAAGGGCTTGAAATATCAGAATAAGAAATCTAGGCTGGATCTCATAAACAATTGGGAACCATGGTAGGTTCTTAAATAGAATGAGTACCTCAATGAAAGTAATGCCAGTTAATCTGGAAGTCTGGAATATGCTACAATGAGAAGGAGACTTATTACAGATAAATGGACCCTATTAATAATTCAGCTGACAAGATGATTTGAATTTAGATTGTCATGTAGCAGGACGAGCAGCAGACAAAAATCCTCAGACACCAAGTTAAAGAAGGAAGAGGTTTATTCGTCCGGGAGCATCGGCAAGACTCCTGTCACAAGAGCCAAGCTCCCCAAGTGAGCAATTCTTGTACCTTTTAAGGGCTCACAACTCTAAGGGGGTCCGTGTGAGAGGGTCATGATAGATTGAGCAAGCAGGGGGGTACGTGATTGGGGTCTGCATGCACCGATAATCAGATTGGAACAGAACAGGACAGGGATTTTCACAGTGCTTTTCCATACAATGTCTGGAATCTATAGATAACATAACCAGTTAGGTCAGGGGTCGATCTTTAACTACCAGGTGCCGGGCTGTCTGCCTGTGGATTTCATTTCTGCCTTTTAGTTTTTACTTCTTCTTTCTTTGGAGGCAGAAATTGGGCATAAGACAATATGAGGGGTGGCCTCCTCCCTTAATCAGGATAAATCACATGTATTTTGAAGTAAGAACTCATAAGACTGATAACTGACTTTGTGTATGAGACAAACAGATGCCATGCTAGTCAAGGAAAGAGAAGCTTGAAAAATGAGTCTAAGTTTGTTGTCCAGAACACTGGAGTAATAACTAATAATTCAGTCTGTCTTAGAAAGTTCCCATTTTTGCTTGTTGACTCAATGTAATTATTAATAGTGTCTCCTTTCACTCTTAAAACTGCTGTGGGAGAGTTGAGGCCAAATGAAGTAGCAGCAAAGACTGTTGCCAGGTGTCAGAAGGAGTCCTCCCCTCCCCAGGATCCTAAGATGTGAGACATCAAGACTTCTATCTAAATAGGCAGATCTGAATACCACAGACAACATGTCTGGGGCTGACACTGAACTCAAGCTGTTAAGGGCTGAGGCCTGTGCTATTTAAGCATTCATGTTAGGAAAAAAACCACAATAATCAAGAACAAAATAATCAAAAATATAATCGAGAAAAAATGTAATCAATATAAGTAAGCCCAGTTATAGAATATGCACACAAGGACTTTAAGAACATTATTATAAGATATTTTAAAGAATTTACAGGAAAAGATGGATATAAGTAGTAAGGCAGTATTAATATATTTCATGAAATAAATAGAATTTTTTTTAAGAAAAGAACCAAATGAAAAAATCCTAGAACTAAAAAATGAAATTTCAAAAATCAAAACTTCATTGGAAAGCTTAATAGCAGATTGGACACTGCAGAAGAATGGCTCAGTGAACCTGAGGATATATCGGTAGAAATTTTCTAAATGGAGGCAGAAAGATCAAAATACCTTAAAGAAAGAAAGAAAGAAAGAAAGAATGTCAGTAACCTGGAAGATAAGATCAAGTAGTCTAATCAGAGTCACAGAGAGAGCTATAAGAGAGAACTAGGCTAAAAAAAAAATGAAAATAAGGACTAACATTTTTCAAAGCTGATAACAAAATGTTAACTTTGGCCCTGCATACTTCAGGATAAAGAAAAGTGCACAAGTTTTCAATGAACTTCTAAAAATAAAAGTGTATTAGTCAGGGTTCTCCAGAGAAACAGAACCAATAGGATATATAGAGAGATATGTCAAAAGAGATTCATTATGAGGAATTGGCTCATGTGGTTATAGAGGCTGATAAGTCCTACAATATGCCATCTATAAGCTGCAGGTCCAGGAAATCTGGTGGTTCTGTTCAAGTCCAAACCTGAAGGCCTGAAAACAAGTGGTGTAAGTCCCAGTCTGAGTCCGAAAGCCTGAGAACCAGGAGCACAGAAGTCCAAGGACAGAAGATGAATGTCCCAGTTCAAGCAGAGAAAGTGAATTTACCCTTCTTCCACCTTTTTGTTCTAGTCAGTTCCTCAACAGATTACATGTTTGCTCACAGCTGTGAAGATATATCTTCTTACTCAGACTACTGATTCAAATGCTAATCTCTTCCAGAAATATTCTCACAGACACACACAAAAATGATGTTTTCCCAGCTATCTGGGCATCCCTTAGCCAAGTCAAATAGACATACAAAATTAACCATCACAGAAAGTTAAAGAGAAAACCTTAAAAACAACTGGAGAAAGATAGTTAGTTTTAGTGGAACAACAACAAGAACAAAAACTCTCTTATGAGAAATAATGGAGACCAGAAAACCATGGATTAATATATATATATATATAAAGTGCTTTGAAGGAAGGGGGCTTACAAAACTAGAATTATAGAATTATACATCCAGGGAAAATATTCTTCAAACAATCCAGGTAAAATTTAAAAACATGTCAGATAAGTAAAAGCAAAGTAAATATGTCACCAGTAAATTCACACTAGTGAAATGCAAAAAGAAGTTTTTTGTGTGAAGGGAAGTAATAGCAGATGAAAGAATGGATCTGCACAAATGAAGGAAGAATGCTGGAAATGGTACATATGTGGAAGCAGATTTGATTCTGAGCAGAGCTGTGGTGTTCTGTTTGTTGTTGTTTTGTGGGACAATGGCAAACAGAGACAGCTCAACAATGAACTGTGGGGTCATAAAGGGACTGTGGTCGGCTTCATCATCATGCTTTAGCATCTCCTTAAAAAGCTATATAAGATCACAGGAGCTGAAAACTTGAATTTCAGCCCTCATCACGTCAGATTTTCTTGGCAGGTGATGACATAGTCAGTGATCCTTGGATTTTGTTAGTTCTCTAATTTGTGGGCAGAAATTTACACTCAATACCAACTATATAGAGAAAGAGAGAAAACACACAGATATACAATTTACCAAAGTATTTGAAATGTAAAATTCTTTAAGTTTAGCCACCTTAAAAGAGAGCAGGATGACCTAGAATCAAGAGATGCCCACCTTTGTAAGGAGTGATCAAGAACAGCAAAAAGGGAGGCAAATGGTGAAAAGTTAAATGGGTCCAACTCTGTACTTGGTGATGAAATACCTTTAAAAAACAAGAACTAATAGAAGAAAAAACTAAATATTCAGACTTAGATGAAACTCTAACTTTATAAGTACAATAATATCACTAGAACATAAACCAAAGTCCATGATGTCACCAGGAACTTTTCCAAATAGAGCATTCAACAACATTCAGATATGGTCCTTTATGTGTCTTCACTGGGAAGATGGTTCACCATCCTCCACATATATTTTCACCTTGGCAATCAGGCTTTATTCCTCCACCTATAATTCCAACGCAAATCATCCAGTTCACGAGAGGAAGACCTCCAGAAAGTATGTACGGATATTCCAAGGAACACTTCTCCAGGGATTTTCTGGACTACCACATCCTTAAGTAACAATAAGAAATGTCTATCCACCAAGGGGGTTTCTTGTTTTCCTCTTTCAGACATGTAATTTTCTTTCAGCATTCCAGCATCCTAAATAATAACAGCAAGGCACCAGCAGTGTTGACTCATTCTTCAAACAAACTTACTGCATAAATGCAGAACCACAAGAGGCCGGGTGCAGTGGCTCACACCTGTAATCTCAGCACTTTAGGCGGCTGAAGGGAGTAGATCCCTTGAGCCCAGGAGTTTGGGATCAGCCTGGGCAACATGGCAAAACGCTGTCTCTACAAAAAATTAGCAAAGCATGGTGGTGCATATCTGTAGTCTCAGCTATTCAGGAGACTGAGGTGGGAGGATCACCTGAGCCCAGGAGGTCGAGGTTGCAGTGAGCCATGATTGTGCCACTGTACTGTAGCCTAAGTGACAGAGTGAGACCTTGTCTCAAAAAAAAAAAAAAAAAAAAAAAAAAAAAAAAAAAAAAAAAAAGAACTACAAGAAACTTGAAACTTTTTTTGTCTCTCCTCAAAAGTAATCTACAATTCTCCTCATTTTCTGGTCTAGGAAACTGTATTACTTAAGTGATTATACCTTAGATAATGAAAGCTTTATAGAAATACCAATTGTTAAGTTGGCATTTAAAAAATAAGTTTGATTTAAATTTTTAAAATGGTTATAAAGATAACTGCCCCACTTTGGACTATGTATTATATGGTTACCCTACTAATGGAACAAATCAATTAATTGTGAAACAGAAAGTGATTCTTGGTTTCAGGCAGACTCCAGAAATCAGTCACATGGTAGGAGAAAATTTCAGTAGGGAGAGTACATTAGGATCATTTTCATGTATATTTTCTGAAAGGTTGCTGCAGTCTTCTCTGGCTTCTTTAACTCCTCTCCAGAAAATCACTATGCCTATTTATTCTGTTTCTACAAAATTTTTCAGATCTATTTCCTCTGTTCCCACAGCCATTTTTAAAATTCAGGACCTCACCAGCATTCCTCTGGTACCCAACTACACCATATATTTTTGAATCAAAGTTTATTATGCTACTTTCCTGCGATTTCTCTTTCTTGTTAAGTCTAGGGCCTCCATTCATCAATGGTTGTGGAGGATCTGTGATTACCATGTAATAGTATTTGAATTTGGGGTGTATGTGCATTAAAGTGAGCATCCATCTTAATCTTTTTAACCTTTTACAAGAATAAAAGTTGCTGGGCTATAGATTAAATTTCAAAGTTCTTAGCACAGCTTTATAGGTTTTTCAAAATCTAATCCCATACTAGCATTTTTTCCATTATACACCTTAAATTCTGGCCTTCAGGCTTGAGGTAGGCTGAATAATGCCTCTCTTCCCCACAGAGATGTCCACATCCTAATCCTCAGAACCTTGGAATATGTCACCTTGCATGGTTAAAGGGGCTTTGCAGATGGGATTAAGTTAAGAATCTTGAGATGCGGAGATTATGTTGGATTATCTGGATCCAATTTAATCACATGGGTCCTTATAAGAAGGAGGCAGGAAGGTCAGAGTCAGAGAAAGAAATGTGACCATAGAGGCAGTGATCTATTCTTAGATTTGAAAATGTGATCCTGCTGGCTTGAAGATGGAGGAAGAGGCCATGAGCCAAGGAATGCAGGTGGCCTCTAGAAGCTGGAAAAGGCAAGGACTCCCCTAGAGCATCAAGAAAGACCTTGATTTTAGCCCAAGTGCCACTGATTTCAGACTCTGACCTCCAGAACTATAAGAGAATAAAGTTGTGCTGTTTTAAGTCATTAAGTCTGTGGTAATGGCTACAGCAATAAGGAAACTAATACATTGTTGCTCCACAAATTAAACAAGGTATGTATTTTCCCACTTCAGAACCTTTGTTCATGATCTTACATTTCCTAGTAGAAAAGTCCTTGTATCCTTTTTCTGCTTGGAGAATTCATACACATATTTCAATGCCCAGAACCAATGTCACTAGATTTATTAACATCACTCCTTTATGTGTGCATATTCATGGTTTAAACCATTAGTATAACAGTTGCACGTGGCATAGTATTTTCTCTCTCTCTCTCTCTTCCTCTCGCTGTGTGTGTGTGTGTGTGTGTGTGTGTGTGTGTGTGTGTGTGTGTGTGTGTGTGTGTGTGTGTGTGGTGTTCCCGGTAAGCTTCTTGTTTGTTTTTTGAGACAGGCTCTCACTCTGTCATCCAGGCTGGAGTGCAGTGGCACGATCACAGCTCATTGCAGCCTCAACCTCCAAGGCTCAAGTGATCCTCCCAGCTCAGTCTCCCGAGTAGCTAGGACTACAGGAGTGCACCACCACACCCAGCTAATTTTTAATTTTTGTAGAGATGGGGATTGTGCCATGTTGCCCAGGCTGGTATCAAACTCCTGGGCTCAAGCGATCCTTATGCCTCAGCCTCCCAAAGTGTTGGGTTTACAGGCATGTGCTACCATGCAGAGTCCCTTACAAGCTTCTTAACATACACATTTGTACAATCAATACATTGAACACGTGGTAATAAATCTGAGTTGCCTCTGGAAACACTCTGGGAGCTACTTAAAAGTTAGGACAAGAAACAAGAATTACATGAGTGTCATCAGAAAAAGAGGTGAAATATATGAGCACAGATATTATTTCTAAGGGATTTTAGAGAAAGAAGTTCAGAGAGCTGAAAAAGGAAGAACAGTTAGGAATAATAAATGTGTAAAGAGAAATTAGACAGAGAAGAAAAAAATAGGAGTACAGTGCTCCTGGAAAAATATGTTTGTAAACCCTTAATAACTGGGTCCTTAATTTCAACCTCTTTTTATCAGGAAGAATTTACTTAACTTTTTTGAGCCTTACCTCTGAATAAGGTTAATTGAAATTCTTGAACCAATTACTTTTGACTTTTTTTTAAGACAAAGTCAATTCTTGAATATATTTTCATTTTTAAAACTGGCTGGCACAGTGTCTATGAAATAATGCTGTTTATATTCTTCAAGAAAAGAAAATCCAAAACTGATTTTCAGAAAGTAAAAAACAAAACCAAAAAACTTATTTCAAAAAAAGAGTCATGAGCAATACAAGAAAATACATATTTTGAATAATAGTACCCAGAACTAGAATTAGAACGTATTTTTAATTTGTGAGAGAGTATAGGGAATATTTATCAGCATTCATTTATTACCAAGGGCTTTCAAATATATCTCATTTAGTTATCAGAACAATTTCATAGTATATGTATTATTATTCAAATGTGCCAAATGAGAGACTGAGACTTAGAGAAGTTCAGACTTCTACAGTCAGTAATGGACAAAGACAGGTTTATTATTATTATTATTATTATACTTTAAGTTCTGGGATACATGTGTAGAATGTACAGGTTTGTTACATAGGTATAAACGTACCATGGTGGGTTTGATGCACCCATCAACCTGTCATGTACATTAGGTATTTCTACTAATGCTATCCCTCCCGTAGCCTCCCACCCCCCAACAGGCCCTGGTGTGTGATGTTCCCCTCCCTGTGTCCATGTGTTCTCATTGTTCAACTCCCTCTTGGTTTTCTGTTCCTGTGTTTGTTTGCTGAGAATGATGGTTTCCAGCTTCATCCATGTCCCTGAAAGGAAACGAATGAATCCTTTTTTATGGCTGCATAGTATTCCATGGTGTACATGTGCCACATTTTCTTTTCTTTTTTTTTGAGATGGAGTCTCGCTCTGTCACCCAGGCTGGAGTGCAGTGGCGCAATCTTGGCTCACTGCAAGCTCCACCTCCTGGGTTCACGCCATTCTCCTGCCTCAGCCTCCTGAGTAGCTGGGACTACAGGTACCTGCTACCACGTCCGGCTAATTTTTGTATTTTTTAGTAGAGATGGGGTTTCACCTTATTAGCCAGGATGGTCTTGATCTCCTGACCTCGTGATCCACCTGCCTCAGCCTCCCAAAGTGCTCGGATTACAGCTGTGAGCCACCGCGCCCAGCCACCACATTTTTTTTATCCAGTCTATCATTGATGGGCATTTGAGTTGGTCCCAAGACTTTGCTATTGTGAGCAGTGCTGCAATAAACATACGTGTGCTTATGTCTTTATAGTAGAATGATTTATAATCCTTTGGGTATATACCCAGCAATGGGATTTTTGGGTCAAATCACACTTCTAGTTCTAAATCCTTGAAGAATCACACTATCTTCCGCAATGGTTGAAATAATTTACACTCCCATCAATGGTGTAAAAGCATTCTTATTTCTCCACGTCCTCTCCAGCATCTATTGTTTCTGATTTTTTTTCATGATCACCATTCTAACTGGTGTGAGATGGTATCTCATTGTGGTTTTGATTTGCATTTCTCTAATGACTAGTAGTTATGAGCTTTAATAGTTTTGTTGAATGCATAAATGTCTTCTTCTGAGAAGTGTCTGTTCATATCCTTCACCCACTTTTTGATAGGGTTTTTTTTTCTTGTAAATTTGATTAAGTTCTTTGTAGATTCTGGATATTAGCCCTTCGTCAGATGGAGAGATTGCAAAAAGTTTCTCCCATTCTCTAGGTTGCCTGTTCACTCTAATGATAGTTTCTCTTGCTATGCAGAAGCTCTTTAGTTTAATTAGATCCCATGTGTCAATTTTGGCTTTTGTTGACATTGCTTTTAGTGTTTTAGTCATGAAGTCTTTGCCCATGCCTATGTCCTGAATGGTATTCCCTAGGTTTTATTCCAGTTTTTTTTTATGGTTTTAGGTCTTATGTTTAAGTCTTTAATCAATCTTAATTTTTGTATAAAGTCCAAGGAAGGGGTCCAGTTTCAGTTTTTCTGCATATGGCTAGCCAGTTTTCCCAACACCATTTATTAAATAGGAAATCCTTTCCCCATTCCTTTTTTTTTGGCAGGTTTCTCAAAGATTAGATGGTTGTAGATGTGTGGCATTATTTCTGAGGCCTCTGTTCTGTTCCATTGGTTTATATATTTGTTTTGGCACCAGTGACATTCTGTGTTGATTACTGTAGGCTTGCAGTATAGTTTGAAGTCAGGTAGCGTGATGCCTCCAGCTTTATTCTTTTTGCTTAGGATTGTCTTGGATATATGGGCTCTTTTTTGGTTCCATATGAAATTTAAAGTAGTTTTTTCTAATTCTGTGAAGAAAGTCAATGGTAGCTTGATGGGGATAGCATTGAATCTATAAATTACTTTGAGCGGTATGGCCATTTTCACAATACTGATTCTTCGTATCCATGAGGATAGAATGTTTTTCCATTTGTTTGTGTCCTTTCTTATTTCCTTGAGCAGTGATTTGTAGCTCTCCTTGAAGAAGTCCTTCATATCTCTTGTAGGTTGTATTCCTAGGTATTTTATTCTCTTGGTAGCAATTGTGAATGGGAGTTCACTCAGGATTTGGCTCTCTGCTTGTCTATTATTGGTATATTGGAATGCTTATGATTTTTGCACATTGATTTTGTATCCTGAGACTTTGCTGAAGTTGCTTATCAGTTTAAGGAGATTTTGGGCTGAGCCAATTGGGTTTTCTAAATATACCATCATGTCATCTGCAAGCAGAGACAATTTGACTTCCTCTCCTCCTATTTGAATACCCTTTATTGCTTTCTCTTGCTTGATTGCCCTGGCCAGAACTTCTAATCCTATGGTGAATAGGAGTGGTGAGAGAGGGCATCCCTGTCTTGTGCCAGTTTTCAAAGGGAATGCTTCCAGCTTTTGCCTGTATGATATTGGCTGTGGGTTTGCATAAATAGCTCTAATTATTTTGAGATACGTTCCATCAATACCTAGTTTATTGAGAGTTTTTAGCATGAAGGGCTGTTGAATTTTATCGAAGGCCTTTTCTGCATCTATTGAGATAATCATTTGGTTTTTGTCATTGGTTCTGTTTATGCGATGGATTACGTTTATTGATTTGCATATGTTGGACTAGCCTTGCATCCCTGGGATGAATCCAACTTGATCGTGGTGGATAAGCTTTTTGACGTGCTGCTGGATTTGGTTTGCCAGTATTTTATTGAGGATCTTCACACTGATGTACATCAGGGATATTGGTCTGAAAGTTTTTTTTTGTTGTTGTGTCTCTGCCAGGTTTTGGTATCAGGATAATGCTGGCTTCATAAAATGAGTTAGGGAGGATTCCTTCTTTTTCTATTGCTTGGAATAGTTTCAGAACAAATGGCACCAGCTCCTCTTTATACCTCTGGTAGAATTCAGTTGTGAATCTGTCTGGTCCTGGGCTTTTTTTGGTTGGTAGGCTATTAATTACTGCCTCAATTACAGAACTTGCTATTGGTGTATATTCAGGGATTCAACTTCTTCCTGGTTTAGTCTTAGGAGGGTGTGTGTGTCCAGGAATTTATCCATTTCTTCTAGATTTTCTAGTTTATTTGCATAGAGGTGTTTATAGTATTCTCTGATGGTAGTTTGTATTTCTGTAGGATCAGTGGTGATATACCCTTTATAATTTTTTATTGCGTCTATTTGATTCTTCTCTCTTTTTTTCTTTATTAGTCTGGCCAGCGGTCTATCTATTTTGTTAATCTTTTCAGAAAACCAGCTCCTGGATTCATTGATTTTTTGAAGGGTTTTTTTGTGTTTCTATCTCCTTCAATTCTGCTCTGATCTTAGTTGACTCTTGTCTTCTGCTAGCTTTTGAATTTGTTTGCTCTTGCTTCTCTAGTTTTTTTAATTGTGATGTTAGGGTGTCAATTTTAGATCTTTCCCACTTTCTGATGTTGGCATTTAGTGCTATAAATTTCCCTCTAAATACTGCTTTAGCTGTGTGCCAGAGATCCTTGTACGTCGTGTCTTTGTTCTCATTGGTTTCAAAGAACATTGTTATTTCTGCCTTAATTTCGTTATTTACCCAGTAGTCATTCAGGAGCAAGTTGTTCAGTTTCCACATAGTTGTGTGGTTTTGAGTAAGTTTCTTAATCCTGATTAAGAATTTGCACTGTGATCTGAGAGACTGTTTATTATTTCCATTCTTTTGCATTGCTGAGGAGTGTTTTACTTCCAATTATGCGGTCAGTTTTAGAATAGGTGTGATATGGTGCTGAGAAGAATGTATGTTCTGTTGATTTGGGGTGGAGAGTTCTGTAGATGTCTATTAGGTCTGCTTGGTCCAGAGCTGAGGTCAAGTCCTGAATATCCTTGTTAATTTTCTGTCCCGTTGATCTGTCTAATACTGACAGTGGGGTGTTAAAGTCTCCCATTATTATTGTATGGGAGTCTAATTCCCTTTGTAGGTCTCTAAGAGTGTGTTTTATGAATCTGGGTGCTCCTGTATTGGGTGAATAAATATTTAGGATAGTTAGCTCTTCTTCTTGCACTGACCCCTATACCATTATGTAATGCCCTTCTTTGTCTCTTTTGATCTTTGTTGGTTTAAAATTTGCTTTATCAGAGACTAGGATTGCAAACCCTACTTTGTTTTTTGCTTTCCTTTTGCTTGGTAAATATTCCTCCATCCCTTTATTTTGAGCCTATGTGTGTCTTTGCACGTGAGATGGGTCTCCTGAATACACCACACTGATGGGTCTTGACTCTTTTTTTTTTTTTTTTTAAACAGTCTTGCTCTGTCACCCAGGATGGAGTGCAGTGGTGCTATCTTGGCTCACTGCAAGCTCCACCTCCCGGGTTCACACCATCCTCCTACCTCAGCCTCCCGAGTAGCTGGAACTACAGGCATCCGCCACCATGCCCAGCTAACTTTTTGTAGTTTAGGTAGAGACGGGTTTTCACCATGTTAGCCAGGATGGTCTCGATCTCCTGACCTCACGATCCACCCGCCTGGTCTTGACTCTTTATCCAATTTGCCAGTCTGTGACTTTTAACTGGGGCATTTAGCCCATTTATATTTAAGGTTAATATTGTTATGTGTGAATTTGAAACTGTCATCGTGATGCTACCTGGTTATTTTGCCCATTAGTTGATGCAATTTCTTCATAGTGTAGACAATCTTTACAATTTGGTGTGTTTTTGCAGTGGCTAGTACCAGTTTTTCCTTTCCATATTTACTGCTTCCTTCAGGAGCTCTTGTAAGGCAGGCCTGGTGGTGACAAGATCTCTCAGCATTTCCTTGTCTGTAAAGGATTTTATTTCTCCTTTGCTTATGAAGCTTAGTTGGGCTGGATATGAAATTCTGGGTTGAAAATTCTTTTCATTAAGAATGTTGAATATTGGACCCCACTGTCTTCTGGCTTATAAGATTTCTGCAGAGAGATCCACTGTTAGTCTGATGGGCTTCCCTTTGTGGGTAACCTGACCTTCCCTTCTGGCTGCCCTTAACATTTTTTCCTTCATTTCAACCTTGGTGACTCTGACGATTATGTGCCTTGGGGTTGCTCCTCTCAAGAAGTATCTTTGTGGTGTTCTCTGTGTTTCCTGAGTTTGAATGCTGGCCTGTCTTGCTAGGTTGGGGAAGTTCTCCTGGATAATATCCTGAAGTGTGTTTTCCAACTTGGTTCCATTCTCCCCATCACTTTCAGGTACACCAATCAAATGTAGGTTTGGTCTTTTCACATAGTCCCATATTTCTTGGAGGCTTTGTTCATTACTTTTCATTCTTTTTTCTCTAATCTTGTCTGCATGCTTTATTTCATTAAGTTGATCTTCAATCTCCGATATCCTGTCTTCCAATTGATCAATTCAGCTATTGATACTTGTGAATGCTTCACGAAGTTCTCATGCTGTGTTTTTCAGCTCCGTCAGGTCATTTATGTTCTTCTCTGAACCCCTTCGAATGGGGTTTCTGTGTGGACATCCTTTTTGCTGATCTTGATGCTATTCCTTTCTATTTGTTAGTTTTCCTTCTAACAGTCAGACCCCTCTGCTGCAGGTCTGGTGGAGTTTGCTGGAGGTCCACTCCAGACTCTATTTGCCTGGGTATCACCAGCAGAGGCTGCAGAACAGCAAAGATTGCTGCCTGCTCCTTCCTCTGGAAGCTTTGTTCCAGACAGGCACCCACCAGATGCCATCCGGAGCTCCTCTGTATAAGGTGTCTGTCGACTCCTGCTGGGAGGTGTCTCCCAGTCAGGAGGCACGGGGGTCAGGGACCCAGTTGAGGAGGCAGCCTGTCCCTTAGCAGAGCTTGAGCACTGTGCTGGGAGATCTGCTGCTCTCTTTAGAGCTGGCAGGCATGAACGTTTAAGTCTGCTGAAGCTGCACCCACAGCTGCCCCTTCCCCCAGGTGCTCTGTCCCAGGGAGAGGAGAGTTTGATCTATAAGCCCCTGACTGGGGCTGCTGCCTTTCTTTCAAAGAAAGAAAGCTGTGGTGGGCTCCACTGAGTTCAAACTTCTGGGCAGCTTTGTTTACGCTTTTAGGGGAAAACCACGTACTCAAGCCTCAGTAATGGTGGGCGCCTCTCCCCCCACCAAGCTGGAGCGTCCCAGGTCAACTTCAGACTGCTGTGCTGGCAGCGAGAATTTCAAGCCAGTGGATCTTAGCTTGCTGGGCTCCGTGAGGTGTGATCCGCTGAGCTAGACCATTTGGCTCCCTGGCTTCAGCCCCCTTTCCAGGGGAGTGAACAGTTCTGTCTTGCTAGCCAAGACAGGGAGCCACTGGAGTACGAAAAAAAAAAACTCCTGCAGCTAGATCAGTGTCTGCCCAAACAGCTGCCCAGTTTTGTGCCTGAAACCCAGGGCCCTGGTGGCAGAGGCACCCTAGGGAATCTCCTGTTCTGTGGGTTGCGAAGACCATGGGAAAAGTGTAGTATCTGGGCCAGAGTGTCTGGTTCCTCAAGACACAGTCCCTCACAGTTTCCCTTGGCCAGGGGAAGGAGTTCCCTGACCCCTTGTACTTCCTTAGTGAGGCGACGCCCCATTCTGCTTGGCTCGCCCTCCATGGGCTGCACCCACTGTCTAACCAGTCCCAATGAGATGAGCTGGGTACCTCAGTTGGAAATGCAGAAATCACCCACCTTCTGTGTTGATCTCGCTGGGAGCGGCTGATTGGAGCTGCTCTTATTCAGTCATGTTGGAAGAACCTCCCAAAGACAGGTTTTAAATCCATGCTTCTCTGACTGAAATCTGTGTATGTTAAGAAGCTTACAAGATTTTCGTTTTGTTTTTTACTTTCTGAAAAGGAATTTTTTTAATGCATTAAATTAGTATCAGTAAATCCCTCTCTTTGGAACAGATCTGATTTCCAATTATGATTAGGCTTAGGGTAATGATGTATAATGAACATCACTGTCGATTGCAATTGGGGACCAATATCCCAACTGACAAAAACATTATATACACAAATCATATTAGTAATAAAGGTGTCCTCAAGAGTTAGTTTTTTTAAATATTAAAAACAAGGAATTTTACATGCATTTGCTTAATCAATATAAAAAAAGCTAGGATATAAATGCATTATTTCCATTTTATGATGAAACACATTTGAAACTCATAGAAATCAAATCACACAGCTGGAAAGAGGTACAATCAGAATAGAACAGGAACACAATAGTGCACTTATTTATTCATTCAACGATCAAATATTTATTAAGAGCATCCCATGTGTCATAGACTACTGCACACACTATGCTCCTCTCCAGTGGATTTTTCAATAAATAAAACATAATTCTAAAAGCCTTAAAACTGATATGATTCATAATATGCTAGGATATCATGACTATCAGGAAAGATGGAGGGGGCATTGCTTTAGGATTCTTGTGCATTCATGCACCAGCTGTTGAGGCTCAGGAACCGATATTCCAAAATATGGTGCTCTGACTTGCTGAACTGAAGAAAAAGCCTCAAGGTCTCTCTGATCATTCCCTTCCTCTTCCGTTCTCCCAATCCTCTGTCTGTCCCAAAGCACAGGATGGAGTCCCTGAAGTTCCCTTATCTGCCCAAAGTCCAAATCTTCCAAAGAAGAAAACAATGACCTCTAGTCCCTTCCCTGAGTTTTTATTAACTAAGCTCATACTGAGGGAAGAAAGACTGAAGTCTAACATACCTGGACAGATTTTTGTCACAGACCATTGTCTCTTCTGTGGCCCCAACAGACTTTGTCCCAGACCAGTATATGTTCTTCAAGCCCATAATTCCCCTAAAATTCAATTCCCCTAAAAATCATTTACTACCCACCTCAAATCATACACACTTCCTCCATCTCTCTTTACCCTAAGAAGGGTATATAACCATCTGTACCCCATTGTGTGGTGAGGTTATCACTCTGTGGTTCTCCCCCTAAGCATGTTAATAAATTTGTATGCCATTTCACCTATTAATCTGTCTTTTGTCCGCTGACTTTCAGCAAACCTTCAGAGGGTAAAGGGAAAGTTTTCCCTTTGTCTCTAACAGTTAACTGCTTAATAACAATGTTTCATATTACTATAGTTACAACAACAGTTCAATTATTATTTATGGACATAAATTGCTGCTAAATCACTGTTTTATAACTTAACAATGTTTGTTCCTCTTCATTGGGTTACAACAAAACTCCTAATGGCCAAGCAATTACCTACTTTAGTTTGCGATAAATCAATTTCCTAGTCACTTACATCAAGGAGTATCAAACTATACAAAGGGGAGGAAATCTTTCAGCTCAAAAAAAAAGGAAGGAGCCGGGGGCAGTGGCTCATGCCTGTAATCCCGGCACTTTGGGAGACCAAGGTAGGTGGATTGCTTCAGCCCAGGAGTTCAAGACCAGCCTGGGCAACAGGGTGAAACCTCGTTTCTACAAAAAATACAAAAATTAGCTGAATGTGGTGATGCACACCTGTGGTCCCAGCTACTCAGGAAGCTAAGGTGGGAGGATTACCTGAGCCTGAGAGATTGAGGCTGCAGTCAGCCGAGATTGTGCCACTGCACTCCAACCTGGGTGACAGAGCGAGACCCTGTCTCAAAAAAAAAACAGCAAAAAAGAAAGGTTGGGGGAGGAAGGAAGAAAGGAAGGAAAAAGGGAGGGACAGAGGAAGGAAGGACGGGAGGGAGGGAGGTAGGTAAAGCCCCACTATTGCATGTGAACCATCCATCAGGAAAAAAACTATCTAAAAACTTTTTTGTGACAGTGGCAATGAAAAATTAACTAAAATCACCTATTGGTTAAAAAAAAAAACTCAGAAAAAAAAAACGAGGTTAGTGCAAAACTAATTCCTGTGTTATAGTAGCAGATGTTGTTGTATAAATAAGTAAGCCTGTTTTATTTCTTTTTAACACTATGGAAAACTACCCATTAAAATAAGAAAAAATTCAAATATAATCAATTTCAAAACGACGAACTTAATAATCCCATAAACCTTTCCTAACCACAGCAATAATGTAATCAGTGTATCAATTTTGGCATACTGCCGATAGGGACTTTCCAAGATTTTAAACAATCCCACTATTATATCCCCAAAGGACACAGAACACAATGTAGAAGATAAAAGAAAGAAGAAAAAACTTAAGTTTGTCAATATTACAAGCTTAAATGTTCAGAGAAAGGGGCTGGGGAAAATATACACATGTAACAAAGCAAGAGGAAAAAATATGGAAATCCAAGAAAAAAGAGATAGTTAATTAACATCTATTACCACTTTTCAGAATTGAGGCATCAGGGCTTAGATAAGTTGAGTGATATAATAAATTCAAATAATAGGAATGGCAGTTAGACCCCTCTTTTCAATTTTTATGATTTTTAAACCTTATGATATAAAGTAGAACAAAGGTAATAAGATATATTTCAAACATATTTCCAAAAGAATAACTATTTGGTTGTGTCTCTGCCCGGCTTTGGTATCAGGATGATGCTGGCCTCATAAAATGAGTTAGGGAGGATTCCCTCTTTTTCTATTGATTGGAATAGTTTCAGAAGGAATGGTACCAGTTCCTCCTTGTACCTCTGGTAGAATTCGGCTGTGAATCCATCTGGTCCTGGACTCTTTTTGGTTGGTAGGCTATTGATTATTGCCACAATTTCAGAGCCTGTTATTGGTCTATTCAGAGATTCAACTTCTTCCTGGTTTAGTCTTGGGATGGTGTATGTGTCGAGGAATTTATCCATTTCTTCTAGATTTTCTAGTTTATTTGCGTAGAGGTGTTTGTAGTATTGTCTGATGGTAGTTTGTATTTCTGTGGGATCGGTGGTGACATCCCCTTTATCATTTTTTATTGCATCTATTTGATTCTTCTCTCTTTTCTTCTTTATTAGTCTTGCTAGCGGTCTATCAATTTTGTTGATCCTTTCAAAAAACCAGCTTCTGGATTCATTAATTTTTTGAAGGGTTTTTTTGTGTCTCTATTTCCTTCAGTTCTGCTCTGATTTTCGTTATTTCTTGCCTTCTGCTAGCTTTTGAATGTGTTTGCTCTTGCTTTTCTAGTTCTTTTAATTGTGATGTTAGGGTGTCAATTTTGGATCTTTCCTGCTTTCTCTTTTGGGCATTTAGTGCTATAAATTTCCCTCTACACACTGCTTTGAATGTGTCCCAGAGATTCTGGTATGTTGTGTCTTTGTTCTCGTTGGTTTCAAAGAACATCTTTATTTCTGCCTTCATTTCATTATGTACCCAGTAGTCATTCAGGAGCAGGTTGTTCAGTTTCCATGTAGTTGAGCGGTTTTATCCTTGATGAACATTGATGCAAAAATCCTCAATAAAATACTGGCAAACCGAATCCAGCAGACATCAAAAAGCTTTTCCACCATGATCAAGTGGGCTTCATCCCTGGGATGCAAGGCTGGTTCAATATACGCAAATCAATACATGTAATCCACCATATAAACAGAGCCAAAGACAAAAACCACATGATTATCTCAATAGATGCAGAAAAAGCCTTTGACAAAATTCAACAACCCTTCATGCTAAAAACTCTCAATAAATTAGGTATTGATGGGATGTATCTCAAAATAATAAGAGCTATCTATGACAAACCCACAGCCAATATCATACTGAATGGGCAAAAACTGGAAGCATTCCCTTTGAAAACTGGCACAAGACAGGGATGCCCTCTCTCACCACTCCTATTCAACATAGTGTTGGAAGTTCTGGCCAGGGCAATTAGGCAGGAGAAGGAAATAAAGGGTATTCAATTAGGAAAAGAGGAAGTCAAATCGTCCCTGTTTGCAGATGACATGATTGTATATCTAGAAAACCCCATTGTCTCAGCCCCAAATCTCCTTAAGCTGATAAGCAACTTCAGCAAAGTCTCAGGATACAAAATCAATGTACGAAAATCACAAGCATTCTTATATACCAGTAACAGACAAACAGAGAACCAAATCATGAGTGAACTCCCATTCACAATTGCTTCAAAGAGAATAAAATACCTAGGAATCCAACTTACAAGGGACGTGAAGGACTTCTTCAAGGAGAACTACAAACCATTGCTCAGTGAAATAAAAGAGGATACAAACAAATGGAAGAACATTCCATGCTCATGGGTAGGAAGAATCAATATCATGAAAATGGCCGTACTGCCCAAGGTAATTTATACCTTCAATGCCATCCCCATCAAGCTACCAATGACTTTCTTCACAGAATTAGAAAACCTACTTTAAAGTTCATATGGAACCAAAAAAGAGCCCACATCGCCAAGTCAATCCTAAGCCAAAAGAACAAAGCTGGAGGCATCATGCTACCTGACTTCAAACTATACTACAAGGCTACAGTAACCAAAACAGCATGATGCTGGTACCAAAACAGAGATATAGATCAATGGAACAGAACAGAGCCCTCAGAAATAACGCCGCATATCTACAACTATCTGGTCTTTGACAAACCTGACAAAAACTAGCAATGGAGAAAGGATTCCCTATTTAATAAATGGTGCTGGGAAAGCTGGCTAACCATATGTAGAAAGCTGAAACTGGATTCCTTCCTTACACCTTATACAAAAATTAATTCAATATGGATTAAAGACTTAAATGTTAGACCTAAAACCATAAAAACCCTAGAAGAAAACCTAGGCAGTACCATTCAGGACATAGGCATGGGCAAGGACTTCATGTCTAAAACACCAAAAGCAATGGCAACAAAAGCCAAAATTGACAAATGGGATCTAATTAAACTAAAGAGCTTCTGCACAGCAAAAGAAACTACCAACAGAGTGAACAGGCAACCTACAAAATGGGAGAAAATTTTCGCATCCTACTCATCTGACAAAGGGCTAATATCCAGAATCTACAATGAACTCAAACAAATTTACAAGAAAAAAACAAACAACCCCATCAAAAAGTGGGCAAAGGACATGAACAGACACCTGTCAAAAGAAGACATTTATGCAGCCAAAAAACACATGAAAAAATGCTCATCATCACTGGCCATCAGAGAAATGCAAATCAAAACCACAATGAGATACCATCTCACACCAGTTAGAATGGCGACCACTAAAAAGTCAGGAAACAACAGGTGCTGGAGAGGATGTGGAGAAATAGGAACACTTTTACACTGTTGGTGGGACTGTAAACTAGTTCAACCATTGTGGAAGTCAGTGTGGCGATTCCTCAGGGATCTAGAACTAGAAATACCATTTGACCCAGCCATCCCATTACTGGGTATATACCCAAAGGACTATAAAACATGCTGCTATAAAGACACATGCACACGTATGTTTATTGCGGCTCTATTCACAATAGCAAAGACTTGGAACCAACCCAAATGTCCAACAATGATAGACTGGATTAAGAAAATGTGGCACATATACACCATGGAATACTATGCAGCCATAAAAAATGATGAGTTCATGTCCTTTGTAGGGACATGGATGAAATTGGAAATCATCATTCTCAGTAAACTATAGCAAGAACAAAAAAGCAAACACCGCATATTCTCACTCATAGGTGGGAATTGAACAGTGAGAACACATGGACACAGGAAGGGGAACATCACACTCTGGGGACTGTTGTGTGGTGGGGGGAGGGGGGAGGGATAGCATTAGGAGATATACCTAATGCCTGATGAGGAGTTAATGGGTGCAGCACACCAGCTTGGCACATGTATACATATGTAACTAATCTGCACATTGTGCACATGTACCCTAAAACTTAAAGTATAATAATAAAATAAAATAAAAAATAAATAAAATAAATAAAATAAAATAAAAAAAGAATAACTATTTGAAGACTGTCAATTACGTTACACATTTTATATCTTTATCATCTACTTCAGATACCTTCAGACAGGCTATAAATCTGCCAAAAACACAGTATATGTAATATGCTGTGATTCAGGATTAAAACACAGGCAGAAAATGTGCATCTGTTTTGGATTAATGAGAATTTTCAACAGACAATATTCAGGTAGTTTTGTGAACCCCCTTTTAATTACAACTCTCCTCTCTCTCTCTCCATATATATATATATATATATGATGGAATATACATATATATGATGGACAATACATATATATGGTGGAATACATATATATGATGGAATATATATATGATGGTATATATATGATGGAATATATATATATGATGGAATATATATATATGATGGAATATATATATATGATGGAATATATATATATGATGGAATATATATATATGATGGAATATATATATATGATGGAATATATATATATGATGGAATATATATATATGATGGAATATATATATATGATGGAATATATATATATGATGGAATATATATATATGATGGAATATATATATATGATGGAATATATATATATGATGGAATATATATATATGATGGAATATATATATATGATGGAATATATATATATGATGGAATATATATATATGATGGAATATATATATATGATGGAATATATATATGATGGAATATATATATGATGGAATATATATATATGATGGAATATATATATATGATGGAATATATATATATGATGGAATATATATATATGATGGAATATATATATATATGATGGAATATATATATATTCCATTCTTGCAAATAGTCTACAATTCATCATGGGTATATAAATTAATCTGACATTTCTCACTGTAGTTGGCTTTTAGCTATCTATATCTCTTTTCAAAGCCTCCTTAGGAGCTTAAGAAAATGTGAGTACTTCCTTCAGGTTGGAAGATCTAGGAAATAATAAAATCATAGCTAGTATTAGTGCTTATTATGTGTTGGACACTCTGCAAAACAATGTATACATACCATTTCAGTTCATTCTTCAAAAACAAAAAAAAAATCAGTATGATCTTTATTCCCATTTTCCATAAGTGAAAGATTTTATATAGCCAGCCCAAAGTTCCATAGGTGGTAGGTGGCAGTCAGAAGTACAAACCAAAGACTGTTTCAGGAACCATAAGCTTTATCACTAAGATGCACTGCCTGTCAAGTCTCTTAATTTTAGTTTACGCTACATGTTTCCAAACAATGGTCAAGATAATTATAATATAAAAAGAGACTCACCATTAAAACATACTTAAAATAGAACTTAATGGATAGGAGAAGAAAAGTGGTAAGAATTCAAGGTGAATTAATAGAGCAAGTAAACACAAAATAAAGCATACAGATTTATAGAAGTCAATGTTAAAATGGACATATCTAGTTCTTGTGTCAGACAAAAGAAGTCAAATTTCATCTGGTCATATTTTTTCATTAAATATAGCCAGACTTTATCAAATAAATCCTGAAATAAAATGATAGAGTACATCATGAGCAGTATGTTCAACATCAGTTGGGCTAAATACAGAGATAATTCTCAAAAGTTTATTTCTTATGCTTCCCCTCTAAGAAAGCCAATAGGGAAACAGTAAATTGCAACATTTAACATAGAACTATTACAACCCAAATAAAAACCAGGTAAAGGACCTGAAGAGACATTTCTCCAAAAAAAGACATGCATATGGTCAATAAGCACATGACATGAAGCTCAATATAATTAGCCACCAGGGAAATGCAAATCAAAACCACAGTGAGATACTACTTCACACCCACTGGGATGGTTATAATAAAAAAGACAGATAATAACAAGTATTGGTGAGAATGTGGAGAATTTGGAAGCCTCATACATTTTTTGTAAAATAATCTAGCTGCTTTAGAAAATATTTCCTTAGGAGATTAAACAGACAGTTACCATATGATCAAGCAATTTTAGTCATAGTTATATACCCAAGAGAAATGAAGACATATGTCCACACAAAAACTGGTACATGAATGTTCATAGACAAACAGCAGAAACCAAGCAACTGATGAAGGAATACATAAAATGTGATCTATCCATATAGTGGAATATTATTCAGCAGTAAAAGAAAATGATATACTGATACATGCTATAAAATGATGAACCTTGAAAACATGCTAAATGAAGGACACATATTATATGATTCCGTTTATATAAAATAACTAAAATAGAGACATAAAGTAGGTTAGTGGTTGTCAAGAGCAGAAGGGAGTGTTGGGGACAATGGGGTATTACTGCTAATGGTACAGGATTTGTATAAGTGAAGAAAAGTTGAGAAACCTGTCTAAAATTGATTGGAGTTTAAGAAACACTATCATGAAGCATTGAAGGGATTATTTGGATGGACAAGCATTCAAGCCAGGTGTTAATATAGTTATGGGTCACATAATGACATTTCAGTCAATGACAGACTGAGTATATGATGGTGGTCCCATAAGATTATAATATCATATTTTCACTGTACTTTTTCTACGTTTAGATATATTTAGACACACAACTAGTTAACATTGTGTTACAACTGCCTACAGGATTTGTACAGTACAGTAGAGTTCACAGCCCAGAGGCAACAAATTATACCATATAACTTAGGTATGTGGTAGGCTATACCATCTAGGTTTGTATGAGTACACTCTATGACATTCACACAATGATGCAAT
Organism: Homo sapiens; assembly: GCF_000001405.40. Classification (NCBI taxonomy): domain Eukaryota; kingdom Metazoa; phylum Chordata; class Mammalia; order Primates; family Hominidae; genus Homo; species Homo sapiens. The sequence goes on from NC_000004.12 coordinate 89,099,254, forward strand.
TGCCTAAAAACACATTTCTCTGAACACATCCCCATCATTAAGCAATAGATGACTGTAATTGTCTTTTTCAAGCATAAGAGAATCTCACGAAGGTAGAATTATGTCCTGATACATCTAATCAAATGAATTAGGAATAGCTGTAAGCCTAAATGAGTTCAAGGATTATTAAATTTTTTTGGATCATGAATCCTTTGAGAATGTGTTGAATGCTATGAACAAGGTAGGCATGGTATTTACCCTATGAAACCTAAATAATTTTGTGGAAATCAACATCAGAGGAGGACCTGCCATGACTGTGGTGAAACAAGACAAAAACAAGATCACCTCATAATCTTGCTTGAATAGAAATTTAACAAGGGGATGGGGGAAAAATACTGTGTAACCACAAAAATAACCAAACATCCTGCTCTCCTGGATAACTTCTCTAGTGACAGCTCTGGCCTCTCTCTCTTCCTCTAGCTTCCTAGATAAAAATTTGTAATATACCCAATACCCAAATTGCTTCTGCTTTCTGACAACACCCAGTTGAGAACAGATTCTTTCTTGAACCTTCCCTAAAATCACCTTAGCTAAGCCCAAATCCTACAATAAGCCTCTCTTGACTCCCTCTTAATGCGATACCCATTGTTTTCCAAGGTATGACTCTCCCTTGCTAGAGTAGTAAGCCTAGTTTTGGTTACAAGTGTGTTCTTGGTGGTATTTGGCTAATGAGAATCACAATATAAGATTTATAATACATTACTGCAAAAAGCACGTATAAAAGTACATATATATAAAGGGCCAAGCACAGTGAATCAGCTCTGAAATCCCAGCACTTTGGGAGGCCAAGGTGGGAGGGCTGCTTGAGGCCAGGAGTTCGAGACCAGCCTGGGCAACAAAGCAAGAGCCTATCTGTACAAAAAATAAAAATTAGCTTGGTCTGGTGGTGCATGCCTCTAGTCCTAGCTACTCGGGAGGCTAAGGTGGGACTATAGGATAGTTAAATTGATATAGGAAAGGTAATGGAGGCTGGGCATGGTGGCTCATGCCGGTAATCTCAGCACTTTGGGAGAGCAAGGCAGGTGGATCACCTGAGGTCAGGAGTTCGAGACCAGCCTGACCAACATGGTGAAATCCCATCTCTACTAAAAACACAAAAATTACCTGAGCATGGTGGCGGACGCCTGTAATCCCAACTACTCAGGAGGCTGAGGCAGGAGAATCACTTGAAGCTGGGAGGCAGAGTTTGCAGTGAGCCGAGATCACACCACTGCACTCCAGCCTGGGCAACAAGGACGAAACTCTGTCTCAAATAAACGAAAGTAATGGATATACAGTAAAATGTTAAGAATAGTTATCTCTATATGTTGGCATTATTATTTTCCTTTTTGCTTCTCTGTATCTTATCTTGTTCTTCAAAGACTGTGTACAATTTAATAAGAAGAAAAAAGAGGAGGAAGAAAAACTCCCTTCCAAAAGAATATGTTATAAGGGAGGAATTTTATATTCAAACAGTTGTTAACCATAAAAGGTTTTCAAACTTTGGTGTAATAGAATCACACGGGATGATCACTGAAAATAAAGATTCCTGGGCTTCATCCCCAGTGTGAGCCCAGGAAATCTATATATTGGACTCCAGGTGATTCCAACCCACAGGGTTTGAAGAGCAACCTTGATAAATGTGGCTTTGGGGACAAAGTAGGACTTGGAAGGACGTACGGATGTACAGAGGAAGAAGAAAGCTTCCCAGACTAAAGGGGAAGCATGAAAAGCTCAAAATTATGAAGCTGCATGTGCTGAGGAGAGGGAGAATGAGTGGTGTGACGCACAATGGGCTCTCAGTTAACCTGACCTTACCAACCTGGGACAGAATTGAGGGCTCCTCTAAAGAATGTTGGAAATTGGGCAGGCTTGGAAAGGTAAGCAGGGTATATAATTTTCATTCACATTTCCTACTCATATTTCTCATACCAATCAGCCAATTCACTGGTTTCTTCAATTTACATCTAAGTGATTTTCAGGAAACGAGTCTAACTTTTCTTTAAGCATCGCCACCAATAATTTTCACTTCTTTTTTAAACCCCACTAAATCTTTTCTACCCTCCTGGGAACTCATTCTCTTACCTTTGCCTATGCTCCCAGCCATCTGAAAACCTACCATCCACCAGCCAACCAAGAAACAAAGAAAACAAAACAAAGTTTAAAAGTTCCCCACTGGGCATCTACATGACTCAAGAGTCTCAGAACTCACTATCTTTCAGTATTGTAACTTACCAACTTCTTAAAAATGATCTGGGATTTTCCAGTGAGTAATCAGAACTTTCACTTGTGTCTAGACACTTTCAAGTGGAGAAGTGTCCCTACCTTTATGCAAAAGGATATCTTTTTCTATTTATATTTTTTATATATATTTTCTAATTAAGGTTCGTCTATAATATGAAGTAAAATAATGTTTGAGCTGAAAGAGATGTCAAAGGAAAAGCTTTCATTTTACTGATGAGAACCGTTTCACATCCTGTTTTCCCTAACATGGGGTTCCCCAACACCCAGGCTACAGACCAGTGTGGTCCGGTTGGTGGCCTGTCAGGAACTGGGCCGCACAGCAGGAGGTGAGTGGCAGATGGGCAAGTATTATGGCCTGAGCTCCACCTCCTTTCATATGAGCAGCAGCATTAGATTCTCACAGAAGCTCGAACCCTATTGTGAACTGCGCATGCGAGGGATCTAGTTGTATGCTCCTTACGAGAATCTAATGCCTGATGATCTAAGGTGGAACAGTTTCATCTTGAAAGCATCCGCCACCTCCTCCATTGTGGAAAGTTTGTCCTCCATGAAACCAGTCCTTGGTGCCAAAAAGGTTGGGGACCACTGCCCTAACAGACCCATATCCCCCTGCATACTTCAAAAGAGGAATAAATTATATTTTATCTGGAAAATTCCCCTCAATATTTTATGTCCCTTAAGGTAGGTGACAGTAAATGGTTTTTGTGCAAACCACTGATTTATTATTGGCACTAAATAATTAAGTTACTAAAGGCAAATACTATTCTATATTAAATAAGTTTATTACACATAGAATAATAGCATTGTGATAAAAAAAAATTCATGTTTTTTTTTTTTTTTTTTTTTTTGAGGCAGGGTGTCACTTTGTCACCCAGCCTGGAATATGGTGGCATGAACACGGCTCACTGCAGCCTAGACTTCCTGGGCTCAAGCAATCCTCCCACCTCAGCACCCCCCAGCAGCTCGACTACAAGCATGTACTACCACACCTGGCTAATTTTTGTATTTTTTGTAGAGGCGGGGCTTCACCTCTTGTTGCCCAGACCAGTCTGATATTCCTGAGCTCAAGTGATCTGCCCGCCTTGGCCTCCCAAAGTGCTGGGATTACAGGCATGAGCCACCACGTCTGGCCCATGTCCTCATCTTAAGCTTATTAGGTATCATAAAACAAAAATCTTCAAGTGAATGAGAATCAATTATAAAGTAAATGGAAACCAAAAACAAAAAAGAGTCCCTTAAAAACTAAGAATGTAAATCTACCTAGAGATATCCTATTCTATAACAAAGCTATCTTGCATAAGGAATACTACTAATAATTCAAAGTCCATGTAAGGTATTTGTATGTCTGTATTATCTCAGCAGAGCAGAAAATTTAGGGCTTGTAATGATAAGAAACAATCTAATTTCAGGTGATTTGGGATAGTTTTCAGAAAACTCTCATTCCAATGAAGCAAATGAACACTATTGCAGACTTGCAGTGCTTTCATGAGTAGAAAGCCATTTTTATTAGTTCATGTTAAATATTCTATTTTAATAAATAACTTTAATTTTGCAAGAATAAATAATTACAGTATACTTTTCTTCTTTTCATGTCTTTGACATAAATACTTCTATTGTGATAGCATGGGCAGAGCATGGAGCTTTAAACCCAAATGTAACTGGGCTCAAATCCCTGTTCTGCTACCCACATTTGAGCCTTTCTTTTCTTTTCTTTTTTTTTTTTTTTTTTTGAGATAGAGTCTCACTCTATTGCCCAGGCTAGAGAGCAGTGCAGGAGCTCGGCTCCCGGGTCCAAGCAATTCTCCTGCCTCAGCCTCCTGAGTAGCTGAGATTACAGGCACACGCCACCACTCCCAGCTGATTTTTTGTATTTTAGTAAAGACGGGATTTCACCGTGTTGCCCATGCTGGTCGCAAACTCCTAAGCTCAGGCAATCTGACTGCCTTGGCCTCCCAAAGTGCTGGGATTACAGGTGTGAGCCACTGCACCCAGCCTAGCCTTTACTTTCTTGTACATAAAACATAGGTAACATCTACCTCATAGTACTGTTACAAGGATTAAGAGAGTTGCACATATGTAGAAAAAAGAGACATATGGGTGACAGAACTTCCCCAATGACTGAAATGACTTTTCATTAGAGATAAACCACAGTGAATGGTAAGTGAAGTTAGAAAAGAGATAAAAGAATACAAAATTGCTCTGCATAATGAAGTGAAAAAAATCTTGAGCGTTCACAAGCAGGTGAGAAGGAAAAAAAGAGAAGAGAGGGGACCCTGAGATAGAAAAATGTTGGGGGAAGAAAGAAAAGAATGGCATAGCAAGATGGAAGGATGCTGTGACCCAAAGAGAAGAACTGACAATAGGAAGTTCCCTGTGGCCAACTGGGCTCTTAATAAAACAATAATGCTGTGGTATAATATGAAATATATTTGGTTTTTTCCCCAGATCCTGCCACAGAGCTCCTAAAACCCTTGGGATTTCCTGAATGTTAGGAGTGTCTTTTGACATTTATACCAACCCTCTTTTGATGGTACCTGAGTTTATGCTAATACAGTGACTTAGGGTGAGGCCCCTAGATAACCTCAGCATGAGGCTGGTCAGCAGAAAGACCAAATGATTAGAAGGCTGGAACTTTCAGCCCCACTCACTGGCATCTGGGAAGGGGACTGGGCTGGAGATGAAGCTCTATAAAAACACTTGAACAACAAATCTGATGAGCTTCCAGGTTGAGTACATCCAGTGCTGAGAAGGTGGCAAGCCCAGAGACGGCATGGAAGCTCCGTGCCTCCCACCCTGCCATATCTTGCCCCTATACATCTTTTCCATTTGGCTGGTCCTGAGTTTTATCCCTTATAATAAACAAGCAAATGCAAGAAAATGTTTCCTTGAGTTCAGTGAGGAGCTGCCCTAGCAAATTAATGGAACACAAGGAGGGGCACCATGGGAATCGCAACTTACAGCTAGTCCTTCACAAGTATAGGTGGCAACTGTAAGGGAAGTGGCTGCACTGGAGTCAAGGGTAGGCTGAGGTAAACATTTGGTGCTGCATGACACAGTGGGACTGGAGCACAGGCACACAATCCCGTGCAGTATATAATCACAGTTATGTAACCATGTTATGGGTGGGCTCATCACCTGGCGTTGAGCCACCATTTTCTGTAATATAACCGCACTGCTAACTCTGTAAGAGAGAGCTGGGCTACCTTGCAGGTGGCCAGGAGGGGAGCCAGGAAGTGGCAAGTGCACTGGGGAGCACAGCTACAGGCATGTGGGTGGCAGGAGCTGCAAAGCCAGCGCTGAGAAGGGCTATGGCACAGCTACAGGTATGGGGGTGGCTGAGACAAAGGCTGATAGAGAGAGAGAATAAAGCCATATCCCAACTGCCTACAGTGCCCCGAGTGTTTTTCCAACTACCCGCCACCCATCCATCAACTCCCCTCAGACCCCAGCTCAGGCTGGAACCTGACAATTGGTGTAGTCAGCAGGATTCCGAGGTGAGTGTGTCCTCAGCCCCCAGTGATCCTGGGTTGGCTATGTGGCTGTGCTGCTAGGATGGGCTCCAGTAGAAACATGGGCAGCAGTGGACGGGTCCCCTGTGAGCACAGAGAAGGTACTGAAACACCTGGAAGCACACAGCACCGAGAAGGAGCATGCCTTTGCCAGCAGAGTCAGATGGGCATTTTTGACTGCACTATGGTCAGTGCATGCCCACTCCCTGCAGGATGCAGCACAGGTAAGGGACCTTCAGATGCAAGCCAAGCGCCTGGAGGGCCAGATACACAGTTTGGAATAAGAAGTGGGAACTGCCATAAGTGACAGCTTGAGCCCACCCTCCCAGCTGGACATTCCCGCTTGGTCTGATACTGAGGGGGAAGAACCCCTACTGCGGGCTAACCCTATGGTCCACCAGAAAATAGAGCATGAATAGCCACTTGGGCCCAAAAAGCAGACCCAGGAATCCCCTACCATGGTGGAGCATGCTTCATATAGTGCCTATACCCCCAGTGATTTGTGGGAGTTAGGCAAACAGTGTTGGCACCATCTGGGGGAGCCCCTACCGACCTGGGAAGTGCTGGTAACTTCGTGGAGGCAATTGACCCCAAAGCAGCAATTCCGGAAATGCCCACCCAGATAGATGCTCTGGCTCAAGGACTACTTACAGACAGGCAGAGGTATAGAGCCTTTTGTGTTTGATTAGGGAGCTGGCTGAGATACCCGGCTTGGGGGGACACCAGATGACCAGAGGCCACATGTGGAATTAGCAATCCACTGGTCCCCCACCAATGTATAGCAGGTGCTGGTGCTGGTAGACATTGGCACAGATTGTAGTCTTGTCTATGGGAGCCCGGATAAGTTTCCGGGTAAAGCTGCATACATAAATGGCTATGGAGGCTAGTCAGTGAAAGTGAAACCTGTACCTTTGCACCTTGGTATTGGCCACTTGGCTCCCTGTTTATACTGTGTACGTCTCTCCCATACCTGAATATATTCTGGGGGTGGATATTTTACACTGCTTGGCAGCTGTGCCATCTATCACGGATTTGATGGACCACTTGACGATGGAATTGGGACAGTACCACTATGTGGTGGACTTGGCCAATGCATTCTTCTCAATTGACATTGCTCTAGAGAGCCAGGAACAGTTCACCTTCACATGGGAAGGATGACAATGGACTCTCACGGTGTTGCTCCAGGACTATGTGTGTAGCCCCACCGATATGTCATGGCCTCGTTGTCACAGATTTAATCACCTAGAAATGTCCAAAGAGAGTCCCCTATTCCATTATATAGATGATATTATGCTAACCTCTGATTCTCTTGCAGATTTAGAAGTGGCAGCACCTCTCTTGCAACAGTTGGCAGCATGCGGTTGGGCCGTCAATGAATCCCAGATCCCAGGGCCTGGATTGACTGCCAATTCTTAAGAGTTACCTATCTGGTTGGGTAAGACGAAAGCCATATCAGAGGCCGTCATAGACAAAATCCAGGCATATCCCTGGCCCACCACTGTAAGGCAGCTGCAGACTTTTATGGGCCTCCTGGGGTACTGGTGGGCATTTGTGCCCCATTTGGCTCAGATGATAAAACTGTTGTACCGGTTGACAAAAAAGGGGGCTACCCGGGATTGGGATAAGGAGGTTGAGACAGCCTTTCTGGCAGCCAAGCAGGCTATTCAGCAGCAAGTGTAGGCCCTAGAAGTGATTAACCAGGGGTGCCCATTTGAACTTGATGTGCATGTGACCACAGATGATTCTGGCTGGGGCCTATGTCAGCACATGGACTGCTTTAGAATGCCAGGAGGCTTTTGGTTCCAACTTTGGAAGGGAGCTGAGCTCCAGTATTCGTTGATAGAGAAGCAGTTAGCAGCTGCATATGCCGCCCTTCAGGCTTATGAGAGTGTGATGGGACGGACTACAGTCATCATGCAGATGACTTACCCAATAGTGGGGTGGATATGTTCATGGGTAATGACTCCCGGGACTGGGATGGCACAGACATCCACTTTAGCAAAGTGGGGTGTCTACTTAGAACAGCGGAGTCCTCTGAGTACAAGCCCCTTATTAGCAGAACTGCAAGAAGTCTTGGGACCTGTGTTCCTGATGCAATATAGGGCTATGGGTCAGCCTGAGGTACCCCTAAACCCTGAGCCATCACTGTTTAAAGAGGGGCACCCCACCCCATCCCCCATGGGGCATGATATATGGATGGACCCAACTGGGGTGCTACTGCTGCCTGGACCACTGTTGTGTGCGGTTCAGCTTAGTACTGACACCATATGGTTTGATACCGGGTGTAGACAAAGTAGTCAGTGGGCCAAACTCAGGACAATGTGAATGGTGATCACCAAAAAGGTGACACCTATGATAATCTGCACTGATAGCTGAGCAGTTTATTAAGGCTTAACCTTGTGGTTAACTACCTGGAAGTTACAGAATTGGCTAGCTGGTCACCGGACCATTTGGGGCGGGGCCATGTGGCAAGACCTATGGGAGAAAGGATGACCTCCTCCAACCAGTTATGGTGACAAGTGGTAATTTGTTGTTGCCTGCCTCAATGTCCCTAAAGGTAGGGGAACAAAAACCTGGTTTTGGCCATGGACCCTCCAAGCCACCCATTGCAGATGGATGGCCATCGTAGCCCCCTGGAGGGAGGGCTTGGGAATTTAATGTATGGCCTCTGATATGGTTTGGCTGTGTCCCCACCCAAATCTCAACTTGAATTGTATCTCTCAGAATTCCCATGTGTTGTGGGAGGAACCCAAGGAGAGGTAATTGTATCATGGGGGCCAGTCTTTCCTGTGCTATTCTCATAATAGTGAGTAAGTCTCATGAGATGGGCTTATCAGGGGTTTCTGCTTTTGCTTCTTCCCCATTTTCTCTTGCTGCCACCTATGTAAGAAGTGCCTTTCACCTCCTACCATGATTCTGAGGCTTCACCAGCCATGTGGAACCGTAAGTCCAATTAAACCTCTTTTTCTTCCCAGTCTCGGGTATGTCTTTATCAGCAGCATGAAAACAGACTAATACAGCCTCTGTGATTGACCATTTGTAGGGGAATGGCCAAGGAAGGAATCCTCCTCCAGGGCACATATGTACTGCTGCTGTGGCCTATAGGTCCAGGGTGCTGCCCTATGGACACATTTCTCCACTAAGAGGACTCCCTTGGCCTAGGGGATGGAGTGTAAGGGAAATAGCTGCACTGCAGACAAGAGTTGGCGGAGGCAAACATCTAGTGCTGCATGACACAGTGGGACTGGAGCGCAGGTGCACAATCCTGTGCATTACATAATCACAGTTATGTAACCACATTATGGGTGGGCTCATCAACTGGCTTTGAGCCACTATTGTCTGTGAGCAATATAACTGGACTGCTGACTCTGTAAGAGAGAGCTGGGCCACCTTGCAGGTGGCTGGGAGGGGAGTCAGGAAGCGGCAAGCACAATGGGGAACTCAGCTACAGGCGTGGGGGTGGCAGGAGCGGTGGAGCCAGCGCTGAGAGGCCGCAGTTGGAGCAGGTGGCCAAAACAAAGGCTGACACAGAGAGAGAGAGAGAGAGAGAGAGAGAGAGAGAGAGAGAGAGAGAGAGAGAGAATAAAGCTGTATCTCAACTGCTTATGGTCCCCCAAGTGTCCTTTCAACTACCCACCACCCGTCCACCAACTCCCCTCAGACCCCAGCTGGGCTTGGAACCTGACAACAACCTACTACTTGGAATTGGAATTTGAAGTTGGGGGGACACTCCAGGCAGATGGTATCAGAATTGAAATGAATTATAGGATACCCAGCTGTGTCCAGTGGAGAACTGCTTGGTGTGTGCTGTGTTGAGCATATAGTACATGAGAAAGAGTAAGGCAACTTTGCCTTAGGCACCCAACATTCTCATTTTTTTTTGAACCTACATTTTTAAGAAATAGGCTTTATTTTTTAGAATGGTTTTAGGTTCTAAAATTCCACAGAAGATAGGGAGATTTCCCACATACTCCCTGCCCCCACACATCCATAACCTCCCTATTATCAATATTGCCCACCAGAGTGGAACATCAGTTACAATTGATGAACCTGCCTTGAAACATTTTTATCACAGAGTCCATAGTTTCCATTAGGGTTCACTCTTGGTGTTGTACATTCCGTGCATCTGAACAAATGTTTAATGACATGTGCCCACCATTACAGTTGTACAGAGTAGTTTCACCACCTTAAGAATCTATTATTGGCCAGGCAGGATGGCACATGCCTGTAATCCCAGCACTTTGGAAGGCTAAGGTGGGAGGATGACTTGAGCCCAGGGGTTTGAGATCAGCTCTGGCAACATAGCAAGACCTCATCTCTACAAAAAATACAAAAATTACCTGGGCATGATGGCACGCACCTGTAGCCTACAGTCTCAGCTACTCGGGAGGCTGAGGCAGAAGGACTGCTTGAGCCTAGGTGGTTGAGGCTGCAGTGAGCCCAAGCCATGGTCGTACCACTGCACTCTAGCCTGGGCAACAGAGAGAAGCCCTGTCTCAAAAATACACATACATACACATACATATATTCTTATTATATATATATGTGTGTATATATACATATTCTTAACATTCTAAGTCCTCTCCCCCTTGTGCTGTAATATGTCTGCCACAACTAGCCACCCCTTCCCCCAACAAAAGGAGAAAGTTTGCCCAATAAAACTGTTTTGTGTAAAGACACAATTGCCTTGAGTAAAATCTTAGTAAAAGTCTACTAAATACAATTGCCTTGAGTCAAGCGGTGTTTTGAGAAAATCTAGAAATGTGGGCTGTATCCAGATTTGAACTTACACAAGGTGATAAAAAGGGAACAGCTATAAGACATAAAACAGCAAACTGGAGAATCCAGGAGGAACAGAGAAAAATGCAAATGGTATCTGGAAGAAAATTAAATCCTAGAGATACTGTGGAAAAGAGAGGAAGAGTAAGAGGCAGGATTCCTTTGTATTTAAATATCCTGGGACACAGCTACTCCAGCAGACTCGGGGGAGAGGCGGAAAGGCAGGCGGCTGACATCTGGTTACAGGCTGCCTCATTTCCACATGGGTGGCAGTCGGTAAAGTGCTGTTCTAGCAGTCTTTCACGCTCTTCACAGGTATCAGGGAAAATAAGAATATTTTGTAAAGTTATATAAAACTACCATGAAGTAAGTTATAATGTACCCAAAACAGGCAACCAGGACTTCCAGAAAGGGACTGGCTTGTTGGAAGCCAAATGGAAGGCAGGGAAGAGGGGAGGTCTAAAAGCAGGTATTCTCCAAAAGCCACTTACAACCTCACAACATAACTAGATCAAAGAATTTCTGTCATGCCAGATAGTGGAAGGCTGCTATGTTGAGAAAGGCAATTGAGCAGTTTTGGCGGCGGAGTCAAACAGAAGGCTTAGAATCAACATCTGTTTTCTACAGTATGCTCGCTTTGATTTCCATCTCCAAGTTTCTGAAATTCCAGAAACAGTATATGGCCTTGTCAAAGAAATGACGAATTACTATGTTACTTTGTGTTAACGAAAAGGTTACATTTATGTTCATATGGAAGAGATAATTCACTGAAGAATTTCCAATTTTTCAAACTGACACGCACACACAAGACGGAAAGGAAGGCAGCCTGACCGCGTTTCCCAGGAAACAGGTGGTGCAAGGTGGAGGTGCACCACTCTCTCCTCCAGGAAGGCGGTGACCCTTCCGCAGATGTCTCCGTTGGAAACAAATAAAGGGAGTATCAGTCAAAGCGCAATTCCCCGATTCCACTTGAGAAGCCCCGGGCGTCGAGGCACGGCAGGAAATTTACCACGACGCCTCCCACTGGCTCAAGGGTCTCCCAGGTGCTGTCGATTTTGCAAAGGGTCCGTCTCTACAGCGACTGTGACGAGTTTCGGAGCATCAGCACCGGGGAGCGCTGACCCGACACTCGGCTCTACCGCAGCCCGCCGCGCCTCGGCACCCTGGGCTTGTCCGGCTGGGTGTTGCCGAGCGAACGCCCCAGCTCCTGCCCGGAACCCACGTCCGCCGGCTCCTACCGTGCCTCATGATCCTCGCTCGGGCTAGCACTTTCCACGCGCGCTGACTCTGGGCTCCGACACCTGGACCGCCTCCGCAAGGCGGCGCGGCTGCTGTTTGTAAACACGCCCCACGTGCGCTCGCCCTGCCCCATTCGCAGCCCGCTCCCGGCACGCGAGGATCCTCCGCTTTCCCCCCAGCACTGGGGGGGTGAGATTTTAAAATTTCCCCCTAGGGAGAAAAGAGCCTCGTCGGCAGAGCCGGGCCACTGGGAAAAGCGCCAGGACAAGGCGAGCGTGTGCCTCCCCCTGCCGGCCAGGGAGGCACTGCGGCCCCGAAACGGCCAGGCGGTGAGTGGAACCCACGCAGCGCCTAGAGACGCACCCCTGCCGGGCCCCCGCCCCTCCCGCCCGCTCGCCGGAGTCCCCTCCCCCGGGCCGCGTGCGCTCACCCGCGCAGGCCCCGCCCCCTCGCCGGCACAACGTTCTGCGGGGGCGCGCGCGTGCTCTCTAATCCCCCGCCTTCCGGCTCCGGCGGCGACGCTCGTCCCTCTCCGCTCGTCCCTCGCCGCTGCCGGGCCACCAGTGCCAGCCTGCCTCAGGAGACTCCATTTGCGCTTAGTGTGGTCTGGGCGCCGCGCAGGCGGTCCCAGGGCGATGCCCGGGGCCGGCGGACTGGCGTTCCCTGTGCCAAGCGGCCGCCCGCTGGCTGGCTGGCTGCAGCAGTGACATCCTGGTCGCCGGCGTCCAGGCGGAATCCGGGCTCCCTCCGCGGGAGGAAAGACGTCCCGCGCTCTGAAGCTCGCCCAGCGGGGAGAGGCCCTCGCTAACACGGCTTCTCCCTGACCTCTTAATTTCAGGAGGTAGGCTCTTCAGGTCCCTCTCTCTGTCACCCCAGATTATGCCTGAAAGCATTATTTGTCGTATTTAGCTATCACATTGATAGGAGGCGTTAATTTTCTCAACATAGTTGCAGGATAAATGTGGATAATGCCACAGATCCTGATGTTGAATTGAAAGAAAATGTTTTTGGTATTTTCCTTTAGGTTTCGGAGCCTCCGAGTATCTCTACAGCCCCCACAGGAACTGCTTCTGTTGGTCCATCGAGGATCGTCTTTCACCAGGATTATTGTAACATCATCTTCACCGAGCCTGCCACCCCATAGCCTCTACCTTGGGTCCTCATTTCCACCGATGCAGTTTTTTTGATGCTTTCTTTAGTAATGTGACATCACATGTCCACTATCCTCCTTTCCAGCTGCCAAATCTAGTAGGTTTAAGTCGCTTTTAAAGTAGAGTTTTCTGCCTGTTCCACTTTCACCTTATTTGCACTGTTCACTTCTGTCCGGGTCATCTTCTCTTGCGTATGATTTCCACAAGCACTCACTTGCGCAACCTATAGCAGAGTCCGTGCCTAGAGAGACAGCATTCCATACAATCCACTGCTTGACAAAGACCACATAGTCAGAGGGTGAGTTTTCCCATTGTATTTTCCTGTATGTCAAGTTTGCAAGTCCTCTCTTGACTTAAACTGTTTACTCCCTAGCACATTTCCTAAAATACTTCCACCTGAGATTTAGTGGCTATTCTGGCAAAGAACATTACCTGCAAGGATGGCAAGAATTGAGTATGCAATAGTACTGTTTTAGAAGCCTTACCAGTACAGTTTCTAGCCTCTAGTGTGATTGCACTTCATGAAAGACCCTGAACCCTGAGGAGGAAGAAAGATAGAAGATAAGAGTTAATTGGCGCTAGGCTTTGTTGTAGGAAGTTTGTAAGTTTTAAAATAGCAAGTAGATTCACGTAGACCTTGTCAGGAAATTGGTCACTATCCATCTAGGCCCTAGAAGTGAGAGGAGGAATCTTACGAACTCATTTTCTAGTTGCTTTGTATTCAAATCTTAGTTGTTAATTATCTTGTTCTAGTAATCACCTAAAATATTAGACACTTAAAATGTTGGGGAAACGTAAGCGTGTGGTGTTGACAATTAAGGACAAGCTTGACATTATTAAGAAACTTGAGGAAGGCATCTCTTTCAAAAAACTTTCCGTGGTGTACGGAATTGGTGAATCCACAGTTCGTGATATTAAAAAGAACAAAGAAAGGATTATAAACTATGCAAACAGTTCAGATCCTACCAGTGGAGTATCCAAACGTAAATCTATGAAGTCATCAACATACGAGGAGCTTGATAGAGTTATGATAGAGTGGTTTAACCAACAGAAAACAGATGGGATTCCAGTGTCCGGAACGATTTGTGCAAAACAAGCCAAGTTCTTTTTTGATGCTTTGGGAATGGAAGGTGATTTTAATGCATCGTCAGGCTGGCTAACTCGATTTAAGCAGCGCCATGGTATTCCAAAGGCTGCTGGTAAAGGAACAAAATTAAAAGGAGATGAAACTGCTGCCAGAGAATTTTGTGGTAGCTTTCAGGAATTTGTTGAAAAAGAGAATCTACAACCAGAGCAAATTTATGGTGCTGATCAAACTGGATTGTTTTGGAAATGTCTACCATCAAGGACATTAACTCTTGAAACTGACCAAAGTACTTCTGGGTGTAGGTCAAGCAGAGAGAGAATCATCATTATGTGTTGCGCAAATGCCACAGGTTTACACAAACTTAATCTTTGTGTTGTGGGGAAGGCCAAAAAGCCCCGAGCATTCAAAGGCACTGACCTTTCAAACCTTCCTGTGACATATTACAGTCAAAAAGGTGCATGGATAGAACAGTCTGTTTTCAGACAGTGGTTTGAAAAGTACTTTGTGCCACAGGTACAGAAGCATTTGAAATCCAAGGGACTTTTAGAAAAAGCAGTGCTTCTTTTAGATTTCCCCCCAGCACGTCCAAATGAAGAAATGTTGAGTTCAGATGATGGCAGAATAATTGTGAAGTATTTGCCACCAAATGTCACAAGTCTGATTCAACCAATGAGCCAGGGAGTTCTAGCCACTGTAAAAAGATACTATCGAGCAGGACTTCTCCAGAAATACATGGATGAAGGAAATGACCCAAAAATATTTTGGAAGAACTTGACAGTGTTGGATGCAATTTATGAAGTGTCAAGAGCTTGGAACATGGTAAAATCAAGTACCATAACCAAAGCATGGAAAAAACTTTTCCCTGGCAATGAAGAGAATTCAGGTATGAACATTGATGAAGGAGCCATTTTAGCAGCTAATTTAGCAACAGTTTTACAGAACACAGAAGAATGTGAACATGTTGACATTGAGAATATTGATCAGTGGTTCGACTCTCGGAGCAGTGACTCAAGCTGTCAGGTGCTGACTGACAGTGAAAGTGCTGAGGACCAGACCAAGGCTGCTGAGCAAAAGCCTTCCAGTAAGAGTAGAAAAACAGAACTGAATCCAGAGAAGCATATTAGCCATAAAGCGGCACTTGAATGGACTGAAAATTTACTGGATTATCTTGAACAACAAGATGACATGCTTCTGTCTGATAAATTGGTATTAAGGAGGCTTCGGACCATAATAAGAAAAAAACAGAAGATCCAAAATAACAAAAATCATTAATAAGGCTCTTAAGTATTTCAGTGTATCTGCATCTTTGTGACTATCTGCAGTGAAACTTTGCTTGTTTGAAGTCCTGTGGATTCCAAAGCCAAATACATTTTATAAATGATTTTGGAATTAGATGTCAGTTTGGATTACTTAAATTACAACTCTTTAATGTTGACTCTAGTCATTGGGCATTGACGTGTAACTTGTCTTTCTACTGTTTCTAATATCTATTAATTAGATCATAAGGTACCTGAGGCCAGGGATCTTGTGTCTGTTGTGCCTGAATTTGGCGTGTCTAATAAAGGCCCATGCACACTATAGGCACTCAATAAAACTTACATTTTTATGATTTTTCTTTGAAGTTGAACTTCCAAATTGAAATATGTTGGGGGTAAGTTTCCATTTCCGCAGCTTTTCCACTGCTGAAAAGAAGAGTTCAGCAAAAATTGCGCTTGAAGTATTTCACTGCGACTGCAGAGAACTGAAGGAAAATAGTCTAAAGCCTTAAATATTGCATTTCTGTACTAGCAGTATTTGGGCAATTAGCAATTCAGATCAACCATCTCTTGAGAATAGTAAAGGAAGAGAAGTATGATTTAAATGTCCCAGAAAAAGGATTTGCACTTCATTTTTTTTTTTCCATCTGATAAGAGGGAGTGTTCCTAAATAGTTGTGGAAAGAATCCCATTCCTGTTCCAGGAAAATAGATTTCAGTTCCCAAACCATTGCAGTTAGAAGAGGTAAGCGTTACATTTTATCATCTGTCTTTTGGGTTCTTTATAGATGCCAGTAGTATTTCTCTTTAATAAGCTATTTGACGTTTATGTAACATTTGAAAGCTTACAAAGTATGTATGTCATTTGCTTTCATACAGCATTTTTTGTGAAAACCAATACTGAGAATATAAGCATACATCTAATTTGTGGAACCAGCAGATGAACAGTAGACTAACATAAAGTAGAACACGAAGAGAGGCAGTAGAGGAGTGCAGCTGCTGTGTGACCATCGGCAAATTACTTAACCCCCGCATCTGTTAAATACAAGTAATACCTGCCTCAGAGTTTTGTGAGGTGTAAACGAGTTGACATATGGATTTTAAATAATAGGGGCTTATAATAGGGCCTGGCACAGAATAACATTGAATGTTAGCTGTTACTCCCATTGTGGATATTGAGTTTCAGTAGTATGCTAAACAGATCCAATGTGTTACTCAAAGTAGGGTTGCTGCATTTGGAAAACCCTTCCAAGGAAGTGAGATAAAAGAGATACAAGTGGCCAGGCGCGGTGGCTCACGCCTGTAATCCCAGCACTTTGGGAGGCCAAGGCAGGTGGATCACTTGAGGTCAGGAGTTCAAGACCAGTCTGGCCAACATGGTGAAACCCCGTCTCTACTAAAAACAGAAAAAATTAGCGGGGCATGGTGGCATGCGCCTGTAATGCCAGCTACTCAGGAGGCTGAGGCAGAAGAATCACTTGAACCCAGGAGGCAGAGGTTGCAGTGAGCTGTGATCACGCCACTGCACTCCAGCCTGAAACTCCGCCTCAGAAAGAAAAGAAAGAAAAAAAGATACAAGTAATTAGTTTCAGCAGAAATGCAATAATGATTTCTTTCATTGAAAACTGAAGGGTTACTCTAATTGAAAAATCACTTACCACCCCCTGGTAGGCTTTGTGATGTATGCAGGCATTTAAGATATCTTAGGTGGAGTTATAACAGGAAATGAGAATGGAATTGTAATTTCTTTGGTCCAGTTCTGTTAGCACTTTGCTAATAAAAAGATGTTGGCTTTATTCATAGAAGAAAATCTTAATATTGGCATAATAATAAAATACCTTTACAGTGGATAATATAGCAATAAGCAAGACACCTGGAATATTTTATCTAACTAAAGTAATACGGGATAAGTAGAAAAAGCAAAAGAAATGTCATGGGAGACAGTGGTTATAGTAATTAGGCCCAGCTATATATAGGGAGCTTGTCATTTGGTTTGAGGGGAATTTAGAGCCCACATCTGATTATTTTCTTTCGTGAGGATTATCATCAGTGTCTTCAGCTGAGCCTCTGGATTCTAGAATAGCTTTTTCAGAAGACCTCTCAGAATATACTTTCTTTGGATAATTCATACATCATTATTAAAACACTTTCCTCAGTTTACACTGTTTCACCTACCTGATAGCCTTGAGGAAATACAACCCTGCAAGATAAGTCCTGAGGCTATTTGGCTTCCTGGAGACCAAGGATTCTAAAACTTGATAAGGGTAATGACTTACATTTGAACACTGCTTTGCATTTTCACATTGCTTTTTGCTAACACAAACTTAAACTTTGTTCAGTCATGACACTGAACTGGTTTAGTCTCATGTTGTATCATTAATCGTAATATAAATTATGCATTCTCATTCCGCATTTCATTGCAATACAAAAATCTTAACCTCCTTGAGATATTGTAATAGTTCCTCTAGAAAGACACATCATGGTAATCTTGGTTAACACTTGCCCCTTATGTGTACCCTAGTTTGAAAAGCAGACATATGTACTCTCATTTGACTTTGTACACCTTAAAGGAAATACCTACAAATTCTGATTATTGGTTAATAATTCTGACTATTGGTTAATTTTAAAAATGTATATGTTTTTTAGAGGAACCTGAGAGACTAACAGAACTCAGACTAAATGGACAAAGTATTTGGCAACTAAGCATGCTTTTTTCACAAAACTGCAGTGTGAATATTTACTATTTCATAATTCAGTCTCAGTAATACAGGGGTTGGTTGGAGAACTGGGCGCTAAATAAATATAGAGTTGGCAGGCCAGGATCAGAAGCCGTAGTCAATTTAAGCAGAATGATAGGGAGGACCCTGCACTCCAAAATTAGATTTATTCAGGAGGGCTGTGTTCACGTATCACCTTAATATTTTCACAAATTGACTTTTTTTTTTTTAATATACACACTATATATGTTAAGCAATGATATCTACAGAATTGCAGGTCTCATGTGCCAACTGGGGTCTTTGTCTAATTCAAGTTAAACATAAGAATTCTTATTTTTAAACTTGCCAAACTAAAACTTAAAATCAATTTTGTATACCTCATCTGCACACTTTAGAAACACTAGCCAAGCAGAAGGAGTAGGGTTGTTGAAGGTTAACAGATTGGAATGCAAACTCCAGCTTCTCCACTCTTTATATAGTTAACCTTAGCAGCATTCTGGACCTCTCTGAACCTCAGTTTACCCATATGTGAAAGAGTTGAAAGGTAAGCAGTCACATTCCAGGCATTCATAAACACCAGCTATTAAGCAATCCTACAGCTATACATTGAGAACCCCTGGTCTTCAGGCTTACCCTGGAGAATTCATCACAGCTCTTCTCTCACAGAGACTGTGCAGACCCCCAGGAAACCCAGGCACCTCTATTGAGGTCCAGGGCACTGACCCATCTCTGGGAATGCTGGCTGGGGTGTATGCATAGGTGGGCAGGCAGCATTGAGTTCCCCGGACCCTGAGGACTGTAGCTGTCAGTCACTACAGGGGTCCATCTGTAAAAAAGTTGAGTTACAGATAAACTTGTAACTTCTAGTTTCTTCTAAGACCAACAAAAATGATACCTGATTCCTGCATTTCAGAATATCTTGATCTTCTGGAACTTACTTACAAAGAAAGTCACCTTTGAGTGTAAAAAAAGATAAACTCAAGGCAGTTTTACTCATCTGTTGAAGACTTGACCTGAACTCAAGTGATCCTCCCACCTCAGACTCCCACATAACTGGGACTACAGGAGTATGCCACCATGCCCGGCTAATTTTTTTTTTCTTTCTTTCTTTTTTTTTTTTTTGTGAACCAGAGTCTCACTCTGTTGCCCAGGCTGGAGTGCAGTGGCGCGTTCTCAGCTCACTGCAACCTCTGCCTCCTGGGTTCAAGCGGTTCTCCTGCCTCAGCCTCCTGAGTAGCTGGGACTACAGGTGCCCGCCACCGTGCCTGGCTAATTTTTTGTATATTAGTAGAGATGGGGTCTCACTGTGTTGCCCAGTCTGATCTCAACTCGGCTCAAACGCCCTGGCCTCTCAAAGTGCTGGGATTACAGGCATGAGCCACTGCACCCACCCCATAATACTATTCATTCCTTGAACACATACATACTTTTTACTAATTTAGGAGAAAAAATAGGGTAATCCTTACCAAATTACTCAAAATCTTATCTTTAAAGACATGCTGCTTTATTCCTTTTAAATATATAAAGTAGGCCAGGCACGGTGGCTCATGCCTATAATCCCAGCACTTCGGGAGGCCGAGGCGGGTGGATCACGAGGTCAGGAAATCAAGACCATCCTGGCTAACACGTGAAACCCTGTCTCTACTAAAAATACAAAAAATTAGCCAGGCGTGGTGGCGGGTGCCTGTAGTCCCAGCTACTCGGGAGGCTGAGGCAGGAGAATCGCTTGAACCCGGGAGGCAGAGGTTGCAGTGAGCCGAGACCGTGCCACTGCACTGCAGCCTGGGTGACAGAGCAAGACTCCGTCTCAAAAAAAAATTATATATGTAGTATATATGTAAATATATATGTAGTATATATGTATATATATATAGTATATATGTAAATATATATAAATTGAAGAGCTAACAAAATGTAGTCAAATAGTGGTTTTACTGGCCATACTTCTAATGATTTGTATGTAAATTAATTCTGGTAAGTTTTTAGATTGTTCAAGAACAGTTGTTTTTCCTGTTTATTTATATTATCCACAATGGGTTTTTGTTTATCTGTATTTTATTCAGAGTTCCTTGGTTTGAACCTGGTGTCCTGTTCCAGGCATCCAGCCAGGATACTACATTATGTTTAGTCATTGTGTGTTCTTAGGCTCCTCTTGGCTGTACTAGTTTCTTAGAATTTCCTCGTTTTTGATTGTCTGGACATGATGATCTTGACAGTTTTGAGGAAAAGTGGTCAGGTATTTTGTAGAATGTCCCTCATATGATAAAAAGTTTTTTAGTTCTTTGTGCATTTCTTGCCCCCACTAACACAAAATAGACTGTGAAAGTGCCATTATTAAAGATACATTAAAGTATGAGAGAAAGATAAATTCTTATAAGAATCTGGGAAGGCTTTTCATCACAAGTAATGTTGTCCATGAAGTAATTAGTTGTGTTTGTGATAGAATAGGGGGTGTCACGTGAAAATCAAGAGTGCAGGTCATGTTCTAGTAACAGACTAATAGAATTGCAATGTGATGCGAGTAAGGTGCAATTAGAAGTAACAGTGTTAAAGTTTGGCAGGGGCCTGAGAGCTTTTTTCCCTCCTGACACCAAATAAATGGTATCTTTTCCAACAACACTTCTCTAACTCTCTGACATCAACTATGTGTCCTACAATTCTGACACTAACTACCCAGAATTAGGATCAGATTCCACAGATTCAAGGGCTCAGTCCTACAAGATTGCCCTCATTTCTGATGCCAGTTGCAAGTATTAGGCCCCCAGATTAGTCAGGCATTCTCCCAATACTTCCTCAGACTTGATAATTTACTAGAATGACTCATAGAACCCAGGAAAATGCTACACTTACTAGTAGTTTATTCTAAAGGATACAAATGAACAAGCGATACATAGGGGGAGGTCTAGAAGGGTCCTGAGTGCAGGCTTTATCCCTTTGGAGTTGGGATGTACCATCCTTCTAGCACGTGGATGTGTTCACCGACTTAGAAGCTCCCTAAACCCCAGAGGCATTATCGATGGCCAAGCTTTTCTTTTGTCCCATATCGATGCCAGGGGTGGTGTGGCTGGCTGCCCTGGGTCCATCACGTTCCTCAGTGGGACCCCTATGGCCAAGGGATTTAGAGTCAGAAGACTTACAGCCAATTCAATGTTTTAGGCCAAATGGGAATGGAGGTGGGCAGGCGCTCAGAAAACTCCTTTAATTAAGCAACATAAGAGACCAAAACCAAAAGCCAAAAAACCAGGTTACAAAATTGACTTGTTTATATCGATAGTGCCTCTGGCATATGTTGACCATAAAAGGAATATGAACTAAAAAAATAAAATCCTAAGCCTCCCGACAGACTGAATGGACCCGCTCTTGGCCAAACGGGATCCCCAAAACCCTGAAAATCTATCAGGGTATGGCAGGAAGTGGGCATTGGACACACCTCATTGTGCCCACCCCCCGCCCTTTGGAATTTAGGCACAAGTGACCACCACTAACATTAAAATAGAGATTATAAGACCGACAAAACCGACTCTTGTAACAACAAAATACCAAATTATAAACAGGACCTAAGACCATGCAGGCAGGGGTTAAGTGATACATGCCTACACTTAAAGAGTAAGCTGGCCGGGTGCGGTGGCTCACGCCTGTAATCCCAGCACTTTGGGAGGCCGAGGCCGGTGGATCACGAGGTCAGGAGATCGAGATCATCTTGGCTAACACAGTGAAACCCCGTCTCTACAAAAAAAAAAAAATACAAAAAGCCGGGTGTGGTGGCGGGCGCCTGTAGTCCCAGCTACTCTGGAGGCTGAGGCAGGAGAATGGCATGAACCCAGGAAGCGGAGCTTGCAGTGACCCGAGATCGCGCCACTGCACTCCAGCCTGGGTGACAGAGCAAGGCTCCGTCTCAAAAAAAAAAAAAAAAAAAAAATAGTAAGCTGTGTTCTAGCTGCTACAAGGGTTTTCTTTTTCCCTAACAGTTAGACAAGCACTGGCCTCAAACTCACTGGCCCCCAGCCCCTGTTCCATCAGCCATAACTACAGATTTAATTAACACGAGACTGACTTTAATAATTTTCACCTGATAGAAGACCACGGACTATGGGCTAGTTCTAGCTGGTTTACAGAAATTGCACACTTGCGTGCCTTTCTGCCCTGAAAAGACCTTTTAATGTATAGGACCTAATTGTAATACGTTTAAATATTAAGTCTCCACCACAAAATAACATGGGTCATATGTTACATGCATATTTGTTGAATGCACATGGGTCAGGACCACCTTCATGAATATTCCTAGCCCCTCCTGCAACCTGTTAAATATGTAAGTTCAGCCAACATGTTGTCATATTCCCACAGGACCTCCAAGCACGATTGATAGGGGAGAATGTGCACTATAATTAAGACTGAGTGGTATGTGTACATCCTAGATAATTCTGGAAACAAATCCTCAGCCCTATGAGACATGCATAAGCAAATTAATGCTATGTCTTATCCCACAATGTCCTAAGTCAGTGGCTCTCCTCATGGTTTGGATCAGGCCCCTCTTGGTGAAAAAAAGTTGCTCATAATTTTAGCCATGATTATAGGGCTAGGTTTATTCTGCTGCTGTAGACTCTATTGCAGTTACACACTCACCATGATGCTCTAGCAGATCTCTTCCTTAAGCCCATGGACTCACAAATATTTTCCACTCCAAGTGGTGAGGTTCCATTCCACTGCACCTTAACTGCACCCCGTTTCAGCAGGAAGTACCTAGATGGAGCACATCACCCCCTTTCCATAGAAATGAAATGGAACTTGACAGTGGGGAGTTGTAACCAAGAGTGTCAGCTTTAAAATGTATTTTAAAGCCTTCCCACTAGCCTTAAAGTGTATTTAAAAGGTTTTTTTCCTTTTTTTTTCTCTCCTTCCCCCTGGACACTGCCTTATACCATGACCTTATGACCAACTTATACATGCTTATCTAACTGTATGCTTGCTTAGAAATTCCAGGGGCTGGCCGGGCGCGGTGACTCACGCCTATAATCCTAGCACTTTGGGAGGCCGAGGTGGGCAGATCACTGGAGATCAAGACCATCCTGGCTAACACCGTGAAACCCTGTCTCTACTAAAAATACAAAAAAAAAAAAAAATTAGCTGGGCGTGGTGGCGGGCGCCTGTAGTCCCAGCTGCTCTGGAGGCTGAGGCAGGAGAATGGCATGAACCCGGGAGGTAGATCTTGCAGTGAGCCGAGCTGAGATCGCACCACTGCACTCCAGCCTGGGGGACAGGGCAAAAAAAAAAAAAAAAAGAAAAGAAATTCCAGGGGCTAATCTTGAAACAGCCCAGGCCTGGAGACCCAGCTGCAGATTACCTCAAGGTGGTTAATCTACAACCTGGTCACAGTCGACATGGGACCAGCTAGTACTCCAGGTGGACAGTAACTCAAGATAGCCATCGGAACAAGACATGCAGACCTGTACTCTATACGATTCCTGCGTGTTTCCCACACCAGGTTTCCCTTTTATAAACCCCTTCAGTCAGCCTTAAAATTTGAGTTATCATTTTGAGACTCGAGTCCGGACATGTCCTCAACTGCTAGCATTTTATTAAAACTGCTTTCCTTTCACCACACTTGGCATCTCATGTATCTGGCTTTTCAAACTGTGAATAGCCAGACCTAAGTTCTGTTATAGGACAATACTTTCACAAGGAAAATGTGTTCCCTACTTTTAGGCAAACGAGAGGAGAGCAGAGGACACTTCCTGCATCTGTTGATTCTCAGTTGCCTTCAGCTCAAATAATCCTTATGCCGAAGTGGCATGTTTTTGGGTGGCATGACCTGAACCCCTTCAGTCCTTAGTAGTTTCTTAGCTTCTCAGAATCACAAATCTTTTTTTTTTTTTCCTTTCCTTTCCGAAATAGCCTGGCTCTTGCAAGTGAAAACCTTGCTTTCCAGATTATTGTTTCTACTGCACTCTTTTTTTTTTTTTTTTTTTTTTTGCCTTTGGTCTACTTTGAAAGTCAAAGCTAAGCAAAGACTTCTTTGTTCTCACCATTATTTGTGTTTTCCCTGAAGCAGTCAAGCTATAGGACAAGAATTACTGGGAATGAGAAGTGTGTTGGCTATTATTTTTAAGATTCTGTATTTTCACCTCAGAAAAAAAAATTATCCCACATTCTATAAATTTGGATCTCCCAGAGATAGAAAGACCACCCAGAGCGTAGAGCCTTCCGTCATCTCAGGGAGAATCCCTCTCCATTATGCATTTTCACTCCCGCTTTCAGCAAGACAAATTCCTCTTTGTTTCACGCACTTCAATTTAGCAAGCAAGCAACTTTTAGCGCTTGTGCAAGTAACCTTTGTATCTCACCCTCTACCCCGGGCAGCTTAGAAAAGACTTTTTTCCTTAACAGACAGTCATCTTAAAAGAATTCTAGAGTCAGCTATTAGAAAAACAAACAAACTTGTTCTCCACTTCCTTATACTCTACCTGTCTGCTCTCCTGTTTCAGTGAATAGAGGAGGCCTCAGAGCTTCATGGTGCTGGATACACCAGTACAGAGTTGTTGAAAGGAAGGAGTCTTCTTTACCTTTCTTAAGGTCTAAGTAACATTGTGAGTGAAAATATCATCAGGCAAAGAATTATCTGTGCATTATGTTAACTTAGTAAAATGTCCTTGCAGGCACAGAAAAACACAAAAGGTCTGGACAGCTTTTTAAAATAAGTAGATTTGTAAATCATTTAAAAGAGGTTGGAAAGTGAAGTCTGATGGGGCAATGGAACACACACTGGGGCTTGAGGCCTAGGTGTACGTGGTCCCTTCTCTTGCCTCTTAGGACCGGCTCTCAGCTGCCAGCTCTGCGACCTTTGTCACTACAGATCCCACCCACCTTTTTTTTTTTTTGAAACGGAGTCTCACTCTGTCACCCAGGCTGGAGTGCAGTGGCGTGATCTTGGCTCACTGCAACCTCCGCCTCCCGGGTTCAGGCGATTCTCCTGCCTAGGCCTCCTGAGTAGCTGGGACTACAGGTGTGCGCAACCACACCTGGCTAATTTTTTGTATTTTTAGTGGAGACCGGGTTTCACCATGTTAGCCAGGATGGTCTCGATCTCCTGACCTCGTGATCTGCCCCCCTCGGCTCCCAAAGTGCCACCCAGCTTCTTTCTCCCCACTCCTGCCTGGTGACCACTGCCAGCTTCCTCCCCTGGCAGGGGCCTGGGCACAAATTCACAGAGGTTGAGGTTGGGCATGTTGCCCAAGGGCATATTGGGTAAGGCATGGCAGGAGGTATTTTGCCCCAGGCTGATAGTGCTGTGGTGCATTAGGTGGGGATTGGCTGGGGTGAGCTGCTCACTCACCCCAATCCAGGTACTGAGCAGCTCTGACAGGTTGTAATCTCTGGGTAGTTACCCATTGCTCTGGGTTGGGAAGGCAGACACATGGGAAGAGGAGATTGGCTTTCCCACCCCCAGCCAGGACAGGGTGCATTATTGTGGCAGTGGACTGCAGGGTGGGCACAGGCACCTGTGAGGGTCTGCACTTGTCCAGCAAATGTACCTGTGCCCAAAGGTGTGTGACATTCAATAGCAAATTTAAAAAACCAGCATGATAGGTCCAAAGAGAGACTGCAGAAGAAAGGGAAATGCTTATATATTACTACCTTTAACAACACCTTTATTTTAAGGGGCCCCATATTTTCATTTTGCACTGGGCCCTGCAAATTAGGTAGCCAACTCTGCTTTCCACTATTTCACATCCCACATTCAGGGAATACAAGTCTCAATATAGAGGACTGTAGAGAGTAAAGGAGAATCAATATGGGTATACAGCCTTCTTACAGCACTGGGAGCAATATATTTGCAGGGTACCATCATTTTCATAAATTGCATTGCAGAGTACTTCAGATTTTTAAAAATAAATTCCCATCCAGCAATTACAGACATAAGAGATCCCACTTTAGTCCAGCATAGCCATACTACACACTGGCTTAGGACATTCATGGCCATCTCTAAATGAGGTCTAGGTAAGAAAGAAAATCTTGGAACACCCAAGTGGATAGTGAGAGGGATAACATTCTATGTACCCTTCAACCAACAAATAAATAATGTACCCTAATAGCTCTGTGTTGGGAGGGAGAAAGGATACAGCCTACGAAAATTATTATGAAAGTTCAGAGTTAAGAGCATGCAGTGGCTTTTCTTTGCAAAACAGAAACAACCTATAGAAAATATGCACTTTTCTTCATTAAGATGCAAAAATACATGGGCTCTATGAAGCAATGCTGAAGATACACATTCAGCAGACTGAGATGGTGAGTTAACCAAAATGAGCAACTTTCCAGGAAAGCAAAAATAGAGTATCAGAATTAAAGTCTTCATTGGAGATGGTAAGGAGCAAGATTAACATTGTAAAATGTTCAATTAGTAATTTTCATGATAAACTGGAAACAATTTCCCAGAATGCAGAAGATAAGGTTGAGAAAAGCAGGTTGGTTGGTTTCCTGTTTGAATATGAACTGGAGGAAGAGAGCAAAAGCCCCTTACTCAAGCTCTAGCTTACCTAACTCTCAGCCAATCAGTAACAAAAGATCCAAGAAGTTATCAAATGCAAGTTCTTAATGGAGGGGGCTAGGGACTTCCTCAGGGATCTGGAGACACTTCAACCCCTTCCTCCTTTTAATGCTAAAAATCTTGCCTGGGGTAGAGATTTATAATACTGAGGATGCATACAATGTATGAAGAAGTATGTTGAGCCACTGCACAAATGCTAGAAAGACTTATATACATGCCCTGATGTAATCCTTCCCTGTAGAAAGGCCCTATAAAACATACCCACACACTATCCTCAGGGATTAACCCATTCCCCTTTCCTTTCAGTGCTGACTCCCTTGTGCGCAAGCTGAATAAAACTCTTTTGTTGCTATGTTTGGTGATCTCTCTTGATTTCTATCATGGGAGAGCTCAAGAACCCAGGGCACCAGTAACAAGGTCACGGAATAAAAATGATGAGGTGACAGAAAGTAAACAACCCAAACTCTAAATTTGCAATAATCAAAATTAAATTCCATTATATGCTTGAACTGAAAATAGGAATAGGTAGTGGGAATACTAATTACTGAATAGCAGAGAATATCAATGGAGAGAGATTGTTCATTTTAAACTATCAAGACAGCTCACAAAGCATCCAGTCAGAAAAAGTTACACACACACACACACACGATCAGTTTGTCTTCAGGTTGCTTTGTAGCTCAAGTGATAGAAGAGACTGATGACTCTCCATAGATTTTAAGGGAGAAGAGTTGTAAGCAAATGATTTTATATCCACCCAGCTTGTTATTCTTGTGTAAAGGCAACAGAAAATTATTGTGTCTTATGCAAGAGTTCAGAGTTCAGCAATTTATCATATCACCCATGTAACCTACCTCAAATTAAAAAACAATATATAAACTCTAGCAGACTAAAAACTGAAAAACACAAGAAACTGTTAGCCTTGTAAAAAATGGCAGTTAGTTTTAAAACCATTTAAATATAGATATCTAATTGTAAGTATAGCTATAAAAGATATATAAAAATAAGAAATGTAAACTATAAAAATATGAAATAAGAAAAATAACTTGGAAAGGAAAAGCCCTTAAAATATAAGCTATGATGATGTTTTGGCAATATTGTCTGAGTATAGAAATCCCAGATTATGTTAACAAAGACCCAGAATGGACTGGGAAAATAAAAGCATGGTAATGTTTTTAACGAACATAGGGAGAGTGAAAAATGTCTAATACTTTGTTCTAGTATTAAGTTAAACCAAAACAGGCCGGGCATGGTGGCTCATACCTGTAATCCCGGCACTTTGGGAGGCCAAGGGGGGCAGATCACTTGGGGTCAGGAGTTCAAGACCAGCCTGGCCAACATGGTGAAACCCCATCTCAAGTAAAAATAGAAAAATTAGCTGGGCATGGTGATGCATGCCTGCAATCCTACCTACTTGGGAGGCTGAGGCAGGAGAATCTCCTGAACCCAGGAGGCAGAGGTTTCAGTGAGCTGAGATCACGCCATTGTACCCCAGCCTGGGTGACAGAGTGAGACTCGATCTAAAAAACAAACAAACAAACAAAACACCATATGCTGTTTACAGGAGACATATCTTAAGCAAAACGCCACACAACATTTTAAAGTAAAGAAAGAACAAATAAACTGAAAGTTAGGAGTGGCAATATACTAACAAAGTAAAATTTTAAGCAAAAAGCAAGTTTGACCAGAATGATTATCTTATATAAATGATAGGCATAATGATGGTGATAATAATAAAGCTGTATTTTATAAATAAAGTAATACTTAAAGGGATAAAGCAAAAATTATTAGTCATATGGGATAAATTGATAGAAACATAAATGTAATGGAATTACTTAACATTCTGTTTTTGACAGATCAAGAAGATAAAAAATAAATGATATAGAGTATTTGAACAATAAACACAGCAAGATCACAAATTTTACCTCATACTACAATTTGGATATGTAATGAGAAATATAATTTCTTTATTTCATTTGTGATTAATCTGGCTTCCTAATACCTGAAGTTCCAATTTGTAACTGAGGGAAGAAGTGTAAATATCTAATCTCTCTTAAGTCTTAGTTCACTCTGATAATTTAAATAGTACTTGTAGGTTCTGTTTAGTGCCTCTCTGATAAAAATATTTGGTCTCTCAAGTGGCTCATGCATTCCCCTAATTTTCTCCTCAAGGCAGCACGTGGGTATATGGAAAAGGGGTGTGCAGCTTCATCAGCCTCTCAGCATTGCCATGAAGGTGAAATCCTCAGGCTCAGGTGCTCTCCTTGAACTCCCCTCTGTTATCTCTGGTCTTTGGAGAAATGTCTGTGCTCTTTCTGGCTGTATACTTGCCCTGCTGACTTTTACCCTTAAAGACTGAACCTGGTGTCAGTAGTGGGTTGGCTTTTCACTGCCTTAGTCACTGGCCATTAGTGACTGCTTAGCTGAGACTGTCTCACCTTGGCTCTCACTGGTGCCGTAAGCCCACTACATGTTTGGGTTTGACTCCCATTTGGCCCTAGCCAGACTACAGCCCTTGACACAGAGCTATCCATTGCATCCCTTGGCCATGGCGAATCCTCTCTAGCAGCTTTCCGAACCTCATCTAATTCTGTGATCCAAGGTGGTTTAGGGAAGCTAAACAGGATGGCCTACCTCTATCTGCCTGTTTTTATAGATGTTAAAAAAATTAGGAGGCCATTAGGCTGCATTCTGGGTTCCTACATAAGCAAACTGAAACCCAACTCAGAGTAACTCAACCAATCAGAAACTGCCAACAAAGCTCTAATTGGGAGCTGTACCAATCAAAAACCTTCAACTAACCTCCAACTAGAGACTCTCCACCTTAAACAGTAAAATAGTTTCTTTGTCTTGCTTTCATGAACCCCCATGTCTCTCTTCATGCCTCCTTGGTGAAGCCCAAACTGCTTGTGATTTGGTGCTACCTGATTCATGAATTGCTGTCTGCTCAAATAGACTCTTTAAAATTGTAACGGCCCTAAGCTTATCTTTTAACACAAGTCAGTTTGTCAAGAATCAACTAGTCAAATGACCAATTGCCAAATTTAATAAATTTACTTATTTACCAGAAACTTGTTTTACTTTCCTATTTCCGAAGGTTACTGCAAACAGTTTTGAAAGTCTATGAAGTTTTAGTTGACAGATTTCCGTTTTATCTTCGTAGCATTTTAAGGAATAACCAGGTGTTGAAACCTGAGTTATAGAGTGGTTTTGGTTTAGTGCATATATCTACTAGTCAGGAAAGTTTATTTCAATATTTTAGCATTTTTAGGACATGGGGTCAATCTTCTCTTATTATTTCTCTGTAATTTCATATTTACAATGAATAAATATCACATTTAGAGTGCTAATCTTAAAACAGAGCTCATTTACCAAAAGCTTGTTCTTTTTCACTTTAATAAATTCTGCTTTGCAGTGCACACTATACATATCAACAGAATAACTTTAAGAATCATACTATTCCTTTAGGGGTTTTTTATGAAAGCCAAAGCATCATAGACCAAAACAAACACAAAGTAAGTAAAGGCTTAAATTCTTAAGAATTTTTATTTAAACAAAGCACTTTTTAAGGCCACTGATGTTTATTTTTCAAATTCCGTGTGGTGATTTGTGGGGGACAGGAATGCAGATTATGAAAATGCTAGCCTTTGTCAGCAAGATACATAGCACAAAGTCAAGAGCCATCTACCTAGTAAATGTTGGTAAGAACCTTCATATGCTGTGAACTTTTATGATGTTACATAGAACATTGAAATTCAACCAATATGGCAGGCATTCATAAACTGTTGATGAGGTAGTTGACTAGATTGACAAAAGAGAAAGAAAGGTTAGAGCTAGAAAGTCAGATCTGGAATTCAGCCACATAGAATTGCTAGTTTAAATCATGAAACTGGCTATGATCACTGAAGAAGAATGTAAGAAGTGAAAATGTCAAGAATTGAACTTTCAATACCTACGCTTAAAGAGTTTACCAAGACACATAAAGGCATAGGAGTGACAGGAAGGAAAAAAGTGAAGGGAATATAAATAGAAAAATACAGAGAAGAAACAAAGATAACCCCAGAGAACCTAGAGATAGAAATTGAGAAGACACACGTAAGTGAGAGGCAGAAGTGTAAATGTTTGAAGAAGTAATAAAAGAGGGATTTGAAATGCAGAGAGAGAGGGAGAACAGTTCTCTGTCCTTTGAGGGAGAAGCTTGGAGAAGGAGAATGATGAAATGTACTTCTTACAATCATTGTCTTCAGCTTCACTTATTTGTCAATGCCCTTAAATGAGGTATGTACACATAGCAGAGCTGTAATAAAAAGCAAGATATTCAAAAGCAGTTGGAGATTGTTTAGCTTCCTATTTCTAAATTTCCCTACTCCAGTTAAGCCAGCTTATTCTCATCGTGGGCACTATCTGACACTCTAAACCTAGATTTGGTTCTAGAATACTCACCTTAGGCAGCTAATTGTAACACTTTCTCTTGAGGCCATTTTTATTGCCATTCTTCTAAACATAACCTTATCTTCTTTTGTGGCTGACAGTTTCCCTCTTTTCTTCTTTGCTCTTGCTACTCTTCATTGTATCATTCATTTTAGCACTTTTTTGAATACCTACAATGTGCCCTAACAAATTTAAGGTCCAGGACAGGAGGGACCTTAAATGCCTTGGCAATTTTGTTACACAGTCCCTGAACAGTCCTGGCAGATAGAACATGTTCAATAAATATTGGTTGATTGAATGAATTAGCACAATATTGAGCACTATATACATGATTAAGATAAAAGTTCTATTCTCAAAGAATTTACAATAAAGGAGTAGGAGAGCATCATTTATTCAAATAACTACAGTAAATAATTGCTTAATAAAATCAATGCAATAAGAGACTGTCTAGGAGTGTGGGCTCATGGAAGCCAGGGAAGAGTACATTTCAGGAAAAAGAAGGGATAAGGACTAAGAAAAGTCGATTGGATTTAACAAGAAAGTCATTGACCACCTGTACAGAAGATTAGATTCCTTGAATGACGCTTGTGCTGAAAACAACTAAAAATGCTAGATAAAATATTTAAAAAGTGCTCACTTTGGCAGCACATATACTAAAATTGGAACAATACAGAGAAGACTAGCATGGCCCTGTAAATTAAAATTTAAAAAAAGAGAAAACGCTATCATTTTAAATGTATCACTGAGCTGACAAAAAAGTATAGAATCTGCATAGGTTAAAACAAGTAGAAGTGAAAATCATTGCCATTTTATATAAAATACAAACACACACACATACACATATAACTTACCTCTGTTGGAAGTCAGAGTATAATTATTCCTGATAGAGTTAGTGGCTGCAAAGGAGATTGAGGGAAGGATTGCTAATGTTCCTTCTCTTGATTTAGCTGGTGGTTATGTAGAAGTATTCAGTAGTGAAAAATTCATCCAGCTTTCACATATACTCAGAATATTTGCACTGCTTTGTGCTTTTTTTCAGTAAAAGTTTACTTTTTTTTTTTAAGTTAAAAAAACCACAAAAAAAGTGGGTAGACTAGGCTGTAAGTGATACCCAAGCTGGCTTTTGACTGGAGGTTATATGCCCAATCCTGGTAATTTTCAGATTCTGTTTTGATGGCTGTGGGAGTTACTAGGGAACTATAATTTAGAGCCTGTCCAAGATGGAAATGCAGGAGGAAGTCTCCTATAAGGTTGAGACCACAAAAGACTACACAGTGAAAGAGAATTAGAAATAAACTTGTAGCACAGGAGAGGCAGCAAGACAATGTTCTTGTCTTAAGCTTGGCTTTTGGTGGGAGGAATAAAAACATCTTGCCTGAGAATTTGAAAATGGGAACCTGACTGCAGGTAGATTTGCACTGTGAACTTAACTCTAGGTGTTGTTCCCAAACCATCAAGCTGAGCATTTAATTTAAGATGGTAGTGCTTGCAGGAGATTGGTAGGAGTAAACCCAAATCCTCTCTGAAGGAACACAACTTTTATATGGGCCTCAAAGAATTTCCATGGATAAACTTCCAGAGAACAAGAGCTCACAAGGCACTGTGAGTAAGCACCAGCAGGAGCAGTGGAAAGCAGAATCAGATATGCTCAGACTGCAGTTCCTGAATTTATTGTGTAGTGAATGTAAAAGTAGCAAAAGTTTAGGTATAGAATATAAAAAATAGCAAAAGTAATTTAATTTAATTTATTTTTTGAGACGGAGTCTTGCTCTGTCGCCCATGTTGGAGTGCAGTGGCGCGCTCTCAGCTCACTGCAACCTCTGCCTCCTGGCTTCGAGTGATTCTCCTGTCAGCCTCCTGAGTAGCTGGGATTACAGGTGTGCACCACCACTGCCGGCTAATTTTTGTATTTTTAGTAGAGACAGCGTTTCGCCATGTTGGCCAGTCTGGTCTCGAACTCCTGACCTCAGTTGATCCACCCACCTCGGCCTCCCAAAATGCTTGAATTACAGGCGTGAGCCACCGTGCCTGGCCGCAAAATTTATTTTAAACAGAGGCTTTAAAATATGAGCAAAGAATAGGAGAGACTTACAAAGATAAAGCAGATTTGAAAAGGAACTAAATGGGACTCTGAAAAATAAAATGTAGTGATCAACATAGTAATTACAATTAAGTTACTGTGACCCTTGTCAGAGCAAGATCAGAGGGAAGGGTGTAGTATCCAAAGGCTAGTCAGGTGAAGAGTTAATGGCAGTGAATAAACTGCATATATGTGTTATGTGCTGTTCTGTATGCCCATAACCTTTTTAAGTTTAAAAATATTAAATAGGAGATAATGAGAGATGAAAAATCTGCCAAGTGCAGACTATTTCTAGTAGCTTTCAGTGGTGACAAAACTTAGTGATGGTGATGAGGAAATCCCTACTTCCATCATTGTATTTTACTACTTCCAGATACCAATTCTGCTTCTCTCTCTTTGACTAAAGGAAAAGGAGAAATGCAGGAAAGGGAGGGAGAGTGGGAAGATGAGGGAAAGGGGAAAATAGAATAGGAATAAGAAAAAAAGGGAATTGAAAGGGATAAGGAGAGAGGAGAAACCCATTGTCTACATTGAATGATCCCCTTCTCCCTGTGCTGGATTTTAACTATGGCAATGGAGAAAAATAAAATGGTGGGGAGAGAAACAGTGAACATGTGAAGCACATCCTAAATCAGTCACCTTGAAAATTAGCATTATATTAAGATTTAATTTTTCCACTGTAAATAACAAATTTCATTAAAAAAAATCTAACACTAACCTAATGCTCTCTAATTTCACTTTTCAACTAGAAAAACTGGATTTGAACTTAACCAAAATTGACAAGCTCTAGTCTGCAAAACTTGAAACACCCCTACCTCTTATTGAAAAGTAAAAAGTAGAAAATAGGGCATTCAGTTGTCAGTTTGAATTACTTTTCCTTTTTTCACGTTTTTATTTTTAACATAGTTTAGGCCTCTCAGAGAGCTGGGCCTAGGGCAAGGGGAAGAGGGATAAAGCACACTATTAGAGTTCATAGCTCCATAGACACATAATTCATCTTCTTAACTTTGTAGTGCAAAAGGTTAAGCATTTATTGTATCCAATTACTTTGAATGTATTTCAACGTCAGGTAATTTTGAAAAAGTGCAATGCAATTTTTACATAAACAACTCTGCCCATTATAGTTCTTCTCAAAAAAACAAGTCAATGCATTTTTCAAATTAGAAAAATAACAGCATAATTATATAATTAAAAGTAGTATTTCTCAACTCTAGTTATTGTGTTCAGGTTCTTGGCATTTTGAACAAAGAATTGGACAAAACTTGCAAACAAAGCAAGGAAATAATGAAGCAACAAAAGCAGAGACTTATTGAAAATGAAAGCACACTCCACAGGGTGGGAGTGGGCCCAAGCAAGTGGCTCAAGGGCCTGGTTACAGAATTTTCTGGGGATTAACTACCCGCTAGAGGTTTCCCATTGGTTGCTTGGTGTACTCCATATGTAAATGAAGTAGTGGCCCGTGATCAGTCTGATTAGTTGCAGAAAGTGACCAATCAGAGGCTGAAGTGAAGTTACAAAGTTATACTCCTGTGCAAAAGAAGACTTGGCCCACAACCAACCTGACTGGTTGTGGGAGTGGACCAATCAGAGGTACTTTCAGTTTTTCGTCTGCCACACAGAAAAGGTGGCGGTGGAAAGGGAGTAGCCTCTGGTCGTTTTGTTACTTGGGCATGGAAAGTTGGGGTTTTCCTTTTGATTCAGTTCTAGGAAGTCAGTATGAATTGGCCTTAGGTTCCCTGCCTCCAGACCCTAATCTCCTGCCTCAAGGCATCATTTAATGATGGGAATATGTTCTGAGAAATGTGTCATTAGTAATTTTGTCTTTGTGTGAACATCATACACACACCTAGATGGTATAGCCTACTACACACCTAGGCTATGTGGTGTAGCCTATGGCTCCTAGGTTACAAACCTGCACAGCTTGTTACTGTTGTAATACAAGAGTCAGTGTTTGTGTATCTAAATATAAAAAAAGTACAGTAAAAATACAATATAAAAGGTAAACAAAAATGGTACACCTGTATAGGACACTTCCCATGAATGGAGCTTGTAGGATTGGAAGTTGCTGGGTGATTCGATAAGTGAGTGGTGAGTGAATGGGAAGGCCTAGGACATTACTGTACACTACTGTACACTTTATAAACACTGCACACTTAGGCTACGCTAAATTTATAAAACAAATTTATTCTTTTTCTCTAAGAATAAATTCAGCTTAGCTTACTGTAACTTTTTTACTTTATAAACTTTTTAACTTAAAAAAACTTTGACTCCTTTGTAATAATACTTAGCTTAAAACATAAGCACACTGTACAGTTATACAAAAATATTTTCTTTCTTTATATCCTTCTTCTATAAGCTTTTTTCTACTTTCAAAATTATTTATTTACTTTTTAAACTTTTGTTAAAAACAAAGACACACACACACACATCTTATATTAACACAAAAGCGAAGGCAACAATATAATTCTTTTAGCTAATCTATTTTTCTCCCTTTGGCTCTTCGAGGTTACAAAACCAGAGCCTGGGAAAATGGGATTGTACTAAAACTCCCACAGAAAGATGTCTAGAAGTCTTGTTGCTTCAGATGCAGCAAAACAACATCTGATTGGCAAAGGGCCACTTTGGTTTTTCTCCT
The DNA here is from genome assembly GCF_000001405.40 of Homo sapiens. Classification (NCBI taxonomy): domain Eukaryota; kingdom Metazoa; phylum Chordata; class Mammalia; order Primates; family Hominidae; genus Homo; species Homo sapiens. The sequence goes on from NC_000004.12 coordinate 89,134,938, forward strand.
GCTTGGCTAGCATCCTAAACTTAGTTTTCACAGTGTTCTGTCCCTATTTAACACTGTGTAGTGGAAAGGCAAAATAGTGAGGTGGTAAAGAACATGGACTGTGGATTCTGACTGCCTGGGTTGGAATTCTCATTCTGTCACACACTGGTCATGTGATCTTACCCTCCGTCTCTGTTTCCTCACTTACAAAATGAGGAGAATCATAAGACCTGCCTCACAGGATTGGTATGTGGATTAAGCGAATTAGTATATGTAAAGTGCTTAGAACAATGCTTAGCACATAGTAAATAGTATTGCATAAACACACACAAACACACAATGCAGTAATTTCTCACATTTTGCGTAATCAAACTGGGATAATGACTTTATGATTCCCTTATATAACTATAAAGAAATATTTCATTATCTGAATTAGCTTATTCATTGAGGACTATTAAAATGTAAGGGATAAACTGGATATCTAACATACATGTGAACTTTCTACTTCTTCCACTTATGTCTATTAAGTGTATTTGCACTTGATAGATATTTTACAATGTGGGTATAAAAATCCACAGGTAGCATAAAAGTAAAGGGGAATGATAATGGTCTTTCTTGTTTTCTAGTAACAGCTTCCCCCCGCAGTAGTGTTCTTTTTTTTTTTGGAACACATATTGGCAATGGGAATATAAAGACCTGAAGGAGGCTCTCTGCCTAGCTTCAAGGAACCACAGGATACTTAGGGAATTAAAGAATGATAAAAGGAAGAATATCACGAGACACCTGGGAGTCTCGTTCTTTATCATTTGCTCTTGACACATGAATTTCCAAAACACGTGTCATTTCTTAACCAGGACAGAACTGTAATAATTTGTTCTAGTTCTCACATGCATTCTTTATGATGAGAAATCTGAAGTCATCCTCACCTTTGTTCCTGTATATGTAACAAGGCTTTCTTCTCTGGTTCCTAGGATCTTCTCTTTATCATTAGTTTGGGGAAATTTGATTTGTGCCTTGCTATAATTTTCTTCATGTTGCTTGTGCCTGGGTTTGTTGAATTTCTTGGATCTGAGGTTGTCACAACATATTGCTTTCTTCACAGAGAGATAACCCTGTAGATGAAGTGATAAAAGTTCTGAATGATACTACAAAATGGTTGGCTTTGTTAAATAAAAACCAATTCATGCCATAATGTTTTAAAAATTGTGTTATTATTTGGACAAAGATTACATACATCTCCTGCTACATATAGAAATCTGTGGCTTAGCAGAGGAAGGATTTGCAACAGTATGCTTTAGCTGACAGGTGGATTGGAGTGCATGAGTATTTTCAAGGTAGGCCAGCTTTTGCTGAGTATTTTGAATAAGAAGGTGGTGGCTACAGCAATGAACTACTTAGCAAATATTTTTCATCACATGAACCAGTTGAATGAGTATCTATAAGACCTTGGAGAAAGTAGCATGATTTCAAGTGACAAGATTCTTTGATTTATATAAATCTGAATTTTTAGAAAAATCATATTGCAATGGCAAATTTTAAAATTTTCCCACTGCTACTTGGGTTTAAGAATGAGGAAAGATATTAGTAAGAGTTAAATTTTATAGAAAGCCACCTTGAAGAACCGCAGAACAAAATGGCACAGTATTTTTTCTTTCTTTCAACACAAAGGTGAAAAACCTTTTCTCTGAATCTTCTACTGCTACTCTACAGTTTGAGAACCTGACTTTGAAAGAGGAAAAATAACTTAGTAAGCTGCCATCTGATCATGCAGTCAAGATAAGGCTTACTCATCTGCTCCTAGACGACTTTTGGATTTCTGTGAATGAAGAGTATCCTGCTAGTCACAGGAAAGCAATAAACATTCTGCTGCATTTTTTTCAATTCGTTACATATGTGAACAAGTTTGACTTGTTTAACAATCATCATGAGCAAGGAAAAATATCAACTCATTTTAGTTGAAATGTCATCCATGTGTGTTTATCTCAAGTTTGATCCAGCATTGTATTATTGTACAGCAGAAAAATAGCACAAGTTTCAAGTTACTTTGTTCTTTATTTCTAGTTTCAAAAGTAACAAATTTTATGCATAGGTATATAGAGGAGATATAAAAATTCGACACATATAAAATTATTATGATCATAACAGCTAGTCTTATACTTGAGCTTAATCATGTTACTCAGGAAGAAAATAATTTTTTGAAAGCTTTGTTAAAAAGTGTGTCTTAGGGTATACTTTTATTAATATTCTGTGGCTTATGGTTTTAATAGTTGTACTAATTGCATTGTCTAATTTTCATGTTGTAAATAACATTAACTAAATCAACATAACCTTTTTTTTTAATCAACTTTTATTTTAAGTTCTGGGGTACATGTGCAGGATGTGCAAGTTTGTTACATAGGTAAACGTGTGCCATGATGGTTTGCGGCACAGATCAGCCCGTCACCCAGGTATTAGGCCCAGCACCCATTAGCTGTTTTTCCTGATGCTGTCACTCCCCTCTCCCCCTACAGGTCCCAGCGTGTGTTGTTCTTCTCCATCACCGTAAATTTTATTCAAATTCAATCAATCAAGCCTACCTTTAGAAAAAGTAAATTATAAGTTTTTGGCTTAAACTTGCTAGTTAACAGAAATTTATTGTTTGCCTTATATGTTTTTTAATAACTTATGAAAAAGAAAGTAAAATATTACTTTCAAGAAATGTAAGCTAAACAACTTTTTTTTTTCAAGACAGTTTGGGGAAAAAGTCATCCTTAGTTTTAAATAGGGGAAACAAACCTTAATCTACCATATAGCACACAGCGTACCTTCTCAGCTACTTGTAGAGTAGGACTTGACGGCAAACCTTTAGGCTTTCTGGATGCAGAGGCCATAAGAATGCAGCTTGCAGACCTCCACCTGTAGGGAGCTCAGCCCCGCTGCCGTGCTCCGCACTCCATTGCGGGGTTGGTACTAAGGCCGTGCTTCCCAGGGACTGCTCCTGGCCGGTGACTGAGTACAGGAGGAATGCTATGGCAGGCCATTTCTGCATGTCATTAGACCCCCGTGATGGCTGACTTTGGCTCCCTGATAGCCTTGCTAACCCTTCCTCAGACCTCATGGCCGTCGAGGCTACTCAACACCCCACCTTTCTTCCTTCTTCCCTCACTCGGGGTCCTACCTGCTTCATGGTCTGATGGCTCTTCCAGGGCTCCAGTCTCCCTTGTGTTTTCCCTCTAAGGTATTTCCCTTAATAAAATCCTTACCTGTTTAAATCCAATCTTGGTTTCTTGGATAACTTGGACTAACCATTGGATATGGTTTAAAAATCAAGTAGTAAATAAAAATAAAAGGGAAGCTAAGTTTTCTTTACCTATTGTACCAATTTATGTTAGGGTTGATGTCTTTTATGGTGAAGGAGAAGCACACAGAAAAACTAAGCTAATAAGGTATCCATAGAAAAAGATAATTTGTTTCTCAAAAAAGGATTGACAATTATTGGATTATTATACCTATTGCTTATGATCACGGTAATATTCTGTGATTAGCAGATATTAAGAACATTTATGTAAGGATTTCCTGATACTGGAAAATTATTTCAAGAATTTCTCCAGGGTAAAAAGACTGAGAAAGGCTACTCCAGGCTACTTCTGATATGCCTCAGTTCAGTCTCATTTGACTTCCTGGGTGTTACATTTTGTGATGAAACTGAAATATTTTGCTCCCACTTTGGAGCTCAAAGTAGCTGAATCCAATTCTTGCCAATGCAGAATCCCATTCTAAAAGCCATCTGGACAGGGCCCAGTGGCTCATACCTGTAATCCCAACACTTTGGGAGGCCAACAGTTTGGGAGGCCAGGAGTTTGAGACCAGCCTAGGCAACACAGTGAGACCCCGTCTCTACAAAAACAATTTTTAAAAATTAGCCAGGTGTGGTGACATGCACCTGTAGTCCTACCTACTTGGGAGGTAGAGGTAGGAGGATTGCTTGATCAAGGCTGCAATGAGCTATGATCACACCTACTGCACTCCAGCCTGGGTGACAGAGTGAGACCTTGTCTCTAAAAAAATTAAAAATAAAAGTAAAGCTGTTTTTTTTTTTTCTACCTGCCCCTTTATGTGACTTACGGAGTCTCTAATGGAGTCTAACTATACTACAGAGTTAAAAAGCAAGATTCTAGCCCTAGAGGGATTACAAATTTTACAAGGTTATTAAGACAAAATTTATGTACAGGGGCAATATAAGACTACTGTTCACAGATTTAGAAAAGAAATCAAAATTTGGGTGTTAAACATGGCAAAAAATCCTAATTGCTACAATTGGGACTCAAGATCCGGGCCAGGAGAGGAGCAAAGTATGGTATTTAAGAACATCTTGGGTGGGTATGATGGCTCATGCCTGTAATCCCATCACTTGGAGAGGCTGAGGAGAGAGGATTGCTTCAGCCCAGGAGTCCCAGACCAGCCTGGGCAACAAAATGAGACCTCGGCTCTACAAAACAATTTAAAATTAGCCAGGTGTGGTGGCACGTGCCTGTACTCCTGGCTACTTGGGAGGCAAAGGCAGGAGGATGGCTTGAGCCCAGGATGTCGAGGCTACAGTGAGCCGTGATCGTGTCACTGCACTCTAGTCTGGGTAACAGAACAAGACTCTGCCTCATAAACAAAAAACAAAACAACAAAAATCCTTGGTTTGATCACTGACTGGCTGTATGACATGTGGCAAGTTACAGTCTCTCTTTAGTTTTCTTACCTATGAAAATAGAAATAGTAATACCTACTTGGGAGAATTACATAAAAAATCTATGTAAAGTGCTTAGCACATAGTAAATAAAAATCTATGTAAAGTGCCTAGCACATAGTAACCACTCAATAAAGGGTAAGTTTCATCATTAACAAGGATGATTTGATACAAGTTTTCATCTTAGTGCTACACTATATAGTCATTTTGCATTCTGCTTTGGGATCAAGTCCTTTTCATAAATTATTATTATTTTTAAAACCCAGGAAAATATGAAAAAAAAAATCAAACATACCTAGGCTCCCACAGTTCAGTGTGCTCATTTTCACTTGATGCTCCTACTTGAAATCCCTCATCTCCTCAGCTCTCCACAGCATCCTTAAGCCTGGAACTTCTTCATTCATCTTCTCCAGAGAATAAGTGTTTGAGGGGAGATGAAGGGATAGGTGGTTGCTGGGAGGAAAGAGGGGTATCTGCTTCCTTGCCTGGGGTAGGATAGGAAACCTAGCTGGGTTAGTCAGGGTTCCACAGAGAGACAGAACCAATAGAATATACATGTAAATACATATAAATATATGAGAGGGAATTTATTAGGGGAATTGGCTCATGTGGTTATGGAGGCTGAAAAATCCCCAAGACAGGCTGTCTGCAAATTGGGGCCCGCAGGATGCTGGGGGCATGACTCAGTCCAAGTGTGAAGGTCTCAACATCAGGGCCGCTGGTGGTGTAACTCTCAGTCCAAGGCCAAAGATCTGAGAACCTGGGGTGAGCGGCAGCTGGTGTTAAGTCCTGGAGTCTAAGAGCCAGGGAGCCTGGGTTTCTGACATCCAAGAGGAGGAGGAGTGTATCTCAGCTCCAGGAGCTTGAAAGACACATTCACCTGTCCTCTGTGTTTGTTCTCTCCTGGCCCTCAGCCAATTGGATGATGTCTGCCCACACTAAGGGTGGATCTTCTCCACCTAGTCCACTCAGGACTCACATGCTAATCTCCTTGGAAAACACCGTAGAGACACACACCAAGATCGTGCTTTAACAGGTTTCCAGGTATTCCTTAAGCCGGACAAGTGTGATGACAGTTAATCATCACACTGGCCAGTCAAGCATTTTGTGTACAATTTTTTGGTCAGTTTTCCATTTTCATATCCTGACTTCACACCTGAAGTACTTCACAATCTGAAGTAGCTGTGCCTCTCTGGGCACAGGGCGAAAGTGCTCACTTCTTCTCTGGAGTAAAACTCCTCTGTAGGTTTTCAGGTTGCCACTTCTTCCACTCTGTTAAACTCATTACTTCTGCTCCATCTCCTTTCCATTTTCTGAGAATTTGTTGAAATGTTGTTTCATGTAGTCTCCCCTACCATTCATTTTGTCCTTGTGAGTTAATAATTTTAAAAAATTTCTTTCCCTCCCTTTCAGAAAGATCTGGAGGATGGGGAGAAAAGATAAACATATATGGTCAATCATCATTTTAAACTTGAAGTGGAAGTTAGATTTTAATATCAGCTCGTAAGGTGAAAATTTCATTTGACTGAATTAATCTTAAACCCATATAATATGGAAAGAAAAGTATCTTAAAATGTTATAATCACAGTCATTTTGATGAGGAGCCTTTTACTGTGAGAGGCACATGGGGCCTTAGGCTTAGGAGCAGCAGACTCCCATCTGTCTCCTATTTTAGGCTCCCAACAGGATATAGTCTTATAGATTGGCATGGCAAGTGAAATTGACCATGCTATTTGTTAATTTTTAGGCTTGTACTTTAATTTTTCACTTCTGAGTCTCTAAATAAACAAAATTTACAGTTTACATTTATTTACATTTTATCATAAGTGTAAAACTCCGCTATTGTTTCTCAAATCCTTCTTTAAAGAGACAGTTTGCTAAAAAAGAATCCAAGCTGAAAATACAGACAGAGGTTAAAAAGTCTTACTTAACACAGGGAGAGAGAGCTGGTAGTTACCAGCTAAAGTCAGGACAAAGCTAAAAAGGGACAGAGCCTGAATCAGAACAAACTTTTTCTGTTCTGTGGACTCAGTTTCAGAGTTAAAGAATCAAATACAAATTGTGAGGAGACTTAGAGCAAGAACTGTTCTGGTTTTCCACTGCATGCCTGATAATGTGAATGAATTTCATTTTGCATCTTTATACATAATAATCTGAAATAAAATGAGAGTAACATTTAAATGAGAAAATATATAAGAACTTTATGCTTTAATTCATACTGTTTACATAGCTCATTTAATCTTCACAATAATTCAGTAAGGTAGATATCATTATTGTCCTAATTTTAATGATGGGTAAAGTAAGCCTTAAAGAGGTTGAATAACCTTCTTCAGGTCACACAGTGGCAGGACAAGATTTTGTGATTTTTTTCACCACTGCACCCTCTATTTGCTAAACAATGTGATCACAATGGCCAACACTTAATAACTATTGCCTCTAAATGTAAGTTCATAGTTCTTGGAATGGACAAATTTTTAAGCAAAAAGGGAAAAGTGAAGAGGAGAGAATAATATTTTGTTCTTGTCACCAACTCATCAAAAATAGATGATGATGACAATGAACTCAGAAAGTTTTCTGAACATCTAGATGAGATCTTTGCTCAAACCTGGACTCAAACATCACACTGGTCTAATATTGCTGTTTTCCAGCCTTAAGTGTGGAAAAGTAGTTATTAGAACTAGTTTTTTTTAAAGTGTTCAGTTTTATTTCAAACTTACAGTGCTTTGGATTTCCCCATGTTAGTGAAAACTTTTTGCATACTGGCAATCTATTCCAAAACGACTTAGCTGGAAATGCTAAACTGCCAATGGCAGTAATGTCGTTAATTAAGTCTCTCACTTATAAAAACCAAAACAACAGCCTCTCTTCTCCCTGACTCCCATCCAGCGCTACTTTAAAATGTATTTCAGTTCATATTTTTAGACTAATCTAGTACCAGATATAGAAAAATAAAAGACCCCAAACCTCAAATTATATCAAGACCAGCTATCATATTTTATTTTTACAACCTGAACTTTTTATATTTCTAGTTGACAGAAACCTTATGACCAAAGGTATCACTTTTGAAGAAAAAATGTTTGTTTTATCTATAGAAAGACTTGCATAATAAATCAAGATTAATATGATTATAACATGTCTTTAACGAAACAAAGTTTTTTTCTAATATGAAATGAAATGATATTTGTTTGGGATCAGGTAATGAAGCTATTTTGCTCAGGAAATCACTAACTGGCTTAACTGGATATGTATTAACGTCACAATGGTCAGTTTCGTTTTACAGCACTTTCTTGACACCCACATGTTTTAAAAAGTCAGCAATGTAATAATAAAATATTTATAATGAGCTATTAAAAGAAATCTGCAGAGTATAATATTAAGTATTTTCTTTAGAATTTAATTCAGAAAGCATTTGTAGGCTTAAAATATGGTTTCTCTAAAAATATATATCTTATTATGTGCATTCAATTAGAAAAATATTATGACCAGTTTGGTGACTTTGACCTGTTTCAGTTCCTAAAAATATCTGCCAGTAATGTCCTAATACCTTCAAAAAGAATTGTCATTGAAAGCATTCTTTCTTTGCCTATAGCATTGCTACTGCATGCAAAATTGAACTGCCTTCCATTTCTGAATATTACATTTTAAACAAAAATTATAATTGCTTATAAAACATTTCTAAAAAATAGCATAACTGTGAAAAATAATACACCACTTACCTAAGAATAAAGAATGAAATTAAAAGATAAGTGCAATTAAATTTAATCTAAATGGGTCATGAATTAAAACACAGCAGTTTGCCAATGCACCGCATACAAAATAGAATCAGGAAACCAGATGTAAATTGTTAATTACAAGAACATATGTCATCAGTGCACTTGGGACTCTCAGTTCACTCACAAATATAACCTTTAGGCATATTAGCAAAAAATGGACTTTAACATCATAGACATCTGTGCCAAGGCTTTTTATATCTTAACATATTTTGTTTAGTTTTAAAATAATGACCTAATTAGAAATTTTAAGCAAGCTAAAAGAACAGAGTTGCAATTGCAATTTAAAAATCTAATAATTCTTTTTTAGCATTCAGCATATATTGATGCATAATTTTAAGGCCATTTAAATGAAATATTCAAATCAATAAATGGTAATATTTACATTTTATTGTGCCTACATGTTATAAGCAACTAACAGTTTTGGTTTACAAAATAATTTAATTTTACTAAGAGGGCTAGTTAGAAATCTTTGGCCAAAAGAATTGTATTCTCTAAGATAACAAAAGTCCTCTAAAGAAGAATGAATTACTTAGTAGTTGTAGGAAGCACATTTCTTTATCATTAAGACTAATGCATTTTACATTTTCCTATTTGAAGAATACAGTTTATATTTACAGTTAAATAGACACTTTCTAATAATTATGTTTAGATAACTGATATGATTTGGCTCTGTGTTCTCACCCAAGTCTCACCTTGAATTCTAATAATCCCCACATGTCAAGGATGGGACCAGGTGGAGATAATTGAATCATTGGGATGGTTTCCCCCATGCTGTTCTTGTGATAGTGAGTTCTCACAAGATCTGAGTTTTATAAGGGGCTTCCCCCATCGGTTGGCACTCATTCTCTCTCCTGATGCTCTGTGAAGGGTGCCTTCCACCACGATTGTAAGTTTCCTGAGGCCTCCCCAGCAATGCGGAACTGTGAGTTAATTAAACCTCTTTTCTTTATAAATTATAAATTATCATAGCAGCATGATAACGGATTAATACAATAAGCTTACACCAAAATATTAATAGTTTATTGGCCAATTTCCCATGTGCTCAACATCTTATTTCTAGTTAGCATCATTTCATAATGTAGTGATTTTTTTTTAACTTTTATTTTAGGTTCAGAGGTACATGCGCAGGTTTGTTATATAGGTTAATTGTGCATCATGGAGTTTGGTGTACAGATTACTTCATCACCCAGGTACTAAGCATAGTACATATTAGGTCATTTTTCAATCCTCACCCTCCTCCTACCTTCCACCCTCAAGTAGGCCCCGGTGTCTGTGTTCCCTTCTTTGTGTTCACATGTACTTAATGTTTGGCTCCCACTTATAAATGAGAACATGCAGTGTTTTGTTTTCTGTTCCTATTTTAGTTCACTTAGGACAATGACCTCCAGTTCATGTTGCTGTGAAGGACATGATCTTGTTCTTTTTTATGACTGCATAGTATTCCATAGTGTATATGTACCACATTTTCTTTATTCAGTCTACCACTGATGGACATTTAGGTTGATTCTATGCCTTTGCTCTTGTAAATAGTGCTGCAGTGAACATACATGTGCATGTGTCTTTATGGTAGAATGATTTGTATTCCTTTGGCTATATTCCTAATAATGTGATTGCTGGGTCAAATGGTAATTCTGTTCTGAGTGTGTTGAGAAATCAACAAACTGCTTTCCACAATGACTGAACTAATTTACATTCCCATCAGTGGTGTATAAGCATTTCCTTTTCTCTGCAACCTTGCCAGCATCTGTTGTTTTTTGACTTTTTAATAATAGCCATTCTGACTTTTGTGAAATGGTATCTCATTGTGGTTTTGATTTTCATTTCTCTAGTAATAGTGATGTTGAGCATTTTTTCATATGCTTGTTGGTCGTGTGTTTGCTTTCTTTTGAAAAGTGTCTGTTCATGTCTTTTGCCCACTTTTTAATGGGGTTGTTTGTTTTTTGCTTATTAATTTGTGTAAGTTCTTTATAGATTCTGGACATTAGACTTTTGTCAGATTGTCAGACTCATAGTTTACAAATATTTTCTCTCATTCTGTAGGTTGTCTGTTTATTCTGTTAATAGTAAACTGTTTTTCTGTACAGAAGCTCTTTAGTTTAATTAGGTCCCGTTTGTCTGTTTTTACATAATGCAATGATCTTTTAGTCTCTTTCATGTAAAAAGTTGGTCAGACTTGTTTTTCTTTTCTTAATAAAACTTGCTTAAAGAGCCATAAGAAATAGGATGTCTGAGGGGACTTCAACAAGCTTGTGAAAAAAAAAGAATTAAAAGATAAAAATAAAAAATGGAAACTCTATTTCTCAATATAAACTCCATTTAAGTTTAAGACACTTTTGTAAATGATACCAGCCATTTAGCCCATTCATAAAGAATTGGAGGATGTGAGAATTTAACCATTTAGTGGAGTCTTTTGATATACTTAACTAAAGAAAGACATGTGCCCTTTAGAGATTTTTCAAGACTAAGAAACAAAAAGAAGTCAGAAGAAGCCAAATCAGGACTGTAAGATGGATGCCTAATAATTTCTCAGTGAAAATCTTGCAAAATTGTTATTGTTTGATGAGATAAATGAGCTGGAGCATTGTTGTGGTGGAGAAGGACTGTTGTAAAGATTTCCTGGGCATTTTTTTCTGCTAAAACTTTGACTAATTTTCACAACACACTCTCATAAGAAGCAGATGGTATTGTTCACTAGCCATCCAGAAAGTCAACAAGAAAAATGCCTTGAGCATCCTGAGAAATGGTTACCATCACCTTTGCTCTGGACCAGTTTTGCTTTGACTGGACCACTTGCACCTCTTGGTAGCCATTACTTTGATTGTGCTTTGTCTTCAGTCATGTTCTATCTCCTGTTACAGTTCTTTTAAAAAATGCATCAGGATTTTGATCTCACTTTAAATTTCCCTTGAAAGCTCTGCCTTTGTCTGCAGCTGACCTAGGCACAACAATTTTGGCATCTATTGCGTGGAAAGTTTGCTCAACTTTAATTTTCAGTCAGAATTGTGTAAGCTGAACCAGTTAAGATGTCGACAGTGTTGTCTGTTGTTTCTCCTGTTAATAATCAATTCTCTTCAGTTACAGCATGAACAAGATTAATTTTTCCTGACAAATTAATGTGGATGGTTTGCCACTGTGGGGTTCATCTTCAACATTGTCTCATCCCTTCTTAAAACCAGTTATCCATTTGTAAACTGCTGATTTCTTTAGGCCATTGTTCCCATAAAGTTTTTTTTTTGTTTTTTGAGACAGAGTCTCGCTGTCACCCAGGCTGGAGTGCCGTTGGCACAATCTTGGCTCACTGCAACCTCCGCCTCCCAGGTTCAAGCAATTCTCCTGTCTCAGCTTCCTGTGTAGGTGGGACTACAGGCACCCGCCACCATGCCAGGCAATTTTTTAGTAGAGATGGGGTTTCACCATATTGGTCAGGCTGGTCTTGAACTCCTGATCTCAGGTGATCCTCCCACCTTAGCCTCCCAAAGTGCTGGGATTACAGGTGTGAGCCACCGTGCATGGCCATAAACTTTTTTGTAAATCATCAATGATTTCACCATTCTTCCACCAAAGCTTCATCATAAATGTGATGTTTGTTCTTACTTCAGTTTCAACAGAATTCATGTTGCTCTGTAAGGGGCTCTTTTCAAACTGATGTCTTACCCTCTTAGTGCCTCAAACTAAATCCTGTTCAGACCTGTTATGACAAGTTAGTATGAGTTTGTTTTGGTGCAAAAAAGTTTGAAGTCTATGAATATTTTTTTCATAATATACCTTTTCCTTGAAGTTTTTGAAGTTATTACTAAACACATCAGCCAGCCTTTAAAAAATAATCTGTACAGTTCTTCTCTTTTGCTAATTAACATTTTGATTTCTGATATGCACAAATGACTGTTTTTATGTCATATCATGGTAATATGTTTTGCTTCACCACTAGAATATAAATGCAAGGATATTTCATGGTAATTAAGAGCACAACTTTTTGTGCCAGACTACTTGGTTCAAATCCTAGTTTTGCCACTTAATAGTTGTGTGGCTTTGATCAAGTTACTTAATCTCTTTGTGCCCCAGTTTCCTCAACTGTAAAATGAGAATAACAATAATACTTATACTGTAGAGTGATAAAAGGAATTATTAATTAATACAGGTCAGACATTTAGAACAGTATTTCAAAACTAGTAAGCTCTAAAAAAATCCACACTTTTATGAATATGAATATTTATTCCTACAATACTTTATTTACAAAGATATTGATCCAGCCAGCTAGGCAAAAATTCATCTTAATCAATATCTCTAAATTTCCTGATGGTTCCAATAAACTATATCTTGCCTTTTGTATTAGTCTGTTCTCCTGCTGCTAATAAAGACATACTCAAGATTGGGAAATTTATAAAAGAAAGAGGTTTAATGGATTCACAGTTCCATTGCAGGATCTTTCGGATATTGCTTTTCTGGCTGGAAACCTTTGTGGCTGGTGCACCTTTGCTTGAGTTCTTGTCCTGTGTCCAGGAAGAATAAGGTACTCAGACAGGGTGGAAGGTGAACAAGATGAAGAGGAGCTTTCTTGAGTATTATAACAGCTCAGAGGAGACCTGCGGTGGGTGGCTCCTCTCTGCCAGCAGGTCATCCCATTGTCTCTGCAGCTCTCAGTGAAGAGGGCAGCTCCTCTCTGCAGCTGGTTGTCCCATTGTCTCTCCATCGTCTGCCCTGCTCTGGCTGAGCCCAGGGTTTTTATGGGGCCTCAGAAGAGGCAGAAGTGTGGGCTGATTTGTCCAGGGACAGCCATGGGTGGGCTCAGGAAAAAGCACCATGAGTTCCTCCTCTGGTCTGCAGAACTGGCATCCCAGCCCCAGGCTTCAGGCCTATCCTAGCCTGAAGGTAGACTTCACTGGGGACCCACCTCCTTCCACCCAGGAGCATGTCTGTCTCCCCAGTCATCCATGGGGCCCAGGCTGCTGGCACCAAGGGGCAACTGCAGGCCAGTGCCCAGCCATCCTCAGTGCCCCCTCAGCTTCCCTTCCCATGTTCCTACATGCCCAAAGTCTGAAGAGGACTGAGGCATCAGGGGGCTGGCATGTCAGCACTGCCCTGAACGTGTGCACACCCATCTGGGCTGTGACAACATCCAGGCTTGGCCCCAACCCTACTTGGAGATGCCCAAGGAGTGCGGGTATCCCTGGGTTTGCCAATGGGCTGCAGCTGCTTGCAGGGAGGCGGGGTGGGGGGCAGCTGCAGCTATGCAGGGCTTGGCTCCTGCTTATTCTCAGCTTCCAAGAGCACAGGTATGCCCAATTGCAGCTGCAGCTTGGGCAGCTGCAGTTGCACTGGGGGAGCTCCCTCTCTGCCAACTTGGAAGAGGCAGGGCCCCTGCTTGTCCCCGGGTCCCACCAAGATCTATGGAGCATGGCACCTAGCCGCAACCCCTTTCAGCCTGGGATGGGGCGCCAGGTCCTCACTGGGCCTGAGCTGGTATCTGGGGCAGGGCAATGTTGACACAAGCTCCTCATGTGGCTCCAGTGCTCCGGGGCAGCATGGAGCTCCCCCTTGCCCTCATGTGATCCAGCCCCATTACGGTGGCCCCCAGGATGGCAGGCTGCGGAAAGGGGACTGTCTGCCTCCTATCATGCCCTCCCTGTAGATGCCGGTGTGATGGCAGTGGCCTCACCAGATGGCCCACTGCTGCCATCAGTTCCACATGGCTGGGGAGGACTCACGATCATGGTGGAAGGCAAAGGAGAAGAAAAGGCATGGCTTACCTGGTGGCAGGCAAGAAAAAGCGTGCAGGAGAACTCCCCTTTATAAAAGCATCAGATCTAGTGAGACTTATTCACTATCACAAGAACAGCATGGGAAAGACCCACCCCCATGATTCAATTACCTCTCACCAGTTCCCTCCCATGACACCTGGGAGCTATGGGAGCTACAATTCAAGATGAGATTTGGGTTGGAACACAACCAAACAATGTCACCTATACAAGTGATGAAAGTCCTGTATGACATTTATTTCAGTTCCTGGTCTTTGACAAAACTTTAAATCTAGTGTACTCACTGAATTTATTCTGGAGGAGGGAAATGTATTGTTATGGATTGAATTGTGTACCTTTCAAAAAATACTTTGTAGTCCTAACCCCCAGTACCTCAGAATGTTACCTTATTTGCACCTAGGGTCTTTGCAGATTTAACCAGGTTAAGGTGAGGGATTTAATTCAATATGATTGGTTTCCTTATAAGAAGGGGAAATTTGGACATAGACATGGACAGAGGGAAGATAATGTGAAGACACACAGGGAGGGTGGCCATGGGACTGGAGTTATGCATCTACAAGCCAGGAATGCGTGGGATCACCAGCAAACACAAGAGGCTGGAAGAGGCAAGGAAGGATTCTCTTCTAGACTGTCAGAATGGTTGTGGCCCTGCCGACACCTTTATTTCAAACTTCCAGCCTCTAGAACCGTGAGACAATAAATTTCTGTTGGTGTAAGCCACCCAGCTCTTGGTACTTGGTTACAGCACCTGTAGGAAACTCATATAAATGTAATATAGATTTATCCATTTTCTGATTACTTTTTCTCACATTTAACCAAAAACTGAGGAGGCTACGATTAATTATTCCTTTTTGCCCCCCTGAGGATCATGCACAATGGATCAGAAGAAACAAATACTTAAATTTCTAGGTGAAAATGAATTAATGAAATTATTTTTGATTGGTGAGTGAAAAGCAGGCCAACAAGTGACTTAAAAATGTTATAGGCTGGGCGTGGTGGCTCATGCCTGTAATCCTAGCACTTTTGGAGTCTGGGGTGGGCAGATCACTTGAGGTCAGGAGTTCGAGACCAGCCTGGCCAACATGGTGAAACCCTGTCTCTATTAAAACTACAAAAATTAGCTGGATGTGGTGACATGTGCCTGTAATCCCAGCTACTTGGGAGGCTGAGACAGGAGAATTGCTTGAACCTGGGAGGCAGAAGTTGCAGTGAACCGAGATCACGCCATTGCACTCCAGCCTGGGGGACAAGAGCGAAACTCTGTCTCAAAAAAAGAAAAAAAAATTACAAGGTGCTTTGGCCTGAGTAATTTTCATTTTATATGTTCTTACTCATATGCTTTCTAAGGGATGTCTTTCTTAATATCTTTTTTAACTACCACTGCTAGCTTTGAAAATAATATATTTTTATATTCTATGAGAGACAAATGCACCTGTAAATTAAGCTATCTTTAGCTCCTAAATTGTCCACCACAGTCATAGAACCACACACTGGTTAATTTAGCAGGGAATTAACAGATCAAGTTGTGTTCAACTGCTTTATTTCTCAAAGAGGAAATCGAGGTCAACAGAGGTTAAGTAGTAACTTAGTCTTTTGATGCAGTGTTGCGGGAAGTCAGGGACCCCAAACGGAGGGACCGGCTGAAGCCATGGCAGAAGAACATGGATTGTGAAGATTTCATGGACATTTATTAATTCCCCAAATTAATACTTTTATAATTTCTTATGCCTGTCTTTACTGCAATCTCTAAACATAAATTGTAAAGATTTCATGGACACTTATCACTTCCCCAGTCAATACCCTTGTGATTTCCTATGTCTGTCTTTAATCTCTTAATCCTGTCAGCTGAGGAGGATGTATGTCGCCTCAGGACCATGTGATAATTGCGTTAACTGCACAAATTGTACAGCATGTGTGTTTGAGCAATATGAAATTTGGACACCTCGAAAAAAGAACAGGATAACAGCAATTTTTCAGGGAATAAGAGAGATCACCTTGAACTCTGACCGCCGGTGAGCTGGGTGGAACAGAGCCATATTTCTCTTCTTTCAAAAGCAAATGGGAGAAATATTGCTGAATTCTTTTTCTCAGCATAGAACATACCTGGGAAAGAGAATATGTGCCTGGAGAGAGAGAGAATAGGCTTATAAACAGTCCCCCCAGGTGCACCTGTCTCTTATGGTCGAGACTGCAGGGGTGAAATAGACTCCAGTCTCCCATAGCGCTCCCAGGCTTATTAGGAAGAGGAAATTCCCGCCTAATAAATTTTGGTCAGACTGGTTGATCTCAAAACCCTGTCTCCTGATAAGATGTTATCAATGACAATGGTGCCCGAAACTTCATTAGCAATTTTAATTTCACCCCGGTCCTGTGGTCCTGTGATCTCGCCCTGCCTCCACTTGCCTTGTGATATTCTATTACCTTGTAAAGTACTTGATGTCTGTGACCCACACCTATTCGCACACTCCCTCCCCTTTTGAAAATCCCTAATAAAAACTTGCTGGTTTTTGTGGCTTGTGGGGCATCACGGAACCTACCGACATGTGATGTCTCCCCCGGATGCCCAGCTTTAAAATTTCTCTCTTTTGTACTCTGTCCCTTTATTTCTCAAGCTGGCCGACACTTAAGGAAAATAGAAAAGAACCTACGTGAAAATCAGGGCAGGTTCCCCAATAGCACAGTCTAAAGATTGTACTTACAGCCTTTTTTTTTCTGTTTCTTAGTACTAGAAAGTTAATGTTTTAAATTACATTTAAAAGATCAGATTTTTCTAGATCTTTTTAACAGTCTTCTTTATAGCTTGTAGAATAGTGGCCTTTTAAAAAGTAAGTGATAAATAACTGTTCATTGGGGAAGAATTCTTATTTGCTAGTTATCCTGAAGCTATAAACAAACTTGCTGTAAGTACTTATATAGGATGTGGTTGTATATCATTTATCTGTCCTTGTTAGAGGCATAATAGCAGGAAGCCAGGGCACATGAAGTCTACACTGCATTCCCAGGACAGAAGGCTTTCATAGAGTATCTGAGTGGCTAAGGTAGAAGGGATATTTCTAAATCAGGCATCAGGTAGAAGTTGGCCCTAATTTTCAGAAGCACATAGACATTTTTATTATGTCCTCATATCCTGTCATAGCTGAATTTGAAAATACAGGGTGAGGAGGTCATGAGAAAGGTCAACAAACCAAAATAGGAGAGAATCTAAGAAAAACTACCAAGATTTTAAAAAGATAAAAGGCATAACATCTTTAATGAATGACTGTCTAGGGCTATTAGTCAATTCATAGCTCACAGATTCTCCATGGGAGTTAATAGTTTAATATCTATTTAAGCTACAGTTACTTAGAGATCTTTCCTCAACCTCGAATAATATTTGCTTCAAATAATAATTTTAAACTTAGGAAAAGGGAGAAGTTGGTCAAAGAGTACAAGGTTTTTGTTAGGAGGAATAATTTTTTGAGATCTATTGCTTAGCACGGTGACTATAGTTAATAATGTAATGTGTATTTCACAATTGCTAAGAGAGTAGATTTTAAATGTTTACATCACACACAAAAACAAGTATGTGTGAGATATGTTAACTAGCTTGATTTAATTATTCCATAACATGTATATATATATCAAAATATGACATTGTACCCCATAAATATATACAGTTATTGTTTGTCAATTAAAAATAAAAATTTAAAAATAAATTTACTTTCTTCTAGGAATTGTGCTAATCACTTTATAAATGTCTTTCTTAAAGCAAAAAACTAAAAGAAATTGCAATTATTGTCTTCATTTTACAGTAATAAAAATAAATCTCAGAGAGTTTAAAAAAAAAACTTGCCTAATGTTGCATTGCTAGCAAATGGCTGGGCCAAGATTTACACTTAGATCTGTCTAACTCCAGTGAGTATTTCCATTCATTATATAATCATGGGGTTGATCGAATCCCTGACTGGGCATCTTTCTCGTCTCCCTGCTGTGAAGTAACATATGGGCCCTCCTGCTGGTTAAGCACTTGAGTCACCTTCCTCATCTGGAGTCAGCTTTCAGTATAATCTTTTCTTCCTGCAGGCCCTAGAGATTTGGTCTGCTCACCTTTCTTCTTTCCAGCTGTCACCACCAATTCTCCTTCCTGTGGTTCATCTGCTAGAATTCTGGGGTAGGATACAGATTGTCCTCTTTTCCTCTTGTTATTTCAACAACAGCCAGAACAAAAACTTCAAGTTTTTAATGAGGATCTCACTAGCTAGCAACTTCAAGATATAATATAATAATATTAGCAATCACTTCTGTGCTTCACTACTAGAAGTTTACTTTGCTATTAAATTTATTATTCATAATTATTTTGGCATATGTACTTATGCCACTTATATGGCAATGAGTAGAGTTTTAGTCTGATTTACAATTACAATTTCCTAACCCCTGCTCTTTCTGTAGGCTTGCAAATGCTCCGATTTATCTTCCTATAGCTGATGCTTGAAAGAGAATAAAAGATATTACAGAAGATCACACATATCAAGATTTACATTTTAAGAAATAAATGAAAGAAGAGATTCCTTGCCTTTAATGAGAATGGCTAATATTTATGGAGTACTTAATATTCTAAATGCTTTCCATATAAAAGTCATGATGATTATCTACATTTTACTGATGGAGAAATCAAAGCACAGCACCTTTGCAAGGATATGAGTAAGTTATGGAAATAAGGTTCAAACACAGGTCTGTATAAGAAATGCATTAAGCTGCTTCTTAAAAACACCATAGAAACACAAATCATGAGTATTATGTAGAGAACAAATTTCATTGTTTGTATTTTTTAATCCTGCAATTCCTTTGAATCTCATTAGTTTGTTTTCACATTTGTGGTATTGTTTGATGTTGTTGAAAATGGATCTCATTTTACTCTAAAAAGTTTGTAGTTAAATAATAGGTGAATTGCTCTGTAAATGTGAATTTCTAAATTTAGTTATTATGGGGCTAGTGGTTTAGCTAGTTGCTTTTGAGGTCCTTGGTTTAAATTAGGATTTCTAAGTTTAAACTTCAAAAAACATACACTTGCCTGTTGTCTTCTGGATTCCATGATAAATACAAGCAGATAACACCTATGATTAAGCTACAGCTATACAATCAGTTTTACAGTCCTCTTCTTATATATCTTATTAATTGAAATCCCCTTCTTACTGTGGTTAAGTGTATTTTCTTTAGGTTAAACCCTTAAAATACATCTAACATTCTGAATGAATTAATCATCTCTATAGACATTTTTTTCTGTAGCCTATTTTTGAGGAAAAGAGCAAAAACAC
Organism: Homo sapiens; assembly: GCF_000001405.40. NCBI lineage: Eukaryota > Metazoa > Chordata > Mammalia > Primates > Hominidae > Homo > Homo sapiens. Next base: position 89,154,457 of record NC_000004.12, read on the forward strand.
CCTCTCACATAACCCCCAAAACAAAATTGGCATTGATTTGAGAACCTGTTATTTGTCTTTAATGGACAGTTTTATACAAATGTGTTCAGTAAACTGTGCATAGTTCTTTTAACAGAATGGCTTTGTAATCTCAGGAAAGTTTTTTTTTTTCAAGAGAAATGAAGATTATTTGTCCAACAATATGTTCATTTTCCATTAAAAACACATTATACTGCCTAAAATGTCTCCCCACTAATGATCATAAATTAACTTGAAAAGACTCATGAGTTTATAATATAGGTGACATTGGTCTAACAAGCTTATCTTTTATCCAACCTCATTAGGCTCTTTAGATAATTTTTTAAACGCTTTGATAAATAGAACAGAACATACAATATGTAATGGGAAATATTTTAAAGGTCATTAATTAAAACCAAAAATCAATGATGCTACTAAATTCTAAGGCCATTTTTTAGAAAAAGATTATCTTATATATATCTGTTCCAGCATGAGATCATTTCCCCCTAATTTATGGTGAATTTAGGTTCAAAACCCTATCAGAGGGAAGAAGTTGATAGAGATTAGTCTGTGGCATTTAAAGACTCAAAGTCAAAACACAGGCTATCCCTGTGGAAGTGTCTGCAAAATGCCAAGCATCCAGAGCGGTGCTGACCAATCAGCGTTTTGTAACCATATTTGGCTATTTATTTTTAAATTAACTAAAATGAAATAATATTAGAAATTCACTTTTTTAATTGCACTAGACACATTTCAAATTTGTAATAACCATCATCACAGAAAGTCCTACTGGATATCACTGATTCAGAGGGCTCAAGCAATACTCCCACCCCAGCCTCCTGAGTATCTAGGACAACAGGCAAGAGCCACCATTCATGGCTATTTTTTTAAGTTTTATTTTTATTATTATTTTTTGAGACAGGGTCTCACTCTGTCACCCAGGCTGGAGTGGAGTGGCATAATCACAGCTCACTGCAGCCTCTACCTCTCAGGCTCAGGTGATCCTCCCACCTCAGCCTTCCAAGCAGCTAGGACTACTGGTGCGAGCCACCATGCCAGGCTAATTTTTGTATATTTTTGTAAATATGAGGTTTCATCATTTTGCCCAGGCCTGTATTTTTATTTTTTGTAGAGATGGGGTTTCACTATGTTGCCCAGGCTTGTCTGAACTCCTGGGCTTAAGTGATCCTCCTGCCTCAGCCTCTCAAAGTGCTGAGATTACAGGTGTGAGCCACCATGCCCTGGCCTTTAGACAGATTCTTAATGTTCATCAAGGTGTTTGGTAACACCTAAAAGTAACAATGAGTTATTTTTCCCAAGCCTGGAAAATTGAGATAAAATAAAAATAACTTTATTTTTCATTCAACAAAACTTTAATAAAACTCAATGCACTAGGAACTAGTTAAACAAAGATGAAGAAAGTGTGATTTCTGACTTGAGAGGATTACAGTCTTGTGGATGAGCTGGAAAAACATCCAGCCATTATACAATGTGGTTTTTATTAAAATGATGTTACATACCAAACAAAGTCATTAGCTCTGTCTGAAGGAACTGAGGAAGACCTCAAATAGGAGATGATAGTTGAGCTATTACAGTAACAAAGTTATTTTTTAAAAATAATATACATTCATAACACAAAATAAAAGGGTCAGTCTCTCCTGATGTCTGTATGAGTAAATTTGAGAATGGCCCTGACTCCAAGACAGTATGTCCCATTAACATTCTGTAGCATACCCTTGTGCAGATATTTCCACTGAATACTATTCTAAAGCTATGTACTGGATTTTATGAATATAACTTGATCTAGTGTGCAGTTTTTTGGGACAATCTGGACTAGCAACAAGAACTAGTATGACCCATGTGATGCTGGACATAAAGCAATTAAACAGTAAAGAGCCTGAGCACTCCTAAGCTTGCGCTACCAGGCCATGATTAATGGTGTCACATGGAGAATGTCAAAGGGCCACGGAGTGAGTGGCTCCATCTCCAGTGTGACTCTTGCAGATTTTCAAATGTCCCTCTCAACTCTGCAGCTTGAGGAGAATGTTGATCATGCCCAAGAGAATGCCGGACTAGGAGAGTAAAAGAACAGAAGGCAACATGGCGAAACTCCGTCTCTACTAAAAATCCAAAAATTAGCCGGGTATGGAGGCATGCGCCTATAATCCCAGCTATCTAGGAGGCTGAGGCAGGAGAGTCGCTGGAACCCAGGGGCAGAGGCTGCAGTGAGCCGAGACTGCACCACTGCACTCCAGCCTGGGCAACAGAGCAAGACTGAAAAAAAAAAAAAAGAACAGAGGGCTCAGGCTGAGAAAACCAGATTATTGTTTCTGAAGACCTTTCAGCGTGGATGTTGTGGGACAGAAGTGCAATATGGCACGCGAGAAATCCTGGGATGGGCTTGAGGGATCTAGATAGAATCAGCACAGAGACTATCCCTTTAGTAGCCTGGCTAAGTACAGTGATCGGTTTCTTAAGTGATAAGGATTGGAAATTAATTAGCCATTATAGAATGTAGTATGTAAATATGGATGGGTGTTTGTATCAGTCAGGGTTCAGTCAGAGAAGCAGAGCCGTTAGGATATACATATATATATATATATATATATATATACACATATATATCCTAATGTAGTTATTTGACTAACCGTTAGAGTTTGTTTATATATATAATTATATATAAAGCAAAATTATATATAATATATAATTATATTAATATGTATTATATATAAAAGTATATATTATGTTAATAATATACTATAATTGTATTTTATATAAAATAAACTCCAATGGTTAGTCTAATAACTACATTAGGATATAGATATCCTATGTAGTAATATATAATTATATAATATATATTATATATTATATGTAATATATAATTATATATTATATAATAATATATATATTATATATTATATATTATATTATATATCTAATATAATAATATATATAATATAATATATAATATATAATTATATATTATATATTAATTAATAGATATTAATTAATATATAATATATAATATATATAATATAATATATAATATATAATATATAATATATATTATATATAAAACAAAATATATACATATCTGTAATAATCAGATATTTGCTACGGGGATTTAATTTTATGCAATGCTGGGAGCTGGTAAACCAGTCTCCGTAAACATGTCACCCTTGTGTCTGATGTTAAGAGTTTGAAGTCTGCCGAGCAGGTAGTAGGGAATGGAAGACAGATGGTAAGTGGAGGAGAGCAAGAACAAGCTGTAACCCACAGTATGAGCTCAAGCACATGAGGATAGACAGAAACCTACGTCAGTTCTGTCTCTGACCCGGAGGGTCTTGTGGAAGCTATGACCCATTATGATGGAGCTGAACACATACCCGGACCATGGGAATGAAGCTGAATCTTCTTTGGCTGTGTGATGAATTTGCCCCTGGGCCATGATATATTATGACTGACTGCGAGGCTTCTGAGAGCACTATCCACTATACAAAGCTTAGCACACATGTCAGCACATATTCATCTCTTATTCAATATTTGTTGAAAGAATAATAAAATAAAGTGTGTGTGTGTGTATATGTGTGAGAGAGAGAGAGGGAGGGAGAGAGAGAGAGAGAGACAGAGGGAGAGAAAGAGAAAGAGAGAAGAAAGAAAGAAGAAAGATAGCAAAGAAAAGGAGAAGGGAAGGAAAAAGAAAGAAATGTACAAGGTCACTAAATCATCCAAAGACAAATCTTGGGCTAAAATCCAGGTAATTTAGACATTTTCTTAAGAAATCAAATAAAACAACACATCAACACATATATTTTGTTGACATATACTTGATAATATATAATATAAAAATATCAGAAATATCCAATAGTTCATTACATTATGGTGTATAAAAGTAATATTTATGAGAGAAAAATTAATGCTTTGTTCTTCAAAAACATGTTATTCAAAGAACATTTTCATGGATTTGTAGGGTTTCCATGAATATTTGATTTTGATAGTTTTGATGTGTTGTTTTTCTTTGTTCAGTGATCAAATATAATCTACATTAAGTGTCAGGAATGATTACTTTGCAGTCTCTGGAGCTCCAGGGGTCTATGGACAGAATTCAAGTGGCCCATGAACTTAGATAGGCAAAAAAGGACCAATTTTCTCCACTAATTTCTAACTGTAATAAAACATTTCCTTCAATTATGAATACAGCATAGGCAACAGACCACAATAGTATCAGCCTGTCACATACATTTTCATATCATATTATTGTTGTTGCAGATGTCTCAAAAAATGTATACACTATCAGCTCAAAATCATAGTAGTTATTAGATTAACCACCACATTTTGTTACTGATATGTTAATTAAACACACGGATTAGTCTAATACATTTGTCATTTTAAATCTCTTGATAACTATATTTCAATATAGTTTCCTTTCTAAATCTAGTGTTTTATTTTATGCATTTAAAAACATTATTATGAAAAAAGGCCCATACGTTGTCAAAGAGTCCCATGAGCACACAAAAGATTAAGAAACCCCGCCTTTCATAAGGACAAAATGTCTCCCTTCATTGCAGTATTTTTTTCTGATTAGTATTCTAGAGATGCCAATGACAAATAATGGTGCTTACAGGCATTGTACACAAGGTGGCAGCACATTATTGTTTCATTTCCAAAAATCAAATTTCCTCATTCCTGGCCATAACTGGATGCTAAGTGTAAACACTAAGATAAGGTAATACATTTTTAGAAAATAGATTTTGATATTTTTCAGCCTTCTAGTTTATATTAATATCCTCTTTTCTGTGCAATATATAGCACACATAAGATGTTTCTATTTAATAAACAATTTTCTCAGTTTGAGACACACAAAAAGAAATTAAATTATGTTCAGAACTATTCCTCAATATGTTTTCTAAATACAGTCCTCCCACCTCCCCCCCCCCAAAACAACCACCAAAATTCTTATGAAGAAAGACTTTTTATAAATTACCCTTTGGGTAATTTATGAATTACATAAAACTTCACCCCCAATATATACCATACTCTCTCTAATTAAAATTTGTGATGTTTTAATTGAAAAAGGAAAGGAGGGGTGGTAGAGCTGACTAAAGGATTGTTGGTGCAACAGATTACAAAATGGCTCTAATTCCTCATTCCTCCCATGAAAAGGCACAGTTTATTTCTCCATCTCTTGAATTTGAATTGTTCTTGGGACTTGCTCTGGCCAGTAGAATGTGTTTCCTTTTGCTGTCTGCTTTCAGGACTGGGCACTGAGCTTACTTGTATTTGCATCTCATGAGAGGACATGCCTGAGTTAGTCTGCTGGAAGGATGTGACATATACATGGTGTATGAGACCTGTTAAGATAAGCTGGATTCTCCAAGCCAGATAAAACTTAGAAAAATGAGATCCCCACCAATAGTCAGTCTACACCCAGACAAATGGGAGAGGCCAGTTGAGGCCAGAAGAATCACCCAGCCTAAGTCTCTGAACTGCAGCTGATTCCAGATGTATGAGCAATAAATACACTGTTTTTAGCCATTGAGTTTTGTCATGCTGTTTTTGTCCAGCATTATTTGTAGAATAGGTAATGTTTGTAAGGTCTTCTTTATTTCTAACTCTGTACAAGTGCATGACTGGTCCAGATATCTTTCAGCAAAATGTACCTGTAACCTAGCATTCCATTGAATCAAGTATTTTGGCATACATAACATTTACTGAGTGTTTCTATCCACTTAGTAGATCTAGTTCTGACTTAAGGTATAGGAAGTCAAGGTCGAGGAAGAAATTGGGTTTTGGGAGTTAGAGGAAGAAATTGGGTTTTGGGAGAGGAATGTGTTATAAGCTAAATGTCTGTAGCTCCACCCACCTCCCCAAATTTATATGTTGAAGCCTTTAACCCCCAATATGATAGTATTTGGAGATGAGGCTTTTGGAAGGTGATTTGTTTTAGATGAGGTCTCGAGGGTGGTGCCCCATAGCCCTTATAAATAGAGACACCAGAGAGAGTTCTCTCTCCCTTGTGCACAGAGAAGAGGTCATGTGAGTACACAGTGAGAAGGTGGCTACCTCTATACAAGCCAGGAGAAGAGGCATCAGAATAAAGCCTACCTTCCTGACCTTGATTTTGGACCTCCTAGTCTCTGGAACTGTGAGAAATAAATTTCTATTGTTGACGCTACCAAACCTGGGATATTTTGTGATGGCATCCAGAGCTCACTAATACAGAACGGAAAGACAAAGTAAGGGAAAAGTGATAACGAACAACTATTCAGTGTTTTCCAGCATTCTAAAGATTTTAATATAATTTCATTTAATTTCTTACAACTAAGTGAGGTAGATACTATTACCAACAACCTCATTTTACTTACAGATGAAAAATGACAAAGAAAGGCTAAATAACACGTCCAAGGCTTCATGGCTAATAAGTGGCAAAGTCAGAATTTGAATCAAAGATAATCTATCTCTAGAAGCTGTGTTTTTAACTGTTATTTCATACTGCTAGGAAATGAGCAGTGGCAAACAAAGACAGGAAGAGAAAAACTCAGTGATAAACACTGTGTTGTCTGGTACATTACACACTGCCATGAAGTATGCCAAAGTAGTATGGCATGCTGCTTTGTTGAAGATATGAGGAGACATGTTTTACTGTATATAATAAAGCAACATTCTACGTACACTTGCAGGCTTGAATAAGAAGACATTTAAAAACATTTATCCAGCATTGTTTCATATCAAATACATATAGGATGGATGTACAAATTGCCTATGTTATTAGTTCTACCTACAAGGTGGCAGAATAACTTGATAATTAGGCCTGCTATACTTAATTGGCCAGGTAGAACATCTGAAATATGGGAAAATGATTTTCCCTGGCTAGACAAGGAGTTGCTGTTCTCTTCATTTAAGCAAGAAGCTACCATAAAATTCTGCCTCACTCTGACAGACTAGCTGGAGGAGAGAAGCCTCCCTGAGCAAACTGACCACCCCACTGAAAGTACCCTTCTGCTCCTGAGTGTGTAGAAGACAAATAAGAAAATTTCCAGTTTATTTGGAGGTGCGAAGAAGGTCTGAGAATTGAGAGCCTCTGTGCCTTCCAGAAGGTCCTTGTTTTCAGGAAGAGAGTGGATGCTATTGTGAGATTGCACGGTGATTTGATAATATGGTAAATTTTCAGCAGATTAGAGCCCCAGTATGAGACAAGGGAAAGAACAAGGGTTGGGGAGTGGGGAAAAGGGGGAGACCATGAACTGAGGGTGCAAGAGAATAGTCTATGGCCACATCAGCCTTAGGTGCTTCAGCAGCCAACATAGTCAAGACAGAGACCTCCCAAGATGAGGTGGGACAAGCTCCAGCTTAGAGAAGGGCCAGCAAAGATGACATGCCAATGCAGATATTAGATGGGCACCCACACACGTATTACGTATTCTCCCTAGATCTAAACCCCTTTCTGGGGAGAACAATGGAAGGGGAGGACAAGTAAGAGATGATGTTGTCCAGATATGAAGTTTGGAGTTTGAATGGACTAACTGAGTTCCCAAGAGGTTAAGAGTTATGCAGAAAGTGACTACATTGCCTTTAATTGGCAAGTTCAATGAGTCATTTTCTGCATCTCCTTCCCACATCCAACCAAATAAAAGATGTATGAGCAAGCTGAGCTTAGTTGTAAACAAGAGAAATTTCTGACCTTATTTGTTGTAACTATAAAAAATAAAGCTGCCATATATCCAAAACACAATCCACTTTCCTACCAAGTGTTCAGTCTGCTATATACCCTGCAACATTAATCTGTTTTGTTTGTTTTCACAAATTCTTTCTGATATTTGCTTTATACAATATTGACAGAAATTCTGATCAGAGGAAAAGAAGTGTTGACATAGTTTTATACACACGTCAATCATCATTTTGAGAAGGTACTAACATACCTATATTATGAATATGAAAAAATATTTTTCTAAACTGCAATTAGAAGATACTAAATATTAATGCATTTGTATTAGTTATTGCTGCATAACAAATCACTCAAAACAAAATGAGTGAAAACGATAATAATTATTTATTATCTCACAGTTTCAGCGGGTCAAGCATTCAAAGAGAGCACAGTTGGCAGGGTCTGTCTCTGCTCTATAAGGTCTGGGGCCTCAGCTGGATGATTTGAAGGCTGAAGGGCTGAAATTGTCAAGGGCATGACTTGAGCTGGAGGGTATACTTCCAACGTGACTCTCTCACATGACTGACAAGTTGCTTGCTCTACAGGGCTGCCTGAGTGTGCTCATGACATGTCAGCTGCTTTTCTCCAGAGTGAATGATCCAACAGTTTAAAGCAGAAGCTGCAATAATTTTTAGGACCTATCTTAAGAAGTCTTATACTGTCACTTCTTCAGGATTCCACTTGTCACATAGGCCAGCCTGATTCTGTGTCGGTGGAGACTACACAAGGATATTGTATTAGTTAGCTATTGCTGTGTTGCAGATTACCTTGAAATTTAGCAGCTTAAAGCAACAAATATTAATATTATCTTAGAGTTTCCGTTGCATCAGGAATCCAGGATCAGCTTAGTTGGGTGGTTCTGGTTTAGGATCTTGTACGCAGTTGCAGTCAACCTGTCAGGGCTGTAGTCGTCTGAAGTTCCACTGGAGCTCAAGAACTGCTTCCAAGCTCTCTCATGTGTTAGTAGGCTTCAGTTCCTTGCCATAGGGGCCTCTCCTTCGGCTGCTTGGGTTTCCTTATTACTTTACAGCTCGCTTTCCCCAGAATGAGCAATGCAAAAGACAGAAACAAAGAGCCCAAGATAGAAGCTATGGTCTTTTATGACCTAATATTGGAAGTAACATACTGTATTTGTTTCCTTTTGCTGCTGTGACAAATAGCACTAACTTAGTAACTTAAACAGCATGAATATATTATCTTATAGTTCTGAAGCTCCTAAGTCCAGAATGGGTTTCACTGTGCTGAAATCAAGGTGTTGACAGGACTGTGTTCCTTTTAGAGAATTCAGGAGAGAATCCAGAGGCTCCTTGCATTTTTGCACTTCCAGAGGACATCTGCATTTTTTTTTTTTTTGGCTTGTAGCTCCTTTCTCTACCTTCAAAGCCATCAGCATAGCACTTTTAAATCTCTCTCACTCTGACTTTATTCCATCTTTTAAGGATCCTTTGAATTACATTGTGCCCACCCAGATAATCCAGGATAATCTCCCTATTACAAAAATTCTTAAATTAGTCACATTGGAAAAATCCGTTTTGCCATGTAATGTGATATTCAACATATTCACAGGCTTAGGATGTGGGGATTAAGATATGGACATATTTGGGGAGCTATTATCCAGTCTACCACACATACTATCACTTTTGCCATATCATATGGGTCACACAGACCAACCCTGGTATAATGCAGGAGGGGACTACACAAGAAAATGCCAGGAGATGGAGCTCATTGTGGCTATTTGGGGGCTGGCTACCCCCTTTTTTTTTTTTTTTTTTGAGACAAGGTCTCCTTCTGTCACCCAGGCTGGAGTGCAGTGGTGCGACCTCGGCTCACTGCAACCTCTGCCTCCTGGGCTCAAGCGATCCTCCTGCTTCAGCCTCCCAAGTAGCTGGGACTACAGGCTCAAGCCACCACACCCAACTAATTTTTGTATTTTTTGTGGAGATGGGGTTTTACCATGTTGCCCATGCTAGTCATACCATAATATTTTTTGTATAATTATTACATAACTTTGAAAAGTATTACTTATGGCTTTAAAATACAATATTGAAATTAAAACCTCATACAATTGTTAGCATTTTGTTTTTATTAGATGGAGAATAATAATAATGATGATGATAAAATAATACCTATCATTATTGAGTTCCTGATACATGCTGGGCACTGTACTAAGCTCTTTATAGAACATTTCTAATTTTGAAATATGAAAGATCAATGATTCTTAAAAATCATTTTACAGATGAAGAAATAAGTTCAGAGAAGCTAAATGATTTGAGTAAGTTCACATAATAACAGTAGGTACAGCAAGAGTTTGAATATACTTTGGTCAAGTGTTGGAATATGTGGTTTCCTGTCCCATCACTAACTATCCATCATCTAATATAATGAATTCAATGCTCATGACCTAGGTTTTCACATCGTCATTTCTTGACTACAGGTTCTTTAACTGTATGATTCTGAAAGAGTAGAGAATCACAGCTATTCATGTAATTTATTCCCAACCTATAGATGGCACTTTTGTGCAACTGGAAGCTCAATATATGTAAGATACTTCAATTCTAAACTTATACCAAAAATAATTGTCATGTCAGAAAACTAAATCCTCACCCATTTAAACAGCTTACCGTTGTTCTTGGGTATATTAAAGTAAAATAAGAGAAACAGTCCCATATAAAGATTGTCTAAATAAATTCTGATGTAGTCACATAAGCCACCCACTGAGACAACATAAAAGAAGATCCTTTAGATTTAGGGATATCTTCAATTTACCAAACATCTACAATGGTCCATTTTGTGAAATACCAAAGTCCTATCTAAGGGCAAGGATAGGAATCCTCTCTACTACCTTTTATCCCCTCTTATTTCATTCTATTTTTATACAGTCTTTTCAGTAACGAATATTCACCTCATTTTTCTTAGTCGACCATCTTAAATAGCTCATTGGCACAACACTCCTGGAGAGTTATTTTAATTTTAAATGGCCCTATTATGTTCCCATACGTAATCCCATATCTAAAGTAGTACCATATGGTTCCAGGAGATGTTCCTGGCGGTATCCTGGAGGGATTATTACAGCGAAAAGTGGGCTCAGAGTTAACCTTTTGAAGATGGATGCAACAAATAAAACTGATCTGCATCATAGTGGGAGAAATTAATGCTATGGGTAAAGGGCATTATGAAACAATGAGTCATTTACTCCTGTGTTCCTGTGTAACTAAACGAGGGAATACTTTATCTACCAAATTTTAAATAAAATTTCATAGACAGTCTCTCCTCTTTATTCTCTTGATCTTTGCCGATCCACTTAACAGATAATGTCTTTAAAGGATCTGTATTTCACTTTTGTCCAGCTTTTCTGGCTATTCATCACTTTCAGGCACAGATTATTTCATCTGTACATTTATTTATTAATACAGTCAAGAACAGTCAAGAAATACAGAATGAAGACCTTCTACATATAAAGACCTACATTAGGTATTGGTACAAGGTCAGGGCTTCAAAGATTAATTTGGCATAACTCCCTTCCCTCAGGGGTCCATGGCTAATTTGTGGCATGGATGCCATTATTTAACTTTGCGCCGTGGTGACATTGAACCACAAAACTCTTTCCAATGACTGCAAAACCCTTCTTAACGTGGCATTCATAGCAGCTACTACCAAAATGAGGTTTGCAGAGGAAAAAAATAGAAACATTCAGATAATTGTCACCTGTTAGAGATATAAGCACTACCATGTCTTTGAGAGGAAAAAAGCCATAGTCCTCATCTTCATAGACCTTCTGTCTCAATGCGAGTTATAGTTCCAACTATCAAAGAGGAAGACTACTCGAACTCTCAGTAAGACAAGCTACAATATGCTCACATATAGGAGAAAGCCTTAAAAACACTGAAAGAGGCAAACAAACGCAAATGGTTAAAATGCTATATTTGTCTTACACTCAACAGAAGCCATAAGAAAGGGGGTTAATAATTTATGGGTGCCTAGAATGTGCCAGGACCTTGCTAAATTTTTCACATATATTTTATCATTTAATCCTCTCAATGACTGTATGAGACAGGAATATCCCTCAAACAGGTTAGGTGGCTTTTCCTATTACACATTTGATAAGTGATGGGGGTTATATTTCAGAACCAATCTTGGGTAATTCCCAAAGCCTATCTCTCTGCACTACATTGAGTGGTCATATTAATCGGGTAAACTTTCTACTTTTAGAATTTGAGAAACCCAAATTGGGTTGGAAAAACAAGATACACATTGTGTTCAAGTACATTGGTTGAGGTGCTGGAGAAGCTAAGTTTCAGCATTAATGCTTTTTCAGTTACATCCTCTACACAGAAATGGGTGCACAAGATGTGCTCAAGATTCACTGATTTCTTTCCAGCTCAAATTTACAATATAAACAATTCCAGCTCTCAAATGTCTATGATGTACAAAATATCTAGTCTTTGACTAAAAAGGGACACAATTTAAACTTCTCATATGTTAAGATAGCTACCTCTTGAAAGGTACGATAGTTTAATGGGGTAAACTTAATGGTATTGAAATCAGGTAAAATCTTCCTTAACCACTTGATAACTATGGGACGTTAGACAAATCACTTAATATATTTGGGAAAAAAGAATAAGCAAAGCCTAATTTTTCTTCCTATCTAGGAAGACGTTTTCCTGTATCTTCTTTATTTGATACTGGGGAGGAAGGAAATTTGAGCTGACACCCAAGGGAAAGGGAAGAAAACAAAACATTTATTTATTTACTCCTTCATTTGATTATTCATCCAACAGATATTTATTGTAGATTGTATACAATCATAGGTATATGTCTTACATAACTAAAATGTATGTATGTACACACCAAAAAACCTGTATGCAATTGTTCATAGTAGCATTATTCATAATAGCCAAGAGTGGAAACAACCCAAATACCCACTGAATGGATGTATAAAGTGTGATATAGCCATACACAATGGCTAACAATGTGCCAGCCACCATGGTGTTTGCATGTGTTACTCACTAATTCCTGTTGGAAGGCCTTAGGAAAGGGTTTTTTATCCTCATGTTATACATGAGAAAACAGAGAATGTGAAAGGATAAATGACTGTGGGCAGAAAAAACAATGGACTAGGGGTCAGGAAACTTGGATTCTAGATGCACCTTTTTACTAATACACTATGGAATGTGAGAAAATTCTCTGTAACAAGTTTTATGTTTTAGAGAAAGAGAGACCTGAAACATGTGACCTTGAAGGCAGCATAACTCCCTTTTTGCTACTTGAGTGATGAGTCCAACTCTTGCATTTGCCTTGGCTTTTTTTTTCTCCTTACATTTAATTTATATTCTTTTTTCCTCTATTTTATTTTACTATTATTGCTATTGGATTAATCTAATCTGAAGTTTTAAAGTAGAGATAAGAAATGTAGGATATTTGAGTCAATGAAAAAGGTCTCATTACCTTTGGACCAGAATGCAAATACAGTGTAGGCAGGAACATGCTTCACGTTTAACTTCGGATTCTCCTATAACATAATGTTCTTATTGCTGCTGCTGCTAAATTTAGGGAGAACTATGCCTAATGGGAATTCCAAATTTATCTAGTTTAGGAAATAATTCTTTTTCTTATATAAATTACTGAGTTGACAATATGAACCAAAAGAAGAACCATTAATAATATTTCAGAAACTGGTACTGAGAATAGTCTTATTTCATATATATATTTTATATATATATAATATATATTTATATAATAGGTTCAGATTAATTAAATACCATAAAATTCATGCTTTAGAAGTGCATACTACCATGGTTTTAGATATTCACAGAGTTGTGCAACCACCACCACTATCTATTAGTAATCGCTCCCCATTCATCTTTCCCCCAGCCTCTGGCAACCACTCAGTACTTTCAGTCTCTATAGATTTGCCTGCCATGGACCATTCATATAAATGCAATCATACATTATGTGGATTTTTGGAATTGGCCTCTTTCACTTGGCATAACGTATTCAAAGTTCATCCATGCTGTAGGAGGTATTGGTACTTCATTCCTTTTTGTTGCTGAATAATATTTCATTGTATGGCTATATCATACTTTATGGATGCATTCAGTGGACATTTGGGTTCTTTCCACTCTTGGCTATTATAAGTAATGATACGATGAACAATTGTGTACAGGTTTTGTGGTGTGTACTTACATACATTTTAATTATTTCTGACATATACCTAGGAGTGAATTCTTGGATCATAGGATAATTTCATGTTTAATTTTTTGAGGAACTGCTAAACTCTTTTCCAATGTGACTGCATCACTTTGTGCCAGGCTTCTTGGTAAGTATGATTATTATAGTAAATAGACAATTTTAATTTCTAGAGTAACAATAAACATCTAGCAAGTTTATATACCAAAAAATCCATTTCCTAGAGTTCACTATTAATGAGCTGGAGAAATTGAGTTTTTGATCCTTAAAACTGAAGCCACATCCTAGACCCATGGCTACCGAAGTACTTTCTTCCCCTGTGAGCAGAAGAAATATTCAAAATATCAAGTATGGCATGGGTACTGACCGGTGAGAATGGATTCACTTACTGATACAGAGTCCCTGGCAGTGAACACCAGGGCTGCTGGACCCATGTATGTATGTCTCAAATGCTCATAAGTCTTGTCAATCAGTTGGCGGGCCTCTCTTTACATTTGATTCATTTAAACTACAATGCTCTTCTATTCTGAGTGTGTAAGATTTGCAAAGAAAACAAACATTAGCAAGCTACCTATTGGAGTTAGCAAATTCTAACTCCAATAGGTAGCTTCTAGAGAGGTATGCTCTCTATTGTCTTGAACAGTTCTAGCCCATGTAAAATAATAATAATAACTTTAAAAGGTAATAATCTGTTAAAATGCATGTAACCAGAAAGTCTAAAATTAAAAAGAAGCAAATAACTCCAATCTGATGAAAGGGAGGATGATGTGCTAAATAACTTTATCATTGTTTTTTATTTTTGAATTTTATTTTTTATGAAATGTGATAATTGAATCTCAGGACATTTGTTTCGGTGACATCACTCTTATTCCATACCATAAATTACTAAACTATTAAATTTTTGTTGAATGTTATTATGCACAAAGTTTTCTCTTTTATATTTATATATACTACATTACTCACATTATACTGAATTATGAAGAAAACTGAATTTTGAAAAGAAGGAAAATTGGGAACATTATTTTACTTAATACATATTACATACTATACTAATGTTTTTACTGTGGAAACTGTTTCCGTATTGGTATACACCCAAATTTATCTTTTATGTTATCTGGTACATAATTTTACCAATAATATATTATTATATAACTAAATGTGCCTATATTTGAAAAAATTATTTTGCTGTCTTGGAGGAAGAGTCTTTCTATTATTTATAACATAGAATAAAATAAAAAATTCAGAAACTTAACTACATAGAAATAAACATACGGCAAAATATCCTAAGCAGAACCAAAAGCCAAATATTCAAAGAAATAAGAACATATATAATTCATATTAGAGATAGGGTTAATTTTCCTATCATATACAAAACTAGAAATAGATAAGAAAAAGACAACAAAAAATCCAACAGAAAAATGGACAAAAGATTTAAAGAGATTCTCCTACCTCAGCCTCCCAAGTAGCTGGGACTACAGGCACACACCACTGTGCCCCACTAGCAAGCAGCTTGTGAGCATATAGAAATATACTTAACTTCATTCACTCATAAAAGGTGTGCAAGTTAAACCAAACTGATACCATTTTCCCATTTATTAGATTGTTACATATCTGAATGTTTGATAACACAATGTGTACATTGTTACAGGCACCATGGAGGGCAACTTGGTGATTGCATCTAAACTACAAATGTAATCCTTTGATCCAGAGATTGTACATCTAGTAATATGTCATTCACCTACATTTGAACATGCTCCAAAAGACATATGCAAGATTATTCATTGCAGAATGTTTGTAAAAGCAAAAGATGGGGAATAACCTAAATGCCCATCAACAGAACACTGGTTAAATAAATTATAGTAACTTATATAATGCAACATTATACATAAGCTTCAAAGAAGAATACTCAGGCCATTTGAATGTGGAAAAGATCTCTAAGGTAAGGTGCAGAACACAATGCATTGCATACTATCTTTTGTATAAAAGGGGGAAATAAGAATATATATTTGTATTTTCTTGCTTATGTATAAAGAAATTTTGAAAGCATATACGGATTGAGCATCCCAAATCTCAAAATAGAGACCAAAATCTGAAACACTTCTGGTCCCAAGCATTTCAGACAAGAGATACTCAACGTGTAAGTAAACTATTTACAGAGGAGGTAAATTGAGTGGATAAGGGCAAGGATGGGAGGGAGATTATTCACTGTTTATTTTGCATGATGTTATTTGAAAAATATATGTATATAACCCACTTGCTAATTCAAGGTCTTCTTATTTCCTAAATTGACTGTACTGAAAAATGTAATTCTTTCATTGCATCTGCTAGACTCCATGGAATCAAGTGCGCCAAGAATAAGAGTATAGATACCCAGCAAGTGAAATCCAAGATAACTAGAGGAACTACCATGGAAAATATCACTGTTTCTCAACTGCTTCACAGATCATTTTCTGAGTTTAGCAGACAGAATCTCTGATTTAAAAATCCACAGGCTTAAAAAATCGAACTGAATCCATAAGGTCTTACAAATTTTGACAGTCCAAGAAGCTAGAAGATGCCAGGGTAGTGTGTATCATGGTAGTGTTTGTGACATCTGAGGGCCACAATTATATCTTACATTTAAAATTTCATGAAGAATTGGAGTTAAAACTCCGACCTCATGCCTTCAGGCCTGAGTCTTTTTCTCTTGCCATGTTTATTATTAAACTCATGTATAATATAGTTGAGGAGAATTTTTAAAAATAACACAGAAACAGTAAAATTGCTTCCTCTTATAACAGAACATACACAAAAAAAATGGGGACAGAAAATCAGCTTTTGTTACTTTCAGAATCCTAGTGACAAATTTTGGAATGACGCAGTAACATAAAATACATACTTTCTATCTCCTTCTGCTGTCTTTGTCTCATTTAGAAATTTGTCCAGTAGGAACTCTTTGATATAACAAGTCCACTATCAAACAGATGGTTTCAAACTGCTCTTTTGTTCTTGAAACTGGCAATTATTTTGTCCCTGTGTGCTTGAGGTTTGGATAGGAATGATTTTTTCATAGCTATCAAGCACAACATGAATGAACAGAGGCTTTCATTTACTGGCAATAGACAGCAAGAGTGGAAATCTCTATTGCACATATTTCAATGTTGTCATGTAAAACAGTATTTCTTTTTATCAGCAAGTGGTTTATAAATGTTGACAGCACCCCAAAACAAACAGCCTGGTTTATAACAACATATTTGGTGGTGTTTTCAATTTGTAATATTCATTGCCAGGCTTAAAGTATTATGCTCATGTTTCAAGTAAACTGTTTAATTAAAGTTTAAACAAGGGTCTCCAGAGCTTTACTAGCAAAGCATTTTATTAGAAAGCAAGGTCATGGACTCTTAAAAAATTAATGAAGTATGACCACCTTATGCCAAATAAATAAAGTACTGTATGTAAGATCTTGCCTGATATTATAGCTCTTGCATTCTGAAAATCATGTGTAAATACTGACCTAACATCATATTTCATGAACCATATTTTATATTTACTTCCTCATTTCTTTAATTAACAACAGATACCCCTAGGTTTGAAGTCAAGTTCTGATGATTAGAAGCTACTTGACTTCTCTAAGTCTCAGTTTCTTGGGCCATAAAATAAGGACAACATCACTTAGCTAGCGGGGTTGATGTGGAATTTAATAGGGAACATATGAAATGCCACAGTGCCCAGTACATGGTAGATACTGACAGATCCTACTTGTCATTTCTCCTGTTATTTCTGTGGCATACTCACACTCAATAAACATACTCACCCAGATGTTATTAGAAGTCAAGCGATTTGGCAAAGAAAAGAGGGGAAGCACACATTCCTAAATGGAGTAAAAAGCTTTACTGCAGGCTGGGCACGGAGCCCAGGAGTTTGAGACCAGCCTGGGCAACATGGTGAAATCCTGTCTCTGGAAAAAAAAAAAAAAAAGAGAGAGAACCTTTACTTCAGCTTCTGCATTTTCCATACAAACCAAGTCTAACAGGATAAGAGTTAGTATTTAGAATTTAAACAGAAACCTGTGGTAACCATGACTCTTGGCATCTTTGAAATATTGATATAATACCAATAATATCTATGAAGAAACTGAGTTCCCAACACTATTTTATGTTGCACTTAAATCTGACAGTCTCATTCAACAAATAGTGAAATCCTGCCAATTCTTATTTATTTATTTATTTATTTATTTATTTATTTATTTATTTATTTATTGAAACAGGGTCTTGCTCTGTCATCCAGGCTGGAGTGTGGTGGCACAGTCACAGCTCACTGCAGTCTCAAAATCCTGGGCTCAAGCAATCCTCCATCTCAGTATCCTGAGTAGGTAGGACCACAGGCACGCACCACCAGTCCTGGCTAATTTTTTATTTTTTGCAGAATTGGGACCTTGCTATGTCACTCAGGCTGGTCTTGAACTCTTCCTGGTCCCAGGTGATCCTCCCACCTTGGCCTCCCAAATTGCTGAAAGTACAAGTGTGAGCCACTGCACCCAGTCCTATTAATATCTTAATGTCTTTCCTCTGAGAGGAGGCATTACTGTGTGAGGAAAGACACATTTTGCTACTGAAATCCCCTCCTTTTTAATTGTCCTAATATGTTATTTAAGTACATTCTACTTGAGGCAGAATCAACGTGTTCTGCAGTTTTGGAATCAAAGAGTTGTATACTCAAATCACTCCCTCGCATGGTACCTGTGTGACACTGCAAGCAAAAGACTGTCTTTGGGCCATAGTTCTTCGTCAGTAAAATGGACTACCTACCTCACGGTGTTGTGAGGATTAAGGGAGATAATATACATTAAACTTTCATCTCTTTGACTTCAACACAGCAATTATCCAAGGAAGGGAGCTCTTACTATCCTTAAATATTCCAGACATTAGTTTTAGTCTAAGTTTCCAGTTGATGGGTATTCTTTCCAAATACTTTAGCTCCAGACTAAAGCAAAAAGGTCATTTGGTGAATATGGTGTGCTAGTTCTGAAGGATGAGGGAGAGGTGCTTTTAAGATAAAAATTAGGAGTGCAGGAGAAATTATCCAGTTTGTAGGTAAGTGCTCTTGATAGGAGCAGCACAACAAAAGGGCACTTATCTCTGGCTTGTCTAAACAGACAAGCCGGCTTCCAGACCCTCCCAAGGTCAAGTTCAGAAAGTCAGCAGTGGGAGGTTGAGGTTGGAAGCCTCATGTGAACATCAAGAATAAGTCAAGCGCTCTCACCTTTCTGAAAGCAGGGAGAGAAAGTACAAGAGGCCTTTGTTAATGAGACAGGAAAATCATAGCCTGAAAATGCTGACAATGACATTTCAAAAGTCTCAATTCCTTAGTAATAGGCAAGAACATGTGAAGAAGGAGAAAAAAATTCTCTGAAGTTTTAAAAAGAAGAAAATGATCAAGTATCTGTGATATGTGAGAACTTTATCTTGCAAGGTTACTTCAGTTCACGTTTCCTAAATGGGGACACCTCTGCAGAGGGAACACGAGGCTTTTCTTGTGAGGCGCTTTGCTGGTAATTTGTGACTCTGACAAATGCCATCTGATTGACAGCCCTGCCCATCCCCCGTCAGGCAGTCAGAGACGTACGGAAAACACAGAGTCTTCCAAGTCTAAGTTCACTTAGAAAATGCCAAAGGGGGCCGGGTGAGGTGGCGCATGCCTCTAATCCCAGCACTTTGGGAGGCCGAGGCTGGTGGATCATCTGAGGTCACGAGTTCGAGACCAGCCTGACCACATGGTGAAACCCCATCTCTACTAAAAATACAAAAATTAGCTGGGTGTGGTGCCTGTAATCCCAGCTACTCAGGAGGCTGAGGCAGGAGGCAGGAGAATCGCTTGAACCCAGGAGGCAGAGATTGCAGTGAGCCGAGATCACGCCATTGCACTCCAGCCTGGGTGACAGAGCAAGAAACCGACTCAGAAAAAAAAAAAAGCCAAAGGTTTTTTCACACTCTCCACTCTCTCACACTCTCCAACTCTGCTCTCTGGTTGCTGGTGTATTGGAGGCCCAAGGAGAAGTGGCCACTGAGGCCGCCGCCTGCTTGTGGGAGACACTGAGGGGGTCCAGTCAGCCTTCCAGGTACATCCTGAACACAGAAGCAGCTAGGATCTTCATTTTCATCAGCCTCAGAGAGAGACTCGATGCTCTCCATCCTCACTCTGCCCCTTCTTAAGCAATCACACCTTCATTTCTTTCCTTTTCTGTCTGTTACCGTTAGTTAGCCAGGCATGAGCAGGGCAGAAGAGGGCTCTTCCCCCACCCACCAGGAATGTCAGGCAATCATTGGTGATGGTTTCTCAGTTACCACATTGCCTCCCTAAACATGATAACTCAGCAGCCGGCGCCAGGGAGAGACAATCTCCTGATGGTCCACAGCTGTTACAGCAGGTAACCAGGGAGGTGCCTGGGAGAAGCAAATTGAATGCAGGTGCCAGGGAGAAGCAAAAAGGGCATCCAATAAAATGTCAGATATTGGGCGAGTGAGCCCAGGCATGCCCATTAAGAGACAAAATGGAGGAGTATGACCTTCCGGGGCCACTCTACTGGAAAAGGGAAGAAAGCCTCAGATGGGCCTGAGTACAACTTCCTGAACACACTGGCAGTCTCACCTCCCAAGCTAAGGAGGGCACTGCGCATGCGGGCAGCCCACTCTAAGGGAAGAATCATGGGAAAGAGGCGCAAAATGTGAGGAGTGGGCCAGAGTATAAAGTCCTAGGATCAAGGTTAAACGTCACACTTGACCTTCATAGTGCCCACTTGGGTCTCTTCCAAGTGTACCTTCCTTTCTTTCCTGCTCTAAAGCTTTTTAATACACTTCTACTCCTGCTCTGAAACTTGCCTTGGTCTCTTTTTCTGCCTTATGCCCCTCAGTCAAATTCTTCTGAGAAGGCAAGAACTGAGGTTGCTGCAGACCAGTATGGATTCGCCCCCCGGTAACTCAGATACTTTCCATCCCTAACATGTCTACCATTATCTGTCCACAAAACCTCTGGAATCCTTCATAACTACAACCCTTGCCCTGAGAAATTCCTCTTGTTTATCCATCTTCCCTCTTTCCCAACCTCAGTCCTTCTCTCTAGGATCTGAATCCTAAATAGTCTCTCTGTCAGTTTAATGTCTGAGAAATCAGTTGGTGCAATACTATCTAGGCACAAACTCTGCCTTCCCAGGCTATAATCCTAAACTCCATTGTCATAACAAAGCAAGCTGCCCATGAAGGAGCATGGGACCACATACTTACATCTTAAGAAAGAAAATCAGGTGAGTGATCAGGCAGTTGAGCTGGGAGATTTATCTGCCTTTGCACAGTTAGGGTAGATGTGCTGCTGTTGTTTGCTGTCTCTGTTTACTGCCAAAGGATTAGAAACATCTCCACACAGAGAAAAGGAACAGGTGGCTTCCCATACCTACTATCCCCACCTAGTCAAGAACCCTGGGTCAAGGTACAGAAGAACATGGCAGATGGCCCAGAAAGGATTTGGAATAGGGAGCCAACAAGCTCAGAATCACAAAGGATACACAGAGGAAGTAGAGACTCAGGTATACTCAGAACTGGCACAGAAATAAATTTGGGCCACACAATAAATGGAAAAAAAAGGACAATTGTCTGAAGTTAAAAGTGCTTTTCTTCTTTGGATTGAATTAAAAATCACAAAAAGCATGGAAGATTTATTAATATATGCCTTTGTTTAAGGATAGTATCTTTTTTTTTCAAATAAAACAATGTCTTTAAAGAGGACTAAGATTGCAAATGAATGCTTTTAAAGAAATGCAGGAGGATAAATTAGCAAGCAGGAAACAATGTAAACAAATATTTGTGTCCAATTATTGAAAGTGTTTCAATAAGCATGGATAAAGTGGCCTTTAAGCAATCATGATACAGCTAAAAAAGACAATTTTAGCAAAGAGAGATTTGCCGAGTTCTACAGGGGATAACAAAAGTATCTTAGAAATAGATACACTTGCATCCACTTATAGTATAAATTGCTATGAATTGAGATGCAGCATTCTGAAGAAAGTGGCATAGAATTCTGGAACAGAGCTTGAGTGGAGGGTGGTTCTGTCCTTGCATCTCTGTGATTTTCAGAGTTTTTTTTAACCCTTCTGGGCCACAGGTCCTCATCAGTAAAAGGAGGCAGCTGGGGCTTAGATCATCTCAAGGTCCTTCCTGTTCTAGAGTTATTTATTTGTTAAAATGTATTAAGAAAGCATCATAAAAGTGTAATTAGCCTAAAATTTGGGTGTTTGTCCTGTCCTTTCATACCTTATCAAGGGATTCCTTGGCCCTTTTCCTGAAAAACTCTTTAATGGAGCTATTACATTGTGAATTTTGGACAGAGCTAGACCTGGAATAGGTGTCAACTCTGTCACGTATTGGCAGTGTGACTATGAACAAAGGACATGGGCTCTTTCAGTCTATGATGAGGATCAGTAAAATGCATTATTTACCTCAGGGGGTGATAGGAATAAAATGACATCTATCACATACAGAGTTTAGCGTAGCATTTGGCCCTCAGTGAGCAAACAATAAATGATATATTATAAACTATATGTTGTACCTGTAATGTGCATGGGTCCCAGCTCTGGAACCAGACTTCTTGGGTTCAAACTCTACTCTGCCATTTCTTAACTATGCGGGCTTGGGAAGATTACTTAAATTCCTCACAGCGCAATTTCCTAATTTGTAAAATAGGGATTATAATAACAATATTTACCAAATTTGGTTGTTGTTAGGTATGAATGAGTTAATAATAAAATTGATAGAACAGTAGCTAGCTCAGGGCAGGTGGTATTAAAGAAAATACTCAGATCATCTTTTAATTAGAGGCCAAAGGCCAGAATATACTTAAACAAACAAACAAAAAATGTTTTTAGAATTAGCAGCTTAAAATGTAATTACTTTTACTTACTTTAAGGCACCTCCTGCTCAAAACTTTCCCTTTTTTATTTCTTAATTGTGTTTTGTTTTGTTTTAGAGACAGAATGTTGCTGTGCCACCTAGGCTGGAGTGCAGTGGCACAATCACAGCGGACTGCAGCCTCAAAATCCTGGCTCAAGCACTCCTCTTACCTCAGCCTCATAAGTAGCTGGGACTGCAGGCATGTATCACTAAGACTGGCTAATTTTTCAATATCTTTTTTAGAAATGGGGTCCCCTAGATTGCCATGGCTGGTCTTGAACTCCTGGCCTTGACTGATCCTCCTGCCTTGGCCTTCCATATTGCTGGAATTACAGGTGTGAGTCACTGTGCCTGGCTTCAAAACCTTTAAACAAGTATTTGTTTTCTAGCGGACAATCTGAGTGCCATCAGGATTGGGGATGGGGGCCATGGTGACTGCTTAGGAAGTTCTTCCTCTAATCAAGTTAGGCAGAACTGGCTCTAAAGTCCTGGCTGGCAAATGTTATCTCTGATTAGTATGCATCATTTCCAGCATGGTATTAGAAACCATAAGATGAAATTAGTTGCCTTTGTGTTACTAAAATAATAGGTAAAATACTACATGCAATGAATTTTGTGACATTTCACATTTAGTCTTCAGGCTCAGGGCATTTAAAATGAAGCTCTGACCTTTCCTTCTTGCATCTTAGAGATGTTCTTGATTATCCATTCATTTGAAAACGTGCATGACTCACAAGTCAACAGAGCTCTATGCCTCATTCTCTGATCCTCTTTTATGGCTGAGTTAGAACAATAATTTAGCTCTCTTTGGTGTGGTATGAGGCTTTTGGTGAAGAACATTGAGTTCAAGTATTAGTGAGATAAAAGATTAGTGAAATAAAAGATATTTTAATAAATGTGATTTCAGGTAGATGGAGATTCATAATACTGATTAAAAAGTCAACTGTCTTCTGCGATATAACTTATTTTAATGAACTCATCTAAAATTGTAGAGAGCGATATCAGACCTGCACAACTATATTCCAGTCAACAGGCAATAAAATGAAGAGGCATCATGTTTTGAATTTTAGGAGTATCCCCAAAACTACTGCTTTATGCCCCAAGAAGCAGATTTTAAAATTCTGATGGTACTAAATGTGTGAAAATTCATTTTGCTAATGTTTCCTTTCACTGTGTTTTCAGGAGGGAAAATGTTCATAATAATCAGCTACTTTGATCTCAAAAGTCCCTTTCAGCTATAAAATTCTGACCTTTATTTTTTCTTTTTTCTTTTCTTTTTTTTTTTTTTGAGACAGAATCTGTTCCTAAGGCTGGAGTGTAGTGGCCCCTCCCTGCTCATTGCAGCCTTGACCTCCCCAGGCTTAAGTGATTCTCCCACTTCAGCCTCCCAGGTAGCTGAGACCATAGGCATGTGCCACCAACCCTGACTAATGACTGATTTTTTTAACATCCACATCGCATAAGGCACTTTCACCAATGTTGGCTGTTATACCAAATGCTGAAACAGGCTCCAGAGCCTCCCAGGGAATATTCCTCCTCACAAGAATGTATGCTGTCTCCAATTACTGTAGTATTCTGCAAGTGACCCACTGTGACTTCAGGGACAATTGACTCTACTGTTATGAAGTTGCTGCTAAAATAAAGCAGATTTTTTTGAAATATTCATCACCAATCTTTTTAACGTTCACAAATCTTGGGAGAGCCTCTTTTGCTGAATCCTTTTCTTGGATCTACTTTATTACGAACATCTACAAATTCAGAGCGGTCTTGACATCATTCAAACATCAGAGACAGGAAGTACCTCATGGTTATTTTAAGAAATATGAGAGCACGATGTTTGGCATTCAGTCGGTGCTCATTGAATAGTATTTGAATCAATAAATTTAAGTTTTACAGACCTAGGAATGAATATAGGGGTAAGGAGAACAAATACTGGAATAGGTCAAAGGTGCCATTTGTCATACTGAAGGAGGAGTGTTCACAATTAATGGTTGCCAGCAAAGATGCTCTTCAAATTGGGCACATTTCAATGAAGAGGCTTAATGTATACCCTATTTCTGTATAAGTAGATAAAACGTGTCAAAGAAAATGAAAGACTCTGCTTTTGCTTTACAAATAAAATAAGTAGAAGATTTTCATGTTAATTTTGTAATCTTTTATATACAAGTCTTTGGACTCAATATTATTGAAAAGGAACATAAATCTGTTTTATCTTTAGAGAACATCTTGTTTTTCAATCATTTAAAATGCCATGATATGCTTTCTGCGATTCAAGGCGTGATCATATGTTAATGTCTGCTCAATAAAGCATGAAATTCTATAAATACTTTTTACTTCTATTGATCAGCCATCTGAGTGAAAAAGAGGCAAGTGTGAAAATAAATTCCACTATTGCTTTCCTCGGCTCCCACACTTGTGCCCTATCTGTAATGCTGCCATTAGGACTCAGTGTGATCTAGTGAAGAACGGAGGAGCTTTGTAGCGGGGACATAATATTTAGAATTCTAGCCCAGCCATTTTCTAGCAGGCCTTCTACATGCTACTTAGCCATCCCAGGCCTCCATTTCTGTCTTTGAAAATGAGAATAATATTTATACCATAGGGTTATTACACACATTGCCTAGCATATTGTAGCTTTTAAAAAACTTTTTATTTTGAATTAATTTTGGGCTTACAGAAAAGTTGCAAAAGAAGTACAGAGAGTTCTATGTGAGGAGGTTTTTATTTTAAAACCAGTGTTAATTTCCTCCTGTTCCTATCAATGTAAATTTAATCTGTGTGTTTCTACTTCAAAAGCAAAGCTGGAGCTTCAAATTTCTCCTTCCTTTTGATTTGGCTTCCTCAGTACATCTCTCTCTCCCTCTCTTTCTTTTTAAATAGATTTACTTTTTTGAGATGTTTTAGGTTCACAGCAAAATTGAGCAGAAAGTACAGAGATTTCCCATATAACGCCTGTACTCACACATGAAAAGCCTCCCCAACTATCAACATCCCACACCAGAGTGGTACATTTGTTATAGGCAATGAACCTACAATGACACATCATTATCACCCAGAGTCCATAATTTACTCTTTTTTTTTTTTTTTTTTTAAAGACAGGGTCTTGCTCTGTCACCCAGGCTGGAGTGCAGTGTTGCCCTCATTGTTCACTGCAGCCTCGACCTCCTGGGCTCAATTGATCCTCCCACCTCAGTGTCCTGAGTAGCTGGGACTACAGGCACACACCACCTTGCCTGGCTAATTTTTGTGTTTTCTGTAGAGATGGGGCTTGGCCATGTTGCCCAGGCTGGTCTTGAACTCCTGGGCTCAAGCAATCTGCCACCCTTGGCCTTCCAAAGAGCTGGGATTATAGGCATGAGCCACCATGCCGGGTCTATAGTTCACTCTTGGTGTTGTACATTCTATGAGTTTTGACAATGTAAAATGACACACACCAAACATTTTAGTACCTTATGAAATGTTTCATTGTCCTAAAAATCCTCCGTGCTCTGCCTATTCATCCCTCTCTCCTCTAACCCCTGTCAATCACTAACCTTTTTAATTATCTCCATAGTTTTGCCTTTTCCAGAGTGTTATAGAGCTGCAATCATACAATATGTAACCTTTTCAGACTGGCACTTAATAATGTGCATTTAAATTTCCTCTGCATTTTTTTCAGGGTTTTTCATGGCTTTTCATTTCTTCTTAGCACCGAATAATATTCCATTGTATAGAGTGTATCATGGTTAATCCATTTACCTACTGAAGGGCATTTTGGTTGCTCTCAGGTTTTAGCAATTATGAATAAAGCGGCCATAAATATCCGTGTGTAGATTTTTGTGGGGACATAAATTTTCAATTCCTTTGGATAAAAACCAAGGTCATGATAGCTGGATTGATACAGTAAGAGTATGTGTGGTTTTATTTAAAAAAACTGTCAAACTGTGTGGCAAAGTAGCTGTACCATTTTGCATTCCCACCAGAAATAAATGACACTTCCTCTTGTTCCACATCCCCTCCAACATTTGGTATTGTTAGTGTTTTGGATTTTTGCCATTCTAATAGGCATGTAGTAGTATCTTGTGTTTCAAACATATGTTTTTTAGTGCTTGAACTCTTGAGTAGTCAAAACCTTTTTCTTTAGGAAACCTCTGGGCTCTTACATAAATCAATAGGTCAAACTCATAAATCAAGGGAGACTGGAGTTTCACCTTAGTTAATACACTGGCGATCCAAGTATGGTACTGGATGATATTGATTTGGGCAGTGCTAAAGTATTATCTTAAATTAAGGGCATTTGCCATCCCAGAAACCATATAGTTGTGGTAAGCAAGGGATTTGGAATCATTTCAGATATCTGGGTTTGAATCTTTACTCCTCCCTTTACAAATAGTGCAATGGACAAGTTAATGAAATTATCTAAGCTAGTTCCTCATTTAAAAATGAAGATAATAGGCCGCGCGCAGTGGCTCACGCCTGTAATCACAGCACTTTGGGAGGCTGAGGTGGGCGGATCATGAAGTCAGGAGATCGAGACCATCCTGGCTAACATGGTGAAACCCTGTCTCTACTAAAAATAGAAAAAAAATTAGCCGGGCATGGTGGCGGGTGCCTGTAGTCCCAGCTACTTGGGAGGCTGAGGCAGGAGAATGGCGTGAACCCGGGATGCAGAGCTTGCAGTGAGCCAAGATCGCGCCCCTGGACTCCAGCCTGGGCGACAGAGCGAGACTCTGTCTCAAAAAAAAAAAAAAAAAAAAATGAAGATAATAATACATACTTCATAAAGTAATAGATGTAAATTTATGGATTTTAAGCTTTTAGGGTAGTACAAACAATGTATTTTTGATTTTTTTATTAGTGACAAATTATGAAAAATTTATCAGAAATTTTAGTATGGAATGTAGTTTTTTTTTTTTTTCTTGCAGATCAATTCCACAGGAAGCAATATACTTCTTGAATGTGTTGGGTTACTTTCCACAATGTCCTGAAGTATTAGAAATTTCATCTCAAACCTCTGTAGTAGCAATTTCAGCTAACAGTGGGTTCAAGTGAGGATAAAATTGTAAATGGTTGGCTATCACAAGGTAAAGCAATCCTGTAGATAGCAGATTTGGCCATAGTCCAAAAATACAGTCGAGGTGCTAATTCCAGTAGCCAGAAAGTGAGTTTAAAATTTTTGACAACATTGTACAGATGGTACAATTTGGAAAAAGTCAGCATAATCTAATTAACTTATGCTAACATTATGATGAAATATCTTCTCAATTTTATGTTCCCTTTGCACATAGATGTTTCTTCAGCTTTTTTGAGGTATAATTCACAAATAAAAATTGTGCATATTTCTGGTATACATGTTTTGATAGACGCATACATTGTGAAATGAATACCACAATCAAGCTAATTAACGTATCCATCACCATCACCTCACATAGTTATTCTTTTTTGTGTGTACGTGGTGAAATTTAAAATCTACTCTTAGCAGTTTTCAAGGACACGATACATTTTTATTAACTATAGTCACCATGCTGTGCAATAGAGCTCCAGAATTTATTCATACTGTCTAACTGAAACTTGTATCCTTTAAATAACTTCTTCCCATCCATCCCCTCATCTCCAGGCCCTGGTAACCACTATTCTACTCTCTGCTTCTTTGAATTCAACTTTTTAGAGGGTCCACATATAAGTGAGATCATGAAGTGTTTGTCTTTCTCTGCCTGGCTTAGTTCACTTAACGTAATGTCCAGTTTTATCCAGGTTGTTGCAAATGACAGAATTTCCTTTTTTTCGAAGGCAGAATAATATTTCATGTGTATATAAGCCACATTTTCCTTATTTATTCATCCATTGATGGACACTTTGATTGATTCCATATATCTTGGCTATTGTGACTAATGCTGCAACGAACATGGGAGCGCAGCTATGTTTTTGATAGACTGATTTCATTTCCTTTACATATTTACCCAGAAGTAGGAATTGCTAGATCTCATGGGGGTTTTATTTTTAATTTTTTGAGGAACTCCATACTGTTTTCCATGATGACTGTACTAATTTACATTACTACCAACAGTGTACAAGGGTTCTCTTTTCTCTACATCTTGTTATCTTTCATCTTTTTGATAATAGCTATTCTTACAAGTGTGAGACGATATCATATTGTGGTTTGAATATGCATATCCCTGATGATTAGTGATGCTGAATATTTGTTTTATATACCTCTTAGCCATTTCTGTATCTTCTTTTTAGAAATATGTATTCAGGTTCTTTGCTCATTTGTAAATTGGATTTTATTTGTTTTCTTGCTAGTGAGTTGTTTGAGCTTTTTTATGTATGTTGGACATTGTCTCCTTATCAGATATGCAGTGTGCAAGTATTTTCTCCCATTCTGAATGTTGTCTCTTCACTCTGTTGATTTCTTCCTTTGCTATGCAGAAACATTTTAGTTTGATGTAATCCAATTTGCCTATTTTTGCTTTTGTTGCCTGTGCTGTTGGGGTTATAGCCAAAAAATCATTGCCTAGAGGGATGTCAAGAAGCCTTTTCCCTAGGTTTTTAGCTAGTAGTTTTACAGTTTCAGGTCTTACATTAAAATCTTTAATTTATTTTGAGTTGATTGTTGCATATGGTGTGAGATAAGGGTCCAATTTCGTTCTTCTGTATGTGGATATTTAGTTTTCCCAACACCATATGTTGGAGACTATCCTTTCCCCATTGTGTTCTTGGTAGCTTTGTTGAAGATCAATTTGCCATAAACACATGGATTTATTTCCTGGCTCTCTATTCAATCTTCTTCAAACTTCTCCACATATTCTTAAAAGGTCATATAATATGAAGTTTAAATTTTTTTAGTGTAGTTTTCATCTCTATATTAAAACAAAAAATACTGTATCTCATGCAATGGAAAGACAAAGATAGTTTGATTTTGGTGGATGAAGAGATTCTGGGCCAAATTTTTTCTTTTGGAGAAAAGGAAGAAACTAACATTTTCTGGCTTTTACTGTCTATAGACTTTCTTTTCCTTAACAGAGTAATTTGTTTCTGAAAACCCTTTCTTAGAATAAAACCTAACTTGAAACTTCAATTACTATTAAAGGATTTCTGTAAATTTTTAATGCACATCTGAGTCCCCAAACAAAAACCATTTATTCCAAAAACATTACATTCTATTAAAATGGAAAGCACACACAGGGGAAGGTGAGGCAACTTTAAGATCTGCAACTGCAGAAAGCTATTCTTAACCCAGCACTGGAGGGACAATGGGAAAAGGTGTTTTTACCAAAGCCTAGGCCAGCAGCCTCAACAGCTGGAATCCAGAAGAGATCCTACTGGAATGGTCACCTCCCTTTATCTTCTCTTCTCACCTTTCTATCTTCCCTCGGTGCCTCCTATTGTCTAAAATTACCCAGAAGCAAGTTGGGAATGGAATTTGGGAAAACATTCCCAGGGTTTAGCTTCCTATGGTACAGAGAAGAGATGGGAGAGAAGGCAAATGGATCAGAGAGCAAATAGGTAAATAACTGGCACTATCACATAGCAAAGTAGTGTCCCAGCTGAAACACCTAAGATACAAAATAGTTCTAAATGCAAGTAAGTCAAAGTAGGAGTATTCAGTGAAACACTTCGTACAGCAGAATTCTTATAGCCCATTTGGATTTTTTTTCGGTACTTTACTGCATTAGATATTGAATTAATTACTTTACATCTGCTAATTCTTTTAACCCTCCATAAGGGGTTAGGTGCTATTATTCATTTAAAACAGAAAAAGTAAGGCTTAACAAGATAAAGTAATTTTCCCAAAATTATTCAGTTAATTAAGCAACAGAACTGAGATTTGAACCAAGCTCCTACAGGCTCCCATGCTCTTTCCATTACATCATGATATAAAAATAATTTACCTCCAAATAAGTGTATTATGCCTAGCAAAATAAATATATATACTGAGAAGTTTGAGCTACATCAACTAAAAATTATAATTTACTTAATCAAATTAGATAAAACTAATATGAATCCAGCATATTTGGTCTCAGATTTATGTTTTCTCAACGTTTCACTCAAATCATTTAGGGAACTTGTGAGTAATTTATATTTCTGGGCTTCACTTCAGACATACTAAGATTTCCTGGGAGCAGTGCCTGGGGAGCTGCATTTGAAATAAGGTCCTCAGTGGATTTTTAAGCACCTTAACATTTAACAATCCCTATACTATCTCTGTATTTGGTCATAGTAACTATACTAACAAGGATTATTATTATTATTATTATTATTTTTTGAGATGGAGTCTCGCTCTGTTACCCAGGCTGGAGTGCAGTGGCACGATCTCTGCTCACTGCAAACTCTGCCTCCCAGGTTCAAGCGATTCTCCTGCCTCAGCCTCCTGAGTAGCTGGGATTACAGGCATGTGCCACCACGCCTGGCTAATTTTTGTATTTTTAGTAGAGACAGGGTTTCACCATGTTGCTCATGCTGGTCTTGAACCCCTGACATCATGATCCACCTGCCTCGGCCTCCCAAAGTGCTGGGATTACAGGCGTGAGCCATCGTCCCCGGCCACAAGGATTATTTTTAAATAGCTTTCCTTTACAAAAAAAAATTCAAAATCAACCAAAACGGAAAAAAAAAAAAACCCAAAAAACACCCAAGAATCAACAATATACTGTCTGCTTATAGAGCCTTAATTCAAAGATGATGAGGCTATTCAGGTTGGGAATACAGTTGACCATTGAACAGCAAGACTTTGAACTGCATGGGTCCACTTCTATACAGACTTTTTTCAATAAATCTGCCTGCTTCTACTGTCTCGCCTTCTAACCACCTCAACCTGTTCTACCTCTGCCATCTGAGACAGCAAGACCAACCCTTCCTCTTCCTCCACCTTCCAGCCTACTCAATGTGAAGACAACAAGGATGAAGACCTTTATGATGGTCCACTTCTACTTAATGAATAGTAAATATATTTTCTCTTATGATTTTTTAAATAGAATTTTCTTTTGTGTAGCTTTATTGTAAGATTCCAGCATGTAATAAATATATGTTAATCAACTGTTTATGTTATCAGTAAGGCTTGCAGTCAACGGTAGGCTATAAATAGTTAAATTTTGGGGGAGTGAAAATTACATGCAGTTTTTTTTATCATTATACTTTAAGTTCTGGGATACATGTGCAGAAGGTGCAGGTTTGTTACATAGGTATACATGTGCTATGGTGGTTTGCTGCACCCATCAACCCATCACCTAGGTTTTAAGCCTTGCATGCATTAGGTATTTCTCCTAATGCTATCCCTCTCCTTGCCCCCCATTCCCCAATGGGCTCCAGTGTGTGATGTTCCCCTCCCTATGTCCATGTGTTCTCATTGTTCAACTCCCACTTATGACTGAGAATATGTGGTATTTGGTTTTCTGTCCCTGTGGTAGTTTGCTGAGAATGATGGTTTCCAGCTTCATTTATGTCCCTGCAAAGGAAATGAACTCATTCTTTTTTATGGCTGCATAGTATTCCATGGTGTATACTAGCCACATTTTTTTTATCCAGTCTATCATTGATGGGCATTTGGGTTGGTTCCAAGTCTTTGCTGTTGTAAATAGTACTGCAATAAACATATGTGTGCATGTGTCTTTATAATAGAATGATTTATAATCCTTTGGGTATATACTCTGTAATGGGATTGCTGGGTCAAATGGTATTTCTAGTTATAGATCCTTGAGGAATTGCCACACTGTTTTCTGCAATGGTTGAACTAATTTACACTCCCACCAACAGTGTACAAGCATTCCTATTTCTCCACATCCTCGCCAGCATCTACTGCTTCCAGACTTGTTAATAATCACCATTCTAACTGGCATGAGATGGTATCTCATTGTGGTTTTGATTTGCATTTCTCTAATGACCAGTGATGATGAGCTTTTTTTCATGTTCGTTGGCTGCATAAATGTCTTCTTTTGACAAGTGTCTGTTCATATCCTTCATCCACTTTTTGATGGGGTTGTTTGTTTTTTTCTTGTAAATTTGTTTTCTTTCCTTGTAGATTCTAGATATTAGACCTTTGTCAGATGGATAGATTGCAAAAATTTTCTCCCATTCTGTAGGTTGCCTGTTCACTCTGATGATAGTTACTCTTGCAGTGCAGAAGCTCTTTAGTTTAATTAGATCCCATTTGTCAGTTTTGGCTTTCGTTGCAATTGCTTTTGATATTTTAGTCATGAAGTCTTTGCCCATGCCTATGTCCTGAATGGTATTACTTAGGTTTTCTTCTAGGGTTTTTGTGGTTTTAATCTTATGTTTAGGTCTTTAATTCATCTTGAGTTAATTTTTGTATAAGGTGTAAGGATGGGGGGTCCAGTTTCAGTTTTCTGCATATGGCTAGCCAGTTTTCCCAACACCACTTATTAAATAGGGAATCCTTTCCCCATTGCTTGTTTTTGTCAGGTTTGTTAAAGATCAGATGGTTGTAGATGTGTGGCGTTATTTCTGAGGCCTCTGTTCTGTGCCATTGGTCTATATATCTATTTTGGTACCAGTACCATGCTGTCTTGATTACTGTAGCCTTGTAGGATAGTTTGAAGTCAGGTAGTCTGATGCCTCCAGCTTTGTTCTTTTTGCTTAGGATTGTCTTGGCTATATGGGCTCCTTTTTTGGTTCCATATGAAATTTAAAGTAGTTTTTTCTAATTCTGTGAAGAAAGTCAATAGTAGCTTGGTGGGAATAGCATTGGATCTATAAATTACTTTGGGCAGTGTGGCCATTTTCACAATATTGATTCTTCCTATCCATAAGCATGAAATTTTTTTCCATTTGTGTCCTGTCTTATTTCCTTGAGCAGTGGTTTGTAGTTCTCCTTGAAAAGGTCCTTCACTTCCCTTGTAGGTTGTATTCCTAGGTATTTTATTTTCTTTGTAGCAATTGTGAATGGGAGTTCACTTACGATTTGATTCTCTGTTTGCCTATTATTGGTGTATATGAATGCTTGTGATTTTTGCACATTGCTTTGTATCCTGAGACTTCACTGAAGTTACTTATCAGCTTAAGACATTTTTGGGCTGAGATGATGGGGTTTTCTAGATATACAATCATACAATCATGTCATCTGCAAACAGAGACAATTTCATTTTCTCTCTTCCTATTTGAATACTCTTTATTTCTTTCTCTCGGCTCATTACCCTGCCAGAACTGCCAATACTATGGTGAATAGGAGTGGTGAGAGAGGGCATCCTTCTCTTGTGCCAGTTTTTACAGGAAATGCTTCCAGCTTTTGCCCATTTAGTATGGTATTGGTTATGGGTTTGTCATAAATAGCTCTTATTATTTTGAGATATGTGCCATCAATACCTAGTTTATTAAGAGTTTTTAGCCTGAAGGGGTGTTGAATTTTTCAAAAGCATTTTCTGCATCTATTGAGATAATCATGTGGTTTTTGTCATTGGTTCTGTTTATGTGGTGGATTATGTTTATTGATTTGCATATGTTGAACCAGCCTTGCATCCCAGGGTTGAAGCCGACTTAATTGTGGTGGATAAGCTTTTGATGTGTTGCTGACTCCTGTTTGCCAGTATTTTCTGAGGATTTTCGCATCAATGTTCATCAGGGGTATTGGCCTGAAAGTTTCTTTTTCTGTTGTGTCTCTGCCAGGTTTTTATATCAGGATGATGCTGGCCTCATAAAATGGTTTAGGGAGGAGTCCCTTTTTTTCTATTGTTTGAAATAGTTTCAGAAGGAATGGTACCAGCTCCTATTTGTACTTTTGGTAGAATTTGGCTGTGAATCTGTCTGGTCCTGGGCATTTGTTGGTTGGTAGGCTATTAATTACTGCCTCAATGTTTGGTCTATTCAGGGATTCGACTTTTTCCTGGTTTAGTCTTGAAAGGGTGTATGTGTCCAGAAATTTATCCATTTCTTCTAGATTTTCTAGTTTACTTGCGTAGAGGTGTTTATAGTATTCTCTGATGGTAGTTTGTATTTCTGTGGAATCAGTGGTGATATCCCCTTTATCATTTTTTATTGTGTCTATTTGATTCTTCTCTCTTTTCTTCTTTATTAGTCTGGTTAGCACTCTATCTATTTTGTTAATCTTTTCAAAAAACCACCCTCTGGATTCATTTATTTTTTGAAGGGCTTTCATGTCTCTATCTCCTTCAGTCGTGCTCTGATCTTAGTTATTTCTTGTCTTCTGCTAGCTTTTGACTTTGTTTGCTCTTGCTTCTCTAGTTCTGTTAATTGTGATGTTAGTTTGTTGATTTTAGATCTTTCCCACTTTCTGATGACGGCATTTAGTGCTATAAATTTCCCTCTTAACACTGCTTTAGGTGTGTCCCAGAGATTCTGGTACATTGTGTCTTTGTTCTCATTGGTTTCAAATAACTTATTCATTTCTGCCTTAATTTCGTTATTTACCCAGTAGTCATTCAGGAGCAGGTTGTTCAGTTTCCATTTAGTTGTGTGGTTTTGTGTGTTTCTTAATCCTCAGCTCTAATTTGATTGTCTGAGAGGCTTTTTGTTATGATTTCCATTCTTTTGCATTTGCTGAGGAGTGTTTTACTTCCAATTATGTGATTGATTTTAGAGTAAGTGGTAAGTGGTGCTGAGAAGAATGTATATCCTGTTGATTTGGGGTGGAAAGTTCTGTAGATGTCTATTAGGTCTGCTTGGTCCAGTGCTGAGTTTGAGTCATGAATATCCTTGTTAATTTTCTGTCTCGTTGATATGTCTAATATTGACAGTGGGGTGTTAAAATCTCCTACTATTATTGTCTGGGAGTCTCAGTCTCTTTGTAGGTCTCTAAGAACTTGTTTTATGAATCTGGGTGCTCCTGTATTGGGTGCATGTATATTTAGGATAGTTAGCTCTTCTTGCTGCATTGTTCCCTTTACCATTATGTAATGCCCCTTTTTGTCTTTTTTGAGCTTTGCTGGTTTAAAGTCTGTTTTATCAGAGACTAGCATTGCAACCCCTGCTTTCTGTTGCTTTCCATTTGCTTGGTAAATAGTCCTCCATCCCTTTATTTTGAGTCTATGTGTTTCTCTGCACATGAAACGGATCTCCTGAATACAGCACACTGATGGGTCTTGACTCTTTATCCAACTTGCCAGTCTGTGTCTTTTAATTGGGGCATTTAGTCCATTTACATTTAAGGTTGATATTGTTATGTGTGAATTTGATCCTGTCATCGTGATTCTACCTGGTTATTTTGCACGTTAGTTGATGCAGTTTATTCATAGTGTGGTTGGTCTTTATATTTGGTATGTTTTTGCAGTGTCTGGTACTGGTTTTTCCTTTCCATATTTAGTGCTTCCTTCAGGAGCTCTTGTAAGGCAGGCCTGGTGGTGACAAAAGCATTTGCTTGTCTGTAAAGGATTTTATTTCTCCTTCGCTTATGAAGCTTAGTTTGGCTGGATATGAAATTCTGGGTTGAAAATTCTTTTCTCTAAGAATGTTGAATATTGACCCCCACCCTCTTCCGGCTTGTAGGGTTTCTGCAGAGAGATCCACTGTTAGTCTGATAGGCTTCCTTTTGTAGGTAACCTGACCTTTCTCTCTGGCTGCCCTTAACATTTTTTCCTTCATTTCAATGTTGGTAAATCTGATGAGTATGTGATTCCACCAAATATATAAAAGTTTGGGACTTTAATTGTCTTAAAATACTTACATTTCATTTTTAGTCTTCCAATATTGCTCTCAGTCTTATATATTAGATATATGATATATTTAAAAATCATACAATATATTCATATATAACATATGTATAATATATATGCCCCCCCCCACATACACACAACATCTAATCCAAATCACAGAACATTTACTCATTTAATTGTTCAACAAAAATTTTTTTGTACACCTACAATCTGTAGATAGTATCATAGGCTCTTGGGTTGTATCAGTGAAAAAGTGAAAAACTTCTACCCTAGTGGAGCTTGCATTTTAGCAGATGGAGACAATAAACAATAAGCATAATACATAACCAAATTATAAAGTATATTAGAAGGCAGCAAGTGCTACTGAATAGAATAAAAGGTAAGGCAGAATAACAGAGATGAGTGGGTTGAAGCTTGTAATTAGAGTGGTCAGTGTAGGCCTCCTTTGAACAAAGCCTTGAAGAAATAAGTTACTTGAGTTTTATAAATATGATCATATATACTATATAAAATACAATCCCTATTGCTATTATTCTCTTCCACTTGATTTTTCTAAGGTGAATGAATTTTCCTTTATTATGTGTGTATCTTCTCTTTTTTGGACTCCAATCTTCTTGAGAGAAAGAAGTGAGTCTTATTCTATCTTTCTTTTTCAAAACCCTAGGGCTATGCTTTGTATAATATTTGGAGATTATGAATTGAATTGTTTAATAAGATATGTTTAGAAACTGAAACATCTAATGACAGTTTTGGCAATAGGATTTTAATTATTAAAATAAAAACAAACCATTGCCATTTTTCTTGAACTTGTTTCTTTAACACTCTGTATAAAAACATCCAGTGCAGCCAGGCATGGTGGCGTGCACCTGTAATCTCAGCACTTCGGGAGGCCGAGGCAGGTGGATCACTTGAGGCCAGGAGTTTGAGACCAGCCTGGCCAACATGGCGAAACCCCATCTCTATTAAAAATACAAAAAGTACCTGGGCGTGGCGGTGCACGCCTGTAGTCCCACCTATTCAGGAGGCTGAGGTGGGAGGATCTCTTGAACCCGGGAGGTGGAGGTTGCAGTGAGCCGAGATCATGCCACTGCACTCCAGCCTGAGCAACAGAGTGAGACTCTGTCTGAAACAACAACAACAGCAGCAACAAAAATCATATCCAGTGAATTTCCAATTTTCCTGTTTTTTAAGGACTGGAGGAAGTATTACCAATAATGGAGTCCTAGTATGCACAGAAGGAAATAGAATAAGTCCTAACTTTGTTTTTTCATCTTAAAAAACAATAATTAATAGTATACGTCCTCACAAGTAGCCTACAAATGTAAATATGAAACAGGTAAGTAATAAAAATCCAGGATCTTCAATCCATACAAGTTTTTAAGAGTATAAGTTAGACTCTAGGGTTTTGAGTAGTGTATATAATTCTTGGGTGTTTGGACACTTACTACACTCTCACAGTGTAGGCTCCTTACAATTTCATTAGAGCCAAGAGAGACAGAGAGCAAAAGAAAGAAAGAGGAGTTAATTTACAGGTAATAGTCATAAATGGAATATTTCCTAAAAAGAAGTCAAACACCTTTGGAGATGGAGTTGACAAAGTAAACTTTGAGAAACTGTAGACAGAGAGATGCAAAGAAATAATCATTCCAACTATAGGCAATAATGTCTATGAGGAAGATTCATGAGAAAGAGAAGATTAGCAAAATACTGCAGAGCAGTAAAATAAAATACCCTATGTCACTGGGCATGGTGGCTCGCACCTTGTAACCCCAGCACTTTGAGAAGCCAAGGGGAAGGGTCATTTGAGCCCAGGAGTTGGAGACCAGCTTGGGCTGGTAACAAAGTGAGACCTTGTCACTAGAAAAAATAAAAAAAATTAGCCCAGCATGGTGGAGCATGCCTGTGGTCCCAGCTACACGGAAGGCTGAGACAGGAGAGTCGCTTGAGACCAAGGAGGTTGAGGCTGTAATTGCACCACTACACTCTAGGCTGGGCGACAGAGGGAGACCCTGTCTCAAAACATA
The DNA here is from genome assembly GCF_000001405.40 of Homo sapiens. Taxonomy (NCBI): domain Eukaryota; kingdom Metazoa; phylum Chordata; class Mammalia; order Primates; family Hominidae; genus Homo; species Homo sapiens. Next base: position 89,192,888 of record NC_000004.12, read on the forward strand.
AATAAATAATAATAAATATACCCTATGTCTATATATCTGTATCTGTATCCACATCTATAACTATGTTTGGAACAAATAGGAACATACACAAATCTGTGTACTAATCTGTCTTTTCAAATAAGTCCTCCAGCATCCTTATGATAATTGGAAGCTAACAGCAGAAGCACACTCCATTATTTGTGCTTTGTTGTGTATAATATAAATATATCCAAAATTCAAAATTAATTTAATAGTAAACTACATAAAAGTTGTGGCTATTGTAGCAATTCTTTTTTTTTTTTTTTTTTTTTAGATGAAGTCTTGCTCTTGTCGCTCAGGCTGGAGTGCAATAGTGCGATCTCAGCTCACTGCAACCTCTGCCTCCCAGATTCAAGTGATTCTTCTGCCTCCCCGAGTAGCTGGGATTACAGGCGCCTGCCTCCACACCCAGCTAATTTTTGTATTTTTAGTAGAGATAGGGTTTCACCATGTTGACCAGGCTGGTCTCAAACTCCTGACCTTAGGCGATCCACCCGCCTCGGCCTCCCAAAGTGCTGGGATTACAGGCAAGAGCCACCATGCCTGGCCCTATTGTAAAAATTCTTAACTAGTGATCATTCTCATTTAATTTTTTTGTCCTTATAGAAACCTGTCAGACACAATTAAAGATACACTTTGGAACATGGCAGTCCTGGCTTTGTTACTCAGAACTGACAGTTCAATGAAGCACCATCCTTATAGAATGTTGCCTCTACAAATTGTGCTTCTGATGGCACGTTAAGTATTTTAGAAGTAATGATTAAAAAAAAAGAAAGATTTAGAGTCAATTCTCTCAACCTATGTAACCAATACAGTAAACAACAACAAAAACCACAAGATCCTTTCAAAGGGTAGATTATTACTTATTTCTTTCTTGGCATACATCTGGACTTTAGCTCAAGAGTGGTCTTGAAAGTTAGTAATCCCTTATTAACATTTTGTTACTTGGTTTCTATCTGTGAGAATGCTAAAAGCAAAATTAAAATTAAAAAGATGCTAGAGAAGTTGCTAAGCACTTTGATATGAGTGCTGCACGGTATCAGCAGGCTGCAATCTGATCTGGATGTGTCTGACACAGCAGCTATTGGAATATGTATGAAGAATTTCTGAGAAATTTGTAGGAAATGCCTTGTAAATTATCGACAACAATTCCGACCTTTGCTCACCAATCAGGAACAGCCACCAAAATGACAATAAAACATTCTCCACAGCCTCCTGGAGAAATTCCAGAAGTCTCAGTAGAGCCACAGGAAAAAGGAATTTTCCTGCCTAGATTGGAACTAAATTTATGGAAAGGAGTAACAACTAAGGAACAGCATAAAAAACTTATGATGCTTACTGGCTTCTTCCCAAGAGAATACAAATGAACAGAAAATTCAAAGAGCACAGATCTACTTTCTTCTGTCTTTACCTTTTTAAAAATATGTAAAATTATCAAGTTTCATTTTAGCTCTTTCAAAAGACTAGTGCTCATTAATTAAAAGGGAGAATAAAAAATAGCTACCACAAGCTTGGAGCAATTACGTATCTTTCTCTCTCTTTCTGAATAAACAAAATTTTCACTTTATTCACAGTGCACAGAGAAACATAGTTTTGAGCTCAATTTTCCTTCCATTCTGCCCAGATTTTTGCAGTGAATTTGAAAAAGTGATTTCTTTTTGTACTTCTTTTACCAACAAAAATGAGTTTAAAGGATAATCTTTTGACCCTGGTATTTGATGGCTTTAAAAGTGCTGGAATTTCAGGAAAAACTGTGTTATATAAATTTTAATATTGTCAGGTTGTTCTTTGACAATGTATTATTTTAGATATGCTGTTTTGGGGAATCACATAGAGAAAACACATTTTAGGAAAAATGAAATTGTGTTAAGAAACTATTATTTACTTGTTACTGAATTGGTAAATGCTTATTGAGTACCTGCCATGAGCTGGGCATGTGAATGGATACTATGCAATCTTCAAATAATATGACATTCATGATCCAATGCAGTATTCAAAGAATTATATGTTTCTGTTAATCAGGCCATATTTGTGGTGGTTAATGACATGGGTTCTAGAATCAGATGGCACTGGGTTTGAATTCAGGCTTTACATTTACTGGCTGTATGGCCTCGAGCAAGATGTTTAAACTGTTTAAGCCTCAGTTTGCTCATCTGTAAAATAAGAATAATAATAGTACCTACCTCATAGGGTTGTTGTGACACTTAAATGAAATAATATATATGGCATAAAGACACTAATTTATTTTTAATTTTCCTTCATGCCTAAAAATCAGCAGGAATGTAATGGTTACCTTTTTATTTCCTTTTTTCTTCCCTCTTTCTTCTCATCTCCTTCCCTCCTTTTCCCTCTTTTGTCCTTTTCCTCTTTCTCTCCGAAGCAGCCTACATATTTTGGTGTAGATGGTGGGATGAGGTGTGAAGATAATTGCCTTTTATGGCTTTTCTTGTGTGTGTGTGTAAACTTGAGCTCATCGTGGGAAATATACTATAGAAAGAAGAGGAAAACAGAAGTAACAGGAAGGAGGAGAAAGATTTTTCCTAGACTGGGAAGAGCCCAGAGATATGTGGGTTCTGTGATGAGCAGGAACTTGAGTCCAGATCTGTGGCAGTGGCGAGAGGTGGCATGACCTTGGTAGGCGCTCACATGGTGCTCCCTGTACGTGGGGCCTGGCACCCAGACTTCCAGCCTCTCAACATCCTTACAACCAGGCTTGGCATGGACATGCTAGAACTGCCTGTTTTCAAAAGACTAAAGTGTTTCAACAATTTTATGTGAGTTTATAGTAAATAGCTGTCATAAAAGTGGGCCAGATGATAGAGATTGGTCCTCATTTTCTGGAAATCCCATAAACCTTACATATTTTTTGGTGATCTTGGGAAGAAAGAAGTACCCATCAATAATTACTGCAATTGAATTCCTAGTCAGTTTGGCAGGAATTTGGTTTGGCATATAATTTAATTTGATTTCAAGGCTATAAGCATATATAACTTTCCAAATAGCAGGTACATGTATATAGAGCATTCAAGATAGTACCTGGCAAATAGTAAGCACTTAATAAATGACACCTATTACAATGGCATCTTTAATTCCCATAGAAAACATTTTATTACTTTAATCTTTCTAAGGCTGTAGCTGCTTGCAAAGGTTGTTAAGTTTCCTGTGCTACATGAATCACCAATATCTGAGTAGTTCATGTGCTCTCATGTATTGTATAATGGACAATGGCATCCCAGTTGCAGCACAATAAGAATGTATATCACATCCAGTTTAAATTGAGTGTTCCAAGTATGTTAAGATATGGAATGGGAGTTGTCAATTAAATGGAGCTATCACTCCATTATCAACCAAGATTCCAATGCATATGCTAACGTCAATGAGTTAGAGATTCCAGAGTGAGACAGTTAATAGACCTGTGAGTTTCTCCCTGCTCTCCTATAATTGAGCTTTGAGGCCTTATGCTGAACAGAAGTTATCTAGGTGGAATGGAATAAATCCCCAGGGTTTCTAACCAAGCCCAAGTCTAACCCAGCTGCAGGAAAGCTCATTTAACTTGCAGACCTTTGCATCAGCTTCTCACAAGCTCCTCCTTCCTGAGGATTGTGTTCTCAGCATTCATCTCTCACCCTCACCATGGAACCGTACTCTGATGAGCATCTAAGAAACACAGAAACTCAGAAATGAAACCATGTGGCTCTGGCACTGCTGACATAGAATCACTGATATTTCAAATATCAGACTTCTCAAAAAGAAGTATGTAAACTCCCTATTCCTGTAATTGCTCAAATTACTATCTTTGAACACTTATATATTTCTCTGTTGGACCTGATTAAAGTACCAAGAAATTATATTTTACTAAGTTTTCTAAAATGAACATTTGAAAAGCCTCATGTTAAACTAAAATCCCTACTTTTTCTGTAGAAGTTTGCCTTTTGGATAGAGCATGGGAAAATCTGAACTAAACAAACAGGTGAGAAAATAGAGGCAAAGAGAGGTCAGAGTCATATGGTTAAACATTGGCAAAGCATGAGTTTAGACTCAGACAGTCTGGCCCTAAGCCCGATTTGACCATTGTGCTGTACGTTTGTTTGTTTGCTATTTACACTCACATTTCACCTTTTCCAAGTTGCTTATTCATGCCCTTTGCCCATTGTTCTGTTTTCCTCAGATATATGCAAGAGTCCTTGGAATGTTAAACTTTTGCCACATACTTGTTGCAAATAGTTTTCCTAGATTGTCCTTTATGCTTTACGTTGTTATGTGTTATGTGTTTTGAGGGTTTTAAAATTTTGTTATTTAAAATGTTTTTGAGCCTTTTGTCTATCAGCCTTTTGACACATTTAACAAGCATTTTAACTATTCAAATCACAAAAATATTTGTCTTTTTCATTTATAAATTTTTTTTCCTTTTTTAACTTTAATTCTTGACTGTATGGAATTCATTTTGGCAAAAGATAAATCGTCAACTGAATTTTTTCTCTCAAATGACTATGCAGTAGTCAAAAAAGAAGTTCATTGATTAATAAATCTTTTAACACTGATTTAAGTTACAGCTTTTGTCATATATTAAATCCTCTCATAGAGTTGGATCTCTGTCAATATTATCTGACTAAACTTAAACTGCATTGTTTCATGCGTTGTTTCATGATTTTATTTTTATACCCTGTAATAGCCAGTACCAAAGGTCCCTAATTCATTATTCTTTTCTGGAAAGAAATGGCCTGTTTTGACTCAATGATATGGTTTGGATTTGTGTCCCTTCCCAAATCTCATGCCCAGTTGTAATCCCCAGTGTTAGAGGAGGGGCCTGGTGGGAGGTGATTGGATCATGGGGGCAGAATCCCCCTTGCTGTTCTCATGATAGCGAGTGAGTGCTCAGGAGATCTGGTTGTTTAAAAGTGTGTAGCCCTGCCCCTTTCTCTCTTTTGCTCCTGCTCCAGCTGTGTAAGATGTACCTGCTTCCCCTTCACCTTCCTCCATGACTGTAAGCTTCCTAAGCCCTCCCCAGCCATGCTTCCTCTACAGCTTGTGGAACCCTGAGCCAATTAAACATCTTTTCTTGATAAATTACCCAGTCTCAGATAGTTCTTTATAGCAATGTGAGAATGGACTAATACACTGTATATTTGTTTTCCTTGCCAAATTAGTACATTGAAATCTTAATCCCCACTGTGATGGTCTTAGGAGGTGGAGACTTTGGGAGGTGATTAGGTCTTGAGGGTACGGCCTTCATGAATGGGATTAGTGTGCTTATAAAAGAGACCCCAGGAAGCTCTCTAATCCTCTTGCTGTCACATTAGGGTACAATGAGGAGTCAGGAGTCTGCAACATGGAAGAGAGCTCTCACCAGAATCCGATCATGCTGGCACCCTAATTTCAAATTTCCAGCCTCCAGAACTGTAAGAAATAAATCTCTGCTGTTTATAAGCCACCCAGTTTATAGGACTTTGTTGTGGTATCCCAAACTACGATACTTACTGACTGCTCTTTCTGTAAACGTGCTATTCCAGGGAAATTTAAGAGTAATTTTAGAAACAAGATCTCCTGTCTACCCAAGTTCCAGTGAAATTTTTATAGGAACTGCATTGATATCATTAAGTTGATTGATTTGGATGGAACTGAAATCTTTAAATTATCAAATTTTGTCATCCAATAACATGAGTTTTTTCATTCATTCGTCTTTTAATAGAGTTTTAATCATAGGTTTTCCACATTTCATACTAAATCTGTTCATAGATTTTGTTTTATCCGGTTATTATGAATAATATCTTTTCCTTTTTTGTATTTTCTGATTTTTGTTTTACAAAGGCAAGTTTTTGATTTTTTTAGTGTATTTTAAAATAAATACTAATTAAACTATTTTAAATAATAACTAACTGTGTTATTGAGCCCTCTTTTTTATTATAGTTTAAGTTTTAGGGTACATGTGCACAACATGCAGGTTTGTTACATAAGTATACATGTGCCATGTTGGTGTGCTGCACCCATTAACTCGTCATTTAACATTAGGTATATCTCCTAATGCTATCCCTCCCCTCTCCCCCCACCCCACAACAGGCCCCGGTGTGTGATGTTCCCCTTCCTGTGTCCATGTGTTCTCATTGTTCAATTCCCACCTATGAGTGAGAACATGCAGTGTTTGGTTTTTTGTCCTTGCCATAGTTTGCTGAGAATGATGGTTTCCAGCTTCATCCATGTCCCTACAAAGAACATGAACTCATCCTTTTTTGTGGCTGCATAGTATTCCATTGTATATATGTGCCACATTTTCTTAATCCAGTCTATCATTGTTGGACATTTGGGTTGGTTCCAAGTCTTTGCTATTGTGAATAGTGCTGCAATAAACATACGTGTGCTTGTGTCTTTATAGCAGCATGATTTATAATCCTTTGGGTATATACCCAGTAATGGGATGGCTGGGTCAAATGGTATTTCTAGTTCTAGATCCCTGAGGAATCGCCACACCGACTTCCACAATGGTTGAACTAGTTTACAGTCCCACCAACAGTGTAAAAGTGTTCCTATTTCTCCACATCCTCTCCAGCACCTGTTGTTTCCTGACTTTTTAATGATTGCCATTCTAACTGGTGTGAGATGGTATCTCATTGTGGTTTTGATTTGCATTTCTCTGATGGCCAGTGATGATGAGCATATTTTCATGTGTCTTTTGGCTGCATAAATGTCTTCTTTTGAGAAGTGTCTGTTCATATCCTTTGCCCACTTGTTGATCGGGTTGTTTGTTTTTTTCTTGTAAATTTGTTTGAGTTCATTGTAGATTCTGGATATTAGCCCTTTGTCAGATGAGTAGATTGCAAAAATATTCTCCCATTCTGTAGGTTGCTGTTCACTCTGATGGTGGTTTCTTTTGCTGTGCAGCAGCTCTTTAGTTTAATTAGATCCCATTTGTCAATTTTGGCTTTTGTTGCCATTGCTTTTGGTGTTTTAGATATGAAGTCCTTGCCCATGCCTATGTCCTGAGTGGTATTGCCTAGGTTTTCTTCTAGGGTTTTTTATGGTTTTAGGTCTAACGTTTAAGTCTTTAATCCATCTTGAATTAATTTTTGTATAAGGTGTAAGGAAGGGATCCAGTTTCAGCTTTCTACATATGGCTAGCCAGTTTTCCCAGCACCATTTGTTAAATAGGGAATCCTTTCCCCATTTCTTGTTTTTGTCAGGTTTGTCAAAGATCAGATAGTTGTAGATATGTGGTATTATTTCTGAGGGCTCTGTTCTGTTCCATTGGTCTATATGTCTGTTTTGGTACCAGTACCATGGTGTTTTGGTTACTGTAGCCTTGTAGTATAGTTTGAAGTCAGGTAGCGTGATGCCTCCAGCTTTGTTCTTTTGGCGTAGGATTGACTTGGCAATGCGGGCTCTTTTTTGGTTCCATATGAACTTTAAAGTAGTTTTTTCCAATTCTGTGAAGAAAGTCATTGGTAACTTGATGGAGATGGCATTGATGTACAAAAATGACAAGCATTCTTATACACCAATAACAGACAAACAGAGAGACAAATCATGAGTGAACTCCCATTCACAATTGCTTCAAAGACAATAAAATACCTAGGAATCCAATTTACAAGGGATGTGAAGGACCTCTTCAAGGAGCCCTCTTTTTATTTCTAAATGTTTTTCAGTAGCTTTTTTTTGGGTTTTCAAGTCGACAAATATATTACCTGCCATAATGGTACTTTACTGCCTTATATGTATGTTTGCGTATGTATACTTTCATATATATCCTTTACCTTTTTGGGTATAATTATATTAGTTAGTATTTCCAGGTTTACTGTAAGTGAGCAACCATTTTTACAGTAGACTTGAAATTTTTGATTAATTTGATATTAATCAGATTTTACTATAGTAGCATTTTTCAACTTATTAAAAGCCATAGCCCCTAAATACCTTACCGTTCTATATTCTGTGTATCTCACACTGAAGAAAATATTGTCAATTTTGCTTTCTGTTGCTTTTTAAAACTGTGAAAACAATTTGTAAACGGAATATATATGTTTTTTGAATGTATCTCTTTCCCATCCATCCCTATTCCCATCCTATAGACTCTGGCAGACGGGCTGGAGGTTCTGGTTAAGAATCAGTGTTCAGCGTTTAACCATATAGCATGATTCCAGTTGTTTGCTGGATCTTAAGGTATTTTTAAAGGTCTTGTTAGTTATTTTAAATGTATCTTATAATTTCGAACTATCACCATATTACTGGAATGAACTCCACATGACATGATGTGGTATTCTTTTAATATTTTTTTTAATGTAGCATGAGATTTAAGGGTTTCATTTTAAAGAAATTTCCTGTAGATCCTTTCAGTATGTAACAAATCAAAAACTTCTTAACAAAATGGTTTCAAGAAAAAGTGATTTAAATACTTGATTGGCTATTTAGAGTCAATATTTGATCAATTAGAAGTAAAAGGAAAGGCAGAAACTGTAAAATTGTAGGTGAAAAAAGAAATCTAAATTACCAAAAGCTGAGCTACATACATTTCTATGTATTAAATAACTTTGAATGTAACTATCTGGGGTCTAACTCACTGAGGTAAATGCTCTGATGGGCCATCAGGACAAAGCACCCAGAAGTTTAAAATGGTGGAGTTTACTAAATCTTTAACTTACCAAACAACAAACAGTGAAAACTACTTTATTCCAGCAAGAATCTTGTTTTGCAAAAAAAAATTAAAACAATGTTGTGTTAGTCCATTCTCATGCTGCTATAAGGACATGCCAAAGACTGGGTAATTTATAAAGGAAGGAGGTTTAATTGACTCACAGTTCAGCATGGCTGGGGAGGCCTCACAAAATTTACAATCAGCATAAGAGGAAGCAAACACATCCTTCTTCACATGGTGGAAGCAAGGAGAAGTACAGAGCGAAGGGATGGGGAAGCCGCTTATAAAACCAACGGATCTCGTGAGAACTCACTCACTATCACAAGAACAGCATGGAGGTAACCATTTCCATGATTCAATTACCTCCCACTGGTTCCCTCCCATGACCTGTGGGGATTTTGGGAACTACAGCTCAAGATGAGATTTGGGCGGGGACACAGCCAAACCATATCAAAGATTTATCGTATCAGCTTGGAGAAATAAAAATTTCTTAGATATCTTCTAAACTTCTATCTGCTGCTTTAAGTTTAAATCAGATTAATTCTAGCAGGAAAACTGCCAGTTATCTGTGCATAATTGAGACTGAGTTAGCCAGCACTTTCCAAGACACCTCTTGTGGTTGTCATTTTCTGTTGGCCCATTCAGATCTGAAGTCTAGTTTAGTTATCTAAGTTAGTTGGACTAGTTGCAATACAGTTACCAGATAATCCAGTTATAGTAGGTGGCCAGATGACTTATTTATTTTTCTCTTGGCAGGAGGAGAACTGAGAGGGTGGAGAAGTGGGTTAAGTTAAAAAATACTCAGAGCTTTACTTCTTAGGAAATTGAAATTTCTGAGAAAATAAATATATTTCTAGCTTTCTGGATAAATATCCATTCTTTCATTTACTTGTAAGCCCTGCAAGATAAATAAAAAAATAAAATGAAATTAATTTAGGAGAGTTAACATCAGCTAATTTAGTGTACTGAAAAATTTTGATAAGCCAGTATCCTCATGCCAAAGAACAGAGCTTTTGCAGTATTCTGATAGATGAATATATATTTATTGACATTGGTGGTATAGAACTCACAGTCACCACTTAATTGAATTTATTTCAGTTGGGGAAATAATTGTTTAGTTTCCTCTTAGCATGATGGGCGGGTATTGTCATCTTCTCCTGGCTTGATGGTACTAGTACAACTTTACTTGATGGAATAAAACAACGAATCTGAAGAGGAGGTAAAAGTCAGAAAAGTAAAAAAGAAAAAGTCAGAAAAGTAAGAAGTAGAACTGTGAAGAATGATTGTTTTAATGTTAGGGTTAGAAAAGAAACTTCTAAACTCATTGTATTTAAAAAAAAGATCACTTGGAAACTTATGGGATAAATCATGTTCTCCCAAATTCATATGTTGAAGTCCTAACCCCTATAACCTGGGAATGTGACTGTGTTTAGAGACAGGGTCTTTAAATAGATAATTAAGGTAACATGAGGTTATATGGGTGGACCTTAATCTAATATAACTGGTATCTTTATAAAAAGAAAAGATAAGAACACAGACAGCAGAGAGGAAAGACCACATAAAGACACAGGGAGAAGACATCCATCTACAACCAAGGAGCGAGGCATCAGAGGAAACCACCCTGCTGACACCTTGACCTGGGACTTCCAGCCTCCAGAACTGCAAGAAAATAAAATTTCTGTTGCTTCTGCCACCCACTCAGTGGTACCTTCTTATGGCACCCCTTGCCAATGAATACATATGGGACAAAGTTCTTACTTAACTGAGATAAAAGTGAACAAACATAATACTCCAAAGAGAAGTGATATGAAACTATGCATGATTCCATATTCTCTTTTCTCCTGATGAAACTCTACTTCCTATTTGATTGCTCTTATAAATCTGGCATCTGTCCAGTATTGAATAGTGTCATGGAGAGAAAGAGAGGCCAATTACACTGTCTTGAGTACTGATGAGTCCCAGGGCGACTGTGGCTCCAGGCCAGGGTTACCAGGGTCCACCTTGTTGAATCTAAGTAGTCCCCTTTCAGTGGTTAAAGGACAGAGGATGCTAAGGCTGGAGTACTCTGGAAGGAGACCCAATCTTAGGAGGATCGACAGGAGATTCACAGGCATATCAGTGGCTTGGTGCATGTCAATTCAAATTGCAGATTCCTTGGTACCCTTTACATCTAAGCGGAGCTTTTTGAACTTAAAATCCCTCTTAAAACCCTGCCTCATCTCCTCTTCTCATTAAGAAACACTGATGCACACAAATGAGCAGTAAGGGCACACTGGCTTCATCCCTGTTTCTTCCCTCTTTCTAATGGCACCATCAAAGGCAAAATGGATTGAAATAAATAAAGGTTGTATTTTATTGTATTGCCTCAGGCAACTAAGTCAGATGCGTATCTGTAGAAATGATGTATTTTCTGATTCTGCTATGCATTTGCTTCAATCTTCCTATCAAAAGTAAGGCTTATCTTTGTAACAACAGAATTCTTGCAATATAGCTAATGTGGTGTGATCCTCAGTGATTTACTGAGTAGAAGTTTGTCTTACTAGACAAGTTACTTGGCCTGAAGGCAAATATGTTACCGTGTTATCTGCTCATGCTGAAAAGCAAATATAAAATGATGTCTGTGCATATGAAAGAGAATAAAAACAGGTTTTGATATGGCAACTGCTTTATCAAGTATTCTGTGCCACCTGCCTTTTTTGCATTTTTTGATGCAGAAATCTGAGTTACTATTGGCTTCCGGTGACATTAATAGAATGTAAGCATTTGATAACTTAATCACGTTTGCTTTAAGCACATTTGGAGTAAGGGGTTCTTTCTATTTAGATTTTACTAACACTTTTGCAAACCGTGGTCCCCAGTATGCAACAAACTTACCAGGAAGCATGGTGAGATCACATCACCAGTAAATGGCAGCATGTGAGACCCTTTCTTTGTTTACATATTTTCTTGTTTCTTACACTGTTTTTCATGAGTCCTTAAGTCCTTATATAAATTTTGATTTTGGCAATCCATATAGGGATTAAAGGATCTGACTAAATGTCAGCCTATAATGGGTGCTGAAATATTGATGCATTAAAATTCCCCTGGAAATATAATGAAATGGAGAAAATTATACTCATTAGAGTTCTTCTCATGGAGATGTTCTCTGTACAATTGGAAGGAGTACTTTGATATTGCACTCTCTAGTAGCAATGCAACGAATGTGTTCTTGGTTGCATGCAGGGTTTTATTTTGCTAAGTAGGGTATGTGAGTTTGAGGCCAGAGTGGAATTGCTAGAGATAATAGGAGAAAGGGCAAACTGCAGCAGTGATGCATCATCACCTGTTTTCCATGAAGCTTTTGGCATCACCTCAAAATAAATATTAGACAAATGTTTCAAAATAGCAGTGTGACTATCTATAAAAATAACATACATGGCCCAACAGAAACACAGGGAAAAGATATAAATTGGAAGATCATGTAACAGAAACCAAAGAAGCAAATATATACATAAAAAGATGCTCAACCACACTGGTTATGAGAGAAATGCTAACTAAAACCAGAGATATTGTTTCATACTAATTACATAGTCAAAAATTAAAAGCCTGGTGATACTAGGATATGAAGTTCATTATAGTATTTTCTATAATTTTTGGTTTGTCTGTGAAATATTTAAACACAAATGAATTTGAAATAAAAGAATATTGATTTGAAGGGATGTTGTCTCAGCCTGTGTAAACCACTTGTCATTTGGCCTTTTATCGCTATCTTATGTGAAAGACTTTCTGAGATTCCAGTTTCCATGCATTAAGCTACCAAATATCTTCACCAACATTCCTCCTAGGCACTGACATTTTAGGTTTCAGGCATTTTGTGAGGAGCTGAAGGACTTAGAGCAGAAGGTGTAGGTGCTGGACATGGAAGGAGGTTCCCAAAACCAGACTACATGTTTGTTCCATTTTCTTCTGAGAAATTTCAGAAATAAAAAGTTATGGATTTTATGTTGGGTTGCATATCTTCATGATTCTTAATAACAAGGCCAGAATTGTTAAGCAACGCACTTTGGATTTAGGTGAGAAGTCAAATAGAAATATATTAAAGACCAAAAGAGGAAATTATTGCAGACAATACTATATGTTTACCAAATCATTTCATTCTCCTATAATGTACACAGGGAGACTATGTTGGCAGCCATACTTGTTACTGCTTGTGAATATGTGACTGAGTTCTGGGTAAGGTGATTTTTGCTAATCCTAGACTTGGCCATAAAATACCTTGTGCCATCTTCTTCTGTATCTTTCCCTGTTCATATGTCTGGCAATGGACGACTATGAGATGGTGGAACAACCTCATGGAAGGAATCTGGATTGCTTAGTCATCACCTGTAGTGGAGCCACCCAGGACAGCAAGACAACCAGGAATACCTACACGGGGACTATATGTATATGCGAAAAAGCCTTTGTAGTGCTAAACCACTAAGATTTTGGGGTTGTACTAGAAATTTTCCAGTAATTTCTTATGGTAAGATATGTTGTCTTGAATGTCCTAGGAGGTCCTATAAATGTGCCAAGACAGCTACCACTTATTTTAGAATAATATAACTATTAGTTACACATTTAAAATAAACAGCTTTGAAATGACGCATTCTGTTTTCCTCCTGCCGTTGTCACTATAGAGAAGGAACAATGCCAAAAATACAAGATGCTGTATGAACAAATAACATGAAAGCTGGAGATGAAACTAGATTTTTGAACTTGACTACATATGCCTCAAGGTTAGATGTTAGTATGGACTATTTCCTTTGACATATTAAGGGTGAATAATTCCCAGGAAAATGCAAGGATCGGGCTTGCTTTTTCTAGCCATGGTAGCTCAGCAAAACACATTTCTGATTGCTAGGACTCCTTAGATTTTACCAGTTTTAATCTTGGATTATGGTTGTCATGAAGAGTTGGCGTTTTAAAGATATTCTTTACATTGAAGAATTTTTACTTTTCAAGTAGGATAATGAAATGAAAAATATTTGAGATGTAATAAATTTGGTGGGATGAATCTGAGCAGTTCACACCATTTAGATACTGAGAGGAACATAGGCCCCCTGAGACTGAAAACAAATAACTGTGGGATGGTAGATGACAGCCTTTCCAACATGTGCGGTCATGACTCAATCCAAACACTTTTTGGCCATCCCTGCCACACTGCCACCATCTCTCACCTGGATTATTTAATAGCTTCTGGACTGTTCTGCCTGCTGCTGCCTTTGCTCATGGCTTCCTGTGTCACTCAGAGTAAAAGTCAACCCGTAAAATGGCTTCCAGGTTTTACACCATCTGTGTCCTTCTCCTCCCCACATTCGTTTCTCACCTCATCAACAGTCCCTCATCCCTGCACTCACTTTGCTCCAGCCACGCTGACTTCCTTGCTCTTTCTAGAATATATCACCCATGAATGACCTCAGGGCATGGAATTTGCTGCTTTCTCTACTTGGAACACTCTTCCCTCTGTGGATTGAATGTCACTCCGATGTCACTTCATCAGTGAGACCTTCTCTGACCACCCTAAATATAGCAAACCCTTTCCTAGTACCCTGTCCTCTGGAGCACATTCTTCCACTCACCCTCCCAGTGGCTGCTCCTAATGCTCTCTACTCATTATATTTTCCCCTGTACTGCATATTATCACTTGATATTTTTATGTTTTTAAAATTTTTTTATTTTACTTTAAGTTCTGGGATACGTGTGCTGAACGTGCAGGTTTATTACATAGGTATGCATGTGCCACGGTGGTTTGCTGCACGTATCAACCCATCATCTAGGTTTTAAGCTCCGCATGCATCAGGTATTTGCCCTAGTGCTCTCCCTCCCCTTGCACCCGACTCCCCACCAAGCCCCGGTGTGTGATGTTCCCTGTGTCCATGTGTTCTCATTGTTCAGCTCCCACCTCTGAGTGAGACCATGCAGTGTTTGGTTTCCTGTTCCTGTGTTAGGTTGCTGAGAATGATGGTTTCCAGCTTCATCCATGTCCCTGCAAAGGACACGAACTCATTCTTTTTTATGGCTGCATAGTATTCCATGGTGTGCATGTGCCACATTTTCTTTATCCAGTCTATCACTGATGGGCATTTGGGTTGGTTCCAAGTCTTTGCTATTGTGAACAGTGCTGCAATAAACATAAGTGTGGATGTGTCTTTATAGTAAAATGATTTATAATCCTTTGGGTATACACCCAGTAATGGGATTGCTGGGTCAAATGATATTTCTGGTTCCATATCCTTGAGGAATCACCACACTGTCTTCCACAATGGTAGAACTAATTAACACTCACAACAACAGTGTAAAAAGTTCCTATTTCTCCACATCCTCACCAGCATCTACTGTTTCCAGACTTTTTAATACTCATGATTCTAACTGGCATGAGATGGTATCTCATTGCGGTTTTGATTTGCATTTCTCTAACAACCAGTAATGATGATAAGCTTTTGTTCATATGTTTGTTGTCCACATAAATGTCTTCTTTTGAGAAATGTCTGTTCATATCCTTTGCCCACTTTTTGATGGGTTTTCTTTTCCTTGTAAATTTGTTTAAATTCCTTGTTGATTCTGGATATTCAATCATGTTTTTTTGTGTCTCTTTTAAAAATCATCTTAACCATTTTTAAGTGTACAGTTTAGTAGGATTAAGTATATTCACATTGTTGTGCAACAGATCTCTAGAACTTTAATTTTGCAAAATTGAAACTCTAAACCTATTAAACACTAATTCTTCCTCCTTCTGGCCCTGGGTAACCACCTTTCTATTTTCTGTTTCTATGATTTTGACCACGTTAGATGCTTAATATAAGTGTAATCACATAGTATTTATCTTTTATGGCTGGATTATTTTGCTTAGCGTAATGTCTTCAAGGTTCATCAATCTTGTAACATGTAATAGGATTTTCCTCTTTTTTTGGGCTATGTAATATTCCATTGTGGGTATATATCACATTTTCTTTACCCATCATTTGTTGATGGACACTTGGGTTGCTTCCGCTTCTTGGCAATTATGAATAATGCTGCAATAAACATAGGTGTGAGAATATCTTTAGATAGCTTGCTTTGAATTCTTTTGGATATGTACCCAGAAGGGAGATTTATCTCTTTTTAATTATCTATTCCCCCATCCCCAGAATGTAAGCCCCAAAAGGGAGGGAAGTTCTTTTATTCAATACTACCTGCCTATACAGGAACATGCAAAACATGCATGTTGAACAAACAGGTGAATATTATCTCTTTATTTGAAAACTTTCTGCCTTTCTACTAGGGTGCAAGCTCTCTGAGGGCAGCATTACTTTCTGTTTTGTTTACTGCAGTGGCCTTGGTACCAAGAACAGCTCTTGGTTTGTGGTAGGCTCTTGTCCTAGTCTGTTTTGTGTTGTTATGAAGGAGTACCTGAGGCTGGGTAATTTATAAAGAAAAGTGGTTTATTTGGCTTATGGTTCTGTAGACTGTATACATGTATACAAGAAGCATGGTATTGGCATGTCTCATGAGGGCCTCAGGTTGCCTCCACTCATGGTGGAAGGTGAAGTGGAGCCAGTGTGTGCAGAGATCACATGGTGAGGGAGGAAAAGAGATGGGGGAATGTTGGCCCCTTTGTTTTAACAACCAGCTTTTGTGGGAACTTCTCTTACCCCTAAGGAAGGGCACTAATCTATTAATAAGGGATCCACTCCCATGATCCAAACACCTCCCATTAGGTTCCATCTCCAACATTGGGGATCATATTTCAACATGAGGATTAAAGGGAACAAATATCCAAACCATATAGCTCTCAAAAATATTATACATATTTTTAAATGAAAAAAATTAATGTTCTTACATGAGCAGACAGGTAACAGAGGAGCAAATATAAGTTGCACAGAAAAATCTGAAAAACAAAAAAAATTATTCTATCTAGAGATAAAAATACAAATTTACATGAGACCATTTTGCCCTATCAAATTAATACTTTTTCAAGCATGTGTTTTAAACTTTAAACTTAAAAGGGAAGTCATGAGAATAGTACAATGAGCTGAATTTCAGCAGCAATTGCCTTTGTTAGAATTTTTGTCAAATTTGCTTCTGTCTCTCTCTCCCTCTCTTAATCTCTCTCTCTCTCTGTGTTTATTCATTTATTTTGCTGTACCATTTGAATTTGCTGCAGATATCATGAATGACCCTTCATCTTTAAATACTTTGGCCTGTACCTTGTAAGAAAAAGGAAATTCTTATACATAATCATTATTTAAAACTACCCTCACATAAATTATCATTAATATAATACTACTATATAATTGTAGCCTGTATTAGCTCATTTTCATGCTGCTGATAAAGACATACCCAAGACTGGGTAATTTATAAAGAAAAAGAGGTTTAATGGACTCAAATTTCCACGTGGTTGGGGAGGCCTTCCAATCATGATGGAAGAAAAAAGGCACATCTTACATGGAGGCAGACAAGAGAGAATGAGAACCAAGTGAAAGGGGTTTCCTCTTATGAAACAATCAGATCTCATGAGATTTATTCACTACTATGAGAACAGTATGGGGGAAACTGGGAAAACTGTCCCTGTGATTCAATTATCTCCCACTGGCTCCATTCCACAACCCATGGGAATTATAAGAGCTACAATTCAAGATGAGATTTCGCTGCGGACACAGCCAAACCGTATCGTAGCCCCTATTCAGATTTTCCTACTTGTACCAACCATGTTCTTTATTAGTATCTTTAAAAAAATCCAAGATCTACTCAAGGGTCATTCTTTGCATTTACTTGTAATGTTCCTCTAAGTCTCCTTTAATCTAAAACAGTTTTCCAGGCACTTTTTCCTCTTTCATGACATTGGCATTTTTTTAAAGTCCTTGCCAGTTGCTTTGCACAATGTCTCTCAGTTAGGATTTGTTTGATTGCTTCTTTACCGTTATATTCAGGTTAATCATTTTTGCAGGAATATTACAAAATTGGTATTGCATTCTCAGTGCCTCATATTAGGAGCATATAATATCAGTTTGTCCCAAATTTTTAAAAAGTTAAATTTAATCTCAGGTTTAGCAAAAGTGCAGTTTATAGGCACTCATATACTGCTGTGTACTTCCATATTATCAATTTAAAAAACTTGTATGAATTTTAGACAGCATGTTTAGCAAATAAGTATTTTCTTTTGGAGGAAGAAAGGTCAACTGTTTTCCCCTCCCCTCCAGTGAAGGAGAAACTGAAAAGTTTGCCAAGTAGACACTGTGGACATTAGCTAAGAGAATTATAAATTTGAGATTCTGAGTACTGCAGCAGTTCCTGTCATTATCCTTGGACAAGTTATTTAGTTGTTGGTTGCCTTGTTTTATCTTCGAAATGATGGGAAATCATGCCTGCTGCTTACCTAATCTCTCTCACAAAGGTACTGGTCGTCTGGGCCAAACAAAGGCATTCAAAGGGGTGCTAATTTTGTAATGTAGATAAAAGACATGTAGCGACAACACTCTAGTATTATACAGACTGTTTTCATAATTAGCTTAATAGCGTTTTTTGGAAGCTGCAATTTCAATATATTGCACATTTACTAAAAAATAAACAACAGATGAGGCTGGGATGAGCATATCCTCAAGAGCAAATAATACCCTTATCTCCAAAATCTTTCCGGTAGTTAAGAATCTACACTCTTGAATGCAATCCTGTAATTATAATTAAGTATCATTTATTATGAAAAAGTAATTGGCCTTTTGTACGAAGGTGGTGTATCAGTTTAATGGATCAAAGCCTATTAGACTGGATATTGTCATGATTCCAGATGTGAAGGTGTCGGGATGATGGCATTGCAATTATTACACTAGTATCTGTGTAGAAAACAGACACTGTGTAGCTGAACAAGATTAATTATATTTTAGCCAATTATTTTAGATAAGGTCTACGTAACTGTAAAAAATGCACATAACTGCTAGTCAAGGTGCTCTTTCTTCCTCATTGCCTTTTTTGGGGTTAGTTCTTGACAAAGGACAGTGCTCCATGCAGCAACTTGTTCTCCCAGATCTCATGTACCAAAAAGACATAAAGGGCATTCTTTTGGTTGTCCCTTGCTTCCAGACCTTGGCTGTTTTACCTTTGTGAAGCTTAGTCATCTAGCTAGAGCCTCCAGTATCCCATTTCTGCCAATAATCTGATGTTCTAACCTTGTGTCCATGTTTATTCAACATCTTGGGATCTAACTGACCCATCTGCCCCAATTCATGCAGTTGGAAATTTCAAAGTATATAGTTAGAAAGATAGACTGAAAGATAGACAGATAGATAGATAGATAGATAGATAGATAGATAGATAGATAGATACATAGATACATAGATACATAGATACATAGATACATAGAGGTATGGTTTGGCTTTCTGTCCCCATCCAAATCTCATCTCAAATTGTAATGCCCTGGTGGGAGGTGATTAGATTATGGGGACAGTTTCCCCCATACTGTTCTTGTGATAGTGAGTGAGTTCTCATGAGATGATCTTATAAGGGCTTTTCCCCCTTTGCTCTCTCTCTTTTTCCTGCTGCCTTTTGAAGAGGTGCCTGCTTCCTCTTCACCTTCCACCATGATTGTAAGTTTCCTAAGGCCTCCCCAGCCATGCAGAACTGTAAGTCAATTAAACCTCTTTTGTTAATTAAGTACCCAGTCTCAGGTAGTGTCTTTATGGCAGTGTGAGAATGGACTAATACAGATAGCCAGCTAGGTAGATTATTATAGGGCCAGCTTCATGAGTATGCAACCTGTGCAGTCATACAGAGCTGTGCTTAGAAGGACCCGTTACATGGTAGAATGCTCTGCTATTGCCATCTTGAAGTTCTTAATTTTTTAACAAAGTGCCTGCAGTTTTATTCTGCTCTGGGCCCCACAAATTATATAGGCAGTCTTGACATTTGTTACAAGTTGAGTTTCCCAGGAAGGAGATTCTGAGATGGAGATTAGCAGAGGTTTATTGGGGATTGCTCTTGGTATTCCCACTTGTGGAAGTGAAAGGAAGGAAGAGCATTGAGCAAAGGGAGGAGCTGATTTTCTGATATAAGCAAAGGGAGGAGCTGAGTTCTGATATGGTCTTGATGGAGACCTCAACAACCCCATAAAAAACTCTGATGCTAGGACGGCCTTTCAGAATTGTTCCAAATTGAGGTAAGAGAGCCAGGAAATTATACAACTATGTTACCCAGTCATTGGATGTGGGACTTCCCAAGAAAGGAACATGGCCTTGGGAGAGCTGAATCTCTTTTCAGCCAAGGAAATTCCAAAGGCAGCTTACAGCCGAAGGCTATCTCAGCAGCCGGGGGGAATGTCGGCAGTGCAGCACAACATCCACTTCAACTATCCATTCAACAATTTAGCCTTTAGGTCTTTTTCAAATGCCATTCATCCAATAACCTCAAAACATTCCTTGGCACTTTGTCAATGCAGGGACCTGCTTTATATTAGAAATCTTCCTGTCCATGTCCTCCCACAACTGCTGTGGCTGAGCTGATGTATGTTCACCATATAACTCCCTTTTCTGGGGACAAAGGCAGACTACATTTTCCTTGTATTTAGGTTGAAACTGAGCCCTTGTCAACAGAAATGTAAATGGATATAATGTGCCACTTCCCATCTGAGACAGTTAAGTGTGGATATGGGTGCTTCCTACTTTTTTATTTTTTCTCCATTGGTTGGCTGTAAAGATCTCCAAGACTGGGCAGAGTTACAAGATAGAAGCAGCTCAGGACTGAGTCACCTTTGGAGGAAAGCCTTGAGGGAGAACTGCGTTTACCATATTGGACTGTGATGAAAGTGACTGAAGCACTGCTCTTCTTTAAATCAAACCAAATCAAAACAACTCCATAATACCCTCCAGGAAACTTCAGACTTTTAATTTCTGCTTGTATTTCCCCAAAGCTGTCGGTTCCTCTTGGCCATCTGCCTTCCCAAGCCAGTCTGCAAATAATAGTTGATGAAAAGCAATCTTTCATCTACACCTTTATTTGCTTTGCACGTTTTTCTCCTGCTGTGTTCCCTCAGCAAAACCCAGCTGAAGAGCAATTCAGCAACCCATTTTTTTCGACTCCAATGCCAGAATGGCTGAGGATTGCTGGAGACAATCACACAATTTATCTGACTAACATCACTAAAACGTCATGATTTCCATTCTCAGTGGAGTCTTTAGCACTGCCTGGAAGTCCTGGGTCAGAATCCTCCTCAATTACCTCAAAAACCTTTTCCCAGTTTACTCCTTTCATATGTTCTCTACTCAGTCCCTATCCCACTTAATCTTAGAATCTTGCTTTCTTTTCAGAATAAAAAAAGATGCTCTATGAAGAATCTTCCTCTAACTTCCTTTAACTATAAACTTTTGAACCATACTCAAGACAGACATGGAGCAGAAGGCGTGATTTTGCCCCTTTAAATTTTTCTCCTTTGTGTTTTGAAATTAAATTACAAATTAAACTTGCCTTTGAGTTCCCATTCACCAGGGTTGTGAAAAATTCAATCACATTTTTGTCCTGAGATTGATCAAAGATCCTAGGAACTTGCGTGGGGCCTGGCCCATTGAGACTTCATCTGTTATTATTGCTGTTGATACTTCAGGGTCCAAACCTGAAGCCTGGCAGCCCCATTATTTTGTTTCTACCCTCTGCTTGTACTCTGAGAGGTGGAGTATTTCTCTGCCTGATGTCCAGCATCCCTAGATTGGCCACATCTCATTCCCCTCTGAGTTTCCACCATCTCCTGAGATGCTTTCAAAGACTGGGTACTGGGAGTGGGTGGCAGTGGTGGTGGGGAGCGTCATCTAGGTTTCTCTCCAGATGAGCCAACACCTCCATGCCTTCCATGTTTAGGAAAATTTCATCATCATTCTTCTCTGTTTCAGCCTCTCCTCTTAAAGTTATGCAGCCTGTCTCCCTACTTGGCCTCCAAAGAAATGACCTAGTATTGACTCTCTCAGTGCATTTCAGCTTTAAAACACAAAAACCTGGGGCTCTCTGTCTTCAAGAAACTTCTGCTTTCTGCTTCCACTATGCAAATGCCCCTAAGGAAGAGAACACAAATGCTTGGCCACCTCACTGGGGAGAAAAATTTAATAAGATCAGATTCCAACTTCATAAATTTGTCACTTATTTTGCCACACTTAATTGCATCTATCTCCTTCCTCCCTTTCTTTAGGCTTAAGACAATTGCTTAAACTTTACCTGTATCTCTTCCCTTTTTTCTCCTCTGAAACATTAATAAGAAATGTCTTTTCTTTTTACAGCATCTTCAATGTTTCTCTCTCTTCTTCCGTCACTTTGGAAACATGCTCTTCCTGTCAAAAAATTGTCCCTCGACCCCATGTCCCTCTTGAGGCTTTCCACTTCTCTCTTCTCTTTTATACCCAGACATTCTCAGTCAGTCTTCACTTCCTTGTCTTGCATTCATTTCTCAAGACACATTTATTTTTCTGCCTTCTGACCACGATTCATTGAAAGTACATCTGCTAAGATGACTTGTGACTTCCAGTTGCCAATACCAGTTAGAAAAAAAAAATTAATTCTGATTTCACTAGACTATCTTAATGCATTTAAAGTTACTGATGGGCCCTCTTTCTGGAGGCTGTCTATATGGTTTCTGCTTAACTCCAGTCTTTCTCTGACCCCTTGGAGGGCTCCTCTTCCTCTGGGGGCCTTTTACATATTGGTAATTCCAAGGGATTGACCGAGAATCACTGCTTTCCTCATTGTGCTCAACCTTCCTGAGTTATTTCATCCACTCCCATGTTTCTTTTTTTAAATAGGTAAAAATTGGGTCAAAAATTTATATCCAGAGGTCTACTAAATCAAAAACTCCAACACTAAGCTCTCTGCAAAGGCTCAGATCTTCATATCCAGTGGTTTACTGGGCATTTGTTCTGGGCAAGAAACAAATTTACTCTCAGAAACCCGCAAGTAGACATATATGGCAAAGTCCTACTGCCTTGTTATGACATTTGCATATTGATTTAAAATATTGTCTCATAGATAGTACAAAAGTATATATATGAATATTTTTTAGACATTCCCCAACCTTGCTTGAACAGAATATAAGAGTTTAATGAGTTCTATAGGCTGTAACCTTTGTAATGGTGTTCTAAGCTGGATGCCATGGGCCTGAATTGTCCCATGGGCCTCAGGCAGTCCAGATTCTTTGATACCATATGATTGAAACAAATGCTAGCCAAAGCCTATCTCTGGAATGACTTTACACTTGTCTCAGGTGAAGCTTTTCATGAAAAGTATTTTTGGAGCTAAAGGATAAAGAGCTGAGACTTCATCATTTTTTTTTCTTATCATTGTTAAAGAACAGGTTACATGACTGTGCTGTGCCTGTTTGCTAATGGTGGCAGATTGTATTTGCCAGAGCCAGCCAGCACAGATTGTATTTCCCCCGGAAAGATGTGACCTTGTCATTCTCCCAGTAAGATACAGGAGCCTCTTTTTTTACCCTGTTGAATCTGGAGAAGGCCTGCGGATGCTCTGGTGATAGAATATGTCAGAAATGACTGTGCCATTTCTGGGCATAGCCCTTAACTGGCCTGGCAGTTTCTGCTTCCAGTTGCCATGCTTTGCGGGGGCCCAAGCTCTATGGAGAGAATGTGTATAGGTGTCCTGGCCCCAGCTGAGCTCCCAGCCAAAGTCATCATCAAAACCCAGCCATGTGAGTAGCCATCTTGGATATTTAGTTCAATCCATCCTCCAGAACCCCAACTGGAATGACCCCTGAAAGTCCTCAAGAACAAACAAGCCAGCTGAGATTGGTCATATGTCAGAATTGTAAGGGGTAATAATCAAATTGTTTTCAACCCATAAGGTCTTAGGGTGGTTTGTTACGAGAATGGATAGCCAGAACACTAATAAATGTCTGTCTGTGCTGCAGAGTTTGATGTGAAACCTGCTTTGTTTATAACCTGGCATTGAAGTTTTAGGGAGGTTTAGTCCTTATCCCCTACCTCTAAACATTCTTGGTCATAGAGATATAATAAAAAGAACCTTAGAGTTGTACATGACCAAGTTGACTTGGGTAGAAAAGGTATTTTCCCCAGTGCTAACAGAGCAAGAATTTCAAGGTCCATAGCTCAAATCTTAGGCCTGTGTGATGTGGTCTGTGGAATAGCAGAACTGTGGCTTCAAATATTACCATAAGTTACTGGTACTGACTTAGAGTACAAAAGCCAGCAAGCCCATAGATTCATAATTCTTTTGTCCTAGTGGGCAAAATTTCCATATGCATTGTTAAGACAGTGCTTTTTTAATGCATCTCCTTAAGATAAAAAGGACACAAGGAGGAAATATGTTAGCCATTTGCATCCTTATCTTTGCATTGCTTATTTGCTGCTTCAGAAGCGAGCCAAGTGAAGCAACCTTGCATGACTCCAAGTCAATATTCTTACCCATTCTTGAATCTGGACCAGGTGGCCTAATGCAATACATCCACCTGAACACTCCACAGGCATCTCAAATGCATTGTGTTCCAAACAGGCATATCATATTCCCTCCTAAACATACTGCTATTATTATCTTCTCTATCTCAGTAGGTGTTAATCTTCCACCTGTTCACCAGATTGCTCTTTCTACCTCACTTGGCACTTCCAAACAATACTTGAGGCCATCTAATAAGACTTCCTAAACAGTTTTTAGGAATCCCTCCCAAATGCTGTATCAAGAGCCTGTTCTTGATAGTGCTTTGCCTGGATCTTCTGATTCACCTCCCTGCCTCCTCTCAGCTAGCATGGTAAGCTGTAAATCTGACCAGGTCATTTCCTAGCCTTAAATCCATTGTCCTAAAGGCAGCACGCTGGCATCCTTGCCCATCTCCCATGCCTCATTTCTCACCACCCCTGTGGTCTGAACTTTCACGCTGGGTTTTTTTTCTTTTTAACCTTTTTTTTAGAATGCCTTTCCTGCTCACCAAGCTCCTTCTTGCCTTAGCGCCTTTGCTCACGCTCTTCTCTGCTTGGCATAGCTTCTCTCCGTGCCCTTTCCCACCTTCTCTGTTTTCATGTTGGGTAGTTTCCACTCATTCCTTGGAATATTAGAGCTTTAAAAAGTCCTTATGCATAGGCAACACCCCAAGTCAATTACTACAGAATTTATGTGAGTGAATTAAAAAATACAGGAATCTGAGTTTTAATAATCAGTTTCCCAGGTGACTTCCGTGGAAGCTATGGCTGAGAACACTACTTTAGAGTCAGTTTAGTCATCCTCTCTCCAAGGATGCCTTATCTGATCTGACACTCCTTTTCTCCTCAGATTGAAATGCTCTTTTATGATCCCATAATGTTCTATAACATCTCTATTATTGCACATTCCAGAAGGCTTTATAATGAGCTGTTTACAAGTTTGTCTCCCTAAAGGATGTGAGCTCCTTTAGGGTAGGAGCTGTGGTTTCACTGTAGTTTGTATTTTCAGTATTTAGCTTAGTGACTGGTAGGTACCAAATGTTCAACCAGGCTTTATGAAAGAACAAATGAATGAGAGAACAACTAAGCTTAGGCTAATAAACATTTTCAGAATATTCATATATAAGTAAGTGAAACTGTCCTCCTGTTTCACTCCAGTGCTGTTCCGTTTTTTTTTTTTTTTTTTTTTTTTTTTTTTTTTTTTTTAGCTCCAAAGCACTTAGACATAAAAAATAAGGTTGGAATAAATAAAGTGTGTTTTATTAATTTTGGAATGAAGATGATATGGTTCAGATCTGCGTCCCCACCAAATCTTATGTCAAATTGTAATTCCCAGTGTTGGAGGTGGGGCCGGGTGGGAGGTGATTGGATCATTGGGTATATTTGTCATGAATGGTTTAGCACCATCCTTTTGGTGTTGTCATCCTTGCGATGGTGAGTTCTCATGCGATCTGGTCATTTACAAGTGTGTAGTACCTCCCCGCACCTGCTCTTGAGCTTGCCATGTAAGAGTCGTGTTTCCCCTTTGCCTTCCCCCATAATTCTAAGTTTCCTGAGGCCTTCCTGGAAGCTGAGCAGATGTCAGCATTATGCTTCTTGTACAACCTGTGGAACTGTGAGCCAATTAAACCTCTTTTCTTTATAAATTACCCAGTCTCAGGTATTTCTTTATAGCAATGTGAGAACAGACTAATACAGAAGATATTAACAAAGTTGTGCAAGCACTGTGGGTTTTCAGCAGGGTCACCTTGAAAAGGTACTGACAAGTCCAGGAATGGGACCCAAGCTAGTGAGCTGGCAATGGGAGGTAAGGTCCTGCCTCACAGAGAGAAATAGAAAAGGGAAACATTTAATATTTACTCAGTATCTTTGTAGAAAAAAACGTCATTTATTTGCTGTAGGTTGACAAGAAACTTCAAAGGGATGGGCTAGATAGAATATAAATATGTACTTTTGAGAGTTGAAAATTATATAACAAGGACAACACTAATTTAGAGCAGAATACTGGTAAAATGAGAATGTTTGACAAACATATAAACCTGCAAAGCCATACTCTGAAACCACTTCACTTCACTAACCCATTTTTGAGCATTCACATTTCAAGTTTCTGTGAACTTCAGCAAGAATGTCCCTGTGCCAAGAAACTTAGCTAATGATAATGGTAATGGGAACCGCAATAGAATACATATTTTGAGCATCAACTCTGTGCCAGATATTGTCCAAAGATCTTTATGTGTGTGTGTCATCTAATCTTCCCAATAACTTATGGTTAACTTACTATCCTCACTGTTTTTAGTGTCCAAGGCTTAGGGAAAGTAAGTCATTTGACCTAGGTTGGTAGAACTAGGATTTAAACTCATATTTTTCTGGTTCTAACCCATTCTGCCTTCCTAATAGGTGAGATTAAACATATACAAATGCCACCTAATAGGTGAGATTAAACTTATAGTGATAAGATTTAGAATGTGCTACACAAAATTTAAAAAGTCCATCAGAGAATGTACTATAAAATTTTAGTTCTAACCAAGGGTGTAGAAGCAGACAGCATGGGGAAGGTAATGTCAGTTAATAAGTCTAACATGAGGAGTAATTTTTCCCGTTGTTCTGAGTTTATTAACTCTCCTGAAATTTTTTCTTTAGAAAGTATTTATTACAGTCATATTCTGCATAAAGACATTTTGGTCAATAATGGACCACATAAATGCTATACCCATAAGATTATAATACCATATTTTTACTATACCTTTTCTATGTTTAAATGCACAAATACTTACCATTGTATTTCAATTGCCTACAGTTTTCAGTACAGTAACATGCCATGCGGGTTTGTAGCCTAGGAGTAATAGGCTATACCAGGGGTCCTCAACTCCTGGACCATAGACCAGTACAAGTACTGGGCCGCACAGCAGTCGGTGAGCAGTGGGCAAGCAGCATTACCACCTGAGCTCCACCTCCTGTTTCAGGTCAACGGCAGCATTAAATTCTCATAGGAGCGCTAACCCTATTGTGAATTGTGTATGCGAGGGACCTAGGTAGGTCACACGCTTCTTATGAGAATCTAACAATGCCAGATGTTCTGAGGTCAAACAGTTTCATCCCAAGACCATTCCCACCCCCTACTCCCATCCATGGAAAAATTGTCTTCCATGAAACTGGTCCCTGGTGTCAAAAAGTTTGGGGACTGCTGGGCTATACCATATAGCCTAGGTGTGCAGGAGGCGATACCTTCTGGATTTATGTAAGTGAGCTCTATGATGTTTGCACAATGATAAAATTGCCTAAGGATGCATTTCTCAGAATGTATCCCAGCATTAAATGACACATGGCTGTATATTTGGATTTACAGAAGACTTGTGTGGGAGACCAGAATATGCCTTACCATAGCATTAAGGACTGTTGAGCTGAAGGCATTTAAGAAGAAACAGATACAGCAGAGCTCTCTGCCCTCCCTCTATTTGCCTGAAAGCAGGACATAGATTTATAAACACAAAAGGTATTCTGCCCCTACCCTTTGTTCTCCCCTAGAGCAAGAACAAAGGTTAACCCCTGAAGAAAGCTTTAGACCCTCATCTGCTTGGAGATGATACCAGAGGAATTTATGTTAGCAAGCTTTACTCACTAGTCTTTATCTGCCATATATTTACCTTTCCCCACTTGGCTGTCCATAGAAACTCAGAGTTATTTTCTTTTGTGTTGTTACTTCTCTTAGAATTGAAAATGCCATATAAGCCAGAATTCAAAGCCAACTCTTCGAGCACTACTAATTCTCTGGGTGTCTTCCATGTTTATATGAAATATACATGTTAATAAACTTCTGTTTGTTTTTCTCTTGTTAATCGGTCTTTTGTAACAGAAGTCTGTGTTCCAGCCACAAATGTAGAGGGTTATGATTTTCCCCCTAAATTTGCAAACAATACACATAGAACTTATGTCCATCCTTCACCCAATTTCCCCCTCATCTTATATATCCTTGGCACAACTAGAAAATTAATATTGTTACAACACTATCACTAAATTATAGGTTTTATTCAAATTTCTCCATTTTTCCACTAATATTCTTTTTCTCTGTTCCAGGCTCCAAGAAATGGAATTTTATTAAAAGATGGAAGAGGAGGATATTTGAGAGAAGGGGAACTACCTAATACTGAAAACTAATACAGTCCAGGATACATAGAAGATGATCAATAACACTTATTCAATCTAAATTACCCTATCAGCAAGTGGAGAATTCTCTCTCGGGAGTGCTGTTTTCTTTCCTGCCAGTCAGCTCTGTCAGGTTGAATAGAAAGCGATAAATAAAGAGGAAAAGAATTCATTTTGTGCCCTTGCTGCACTGTTGCTTTTTCCTGCTGCACCACCAGTAATAGAAAACTAGGCTGTGAGCATTTCAGTGCTAATGCACTCCAGTGGCTTTTCTGCCTTGGCCTTCTAGCTTTCTCCTCATTGCATCACACTACTGATTGGAGAAAAATATGCCAGTCTGTGCTGTGTTTCCCCAAACAACTTTTTTATTTTGCAGGGTAGAAAGAACTGATGATAATGGGCTCTATAAAAAAGGGATAAACAAAGGCATTTTCATCAAGGGCCTTCTTTCTAAAAGGCTTTCCAAATAGCCTATTTTAAAAAATGAACAAACACCCATAAACCCATAGAACAATAGTACACTAGACATACATTTAAAGAGCATGTCTCCATTAAAAACAGCTATGTCAGAAACAGGCACCTGAGTTTCTGGGGAAATATACATGATAGAAAAATCTTAAACCTGGCCAAGTTCTCCAAGTTGATCTTCTTTGTTCTTGTAGGATTTGATGACATTCAACCATGTTCATCTACTTTTCCATCTTGTTCTACAGGTGGACTATCTATTTATATATTTTTAAAAGACAGCCAGGAAAAATTGATTGATTAAGAAAGGTTTTCTTAACCTTTATTTGTGGTAAGAACATTTAAGATCTCTCTTAGAAAATTTCAAGTAAAAACACAGTATTGTTAACTCCAGTCACCATATTGTATATTAAATTTAGATCCCTAGAACTTACTCGTATATTAGATTTAGATCCCCAGAATGTACTCATCTTATAACTGAAAGTTTATACACTTTGACCAATATCTCCTTATTTCCCCCACTCCCTTACCCCTGGCAAACACCATGCTACTTTCTATTTCTATGTGTTTACCTTTTTTAGGTTCCCTATATAAGTGATACCATATAGTGTTTGTTTTTCTGATTTTTTTTAAATGAAAGAGCTAGGGCCAACTTCCATTCTTTGATGTAAAGATTAAAAACGGTGGATATATTGTGGTATGACCTAAGGCATAGGCAGGGCTGCAAGCTAGAGGTGCCCATGTGATCAAGGACAATGGTGCACAGGTCACTAGTCATCACTATTTCCTGTCATCGGTGGGACTGCAAACTAGCACATTTTTAGTGACATTACTCATAAGCACACTGTGGTTGTTTAAATTGGTAGGGATGATAATGAGAGTAATTTGTGGGTAATTAAGTCTCTCCTTTCCACCTGACAGTTATGCAAACTAGAAGGAGATGAACAGCATAGTTATGTGTTTCTTCAACTAAGAAACATTTCATAAGAATTTTGAGTAATGTGGGTAGGTGATTAAAATGTTAAAGTGGAAAAAGTTAGAAACTGTTATGTTTTTAAAAAAGTTTTATTGAGGTGTTATTTACATACCATAAAGTTCACCCATTTTAAGCATACAATTCAGTGAATTTTAGTATATTTACAGAGTTGTACAATCATCACAATCTAGTTTTAGAACATTTCCATTATTCAAAAAAAAGTCATTTGTGTCCATTTACAGTTACTCCCGATTTCCACCTCCAGTCCTAGGCAGCCACTAATCTACTTTCTGTCTCTATATACGGTTTTTATCTTTCCGGGACATTTCATTTAAATAAAATCATACAGTGGGTGTTCTCTTGTGTCTGGCTTCTTTCATCAAGAATGTTTTGAGGTCCATCCATGCTGTATATCAGCACTTCATTCCTTTTCATTGCTGAATAATTCTCTATTCTGTGGCTAGATCATATTTTATCTGTTCACTCATTAATGGATATTGCGGTTATTTCCAGGTTTTGACCAATGTGAATAATACTCCCATGAATATTTGTGTGCAAGTTTTTATGACACTGAAGAGTGAAATTTCTGGCTGGGCATGGTGGCTCACGCCTGTAATCCCAGCACTTTGGGAGGCTGAGGCAGGTGGATCACCTGAGTTCAGGAGTTCGAGACCAGCCTGGCCAACATGGTGAAACCCCATCTCTACCAAAAAAACAAAAGTTAGCTGGGCATGGTGGCTCATGCCTGTAGTCCCAGCTACTTGGCTGAGACACGAGAATCGTTTGAACCTGGGAGGTGGAGATTGCAGTGAGCTGAGATCACGCCACTGCACTCTAGCCTGGGCAACAGATTGAGACTCGGTCTCAAAAAAAAAAAAAAAAAAAAAAAAAAAAGAGTGAAATTGCTAGGTCATATGGTAAGTCAATGTTTAACTTTTTAAAGAAATTGACAAGCTGTTTACTGAAATGGCTGTGCTATTTTATATTCTCACCAGCAACGTATGAGTTTCCAGTTTCTCCACATCTATGGCAAGACCTGTTATTGCATGGCTTTTTATTATGCTTATCTTAATGGGTTAAAAAAAAGGTATCTCATTGTGGTTTTGATTTTGTACTTCCCTAATGAATAATGATGTGGAGTATATTTTCATGTGACAATTGGCTTATTGGTATAATTTATTGGCACAGGTCATTTGGCTAAATGTCTGTTCAACTCCTTTACCCATTTGTAAATTGGGTTATTTGCTTATTTATCTCCTTTTTACCTCCAGGATGGAAGTGCTATTTCAATTTTTTTTTTTTTTTGGAGATGGAATTTTGCTCTTATTGCCATTGCTGGAGTGCAATGGCACGATCTCAGCTCACCGCAACCTCTGCCTCCTGCGTTCAAGCAATTCTCCTGTCTCAGCCTCCCAAGTAGCTGGGACTACAGGCATGCGCCACCACGCCTGGCTGATTTTGTATTTTTAGTAGAGATTTCTCCATGTTGGTCAAGCTGGTCTCAAACTCCTGACCTCAGGTGATCCGCCAGCCTTGACCTCCCAAAGTGCTGGGATTACAGGCATGAGCCACCACGCCCAGCCAGCACTAGGTCAAATTTTAAGGTCATTATTCCTTTGCATTTAAAAAATTGTTTCCACCATGTATTCCTAAATAACACATTGTTTTGTTTTGCTTCTTTTTGAGCTTTATAAAAAATGGATTTATACTGTATGGAGTCTTTAACATAAAATCCTGAGTGTCTTCCTAAATTAAGTTTTCATGTTGGGCAAAAACAATTGTTTTCCAACAATGGTACTATGATATTTAAAGCAGAAAGTTATCTTTAAGAAAGAAAAGATTACAAATGGGAACACAGGGCTGCTGATTCTTGTCTTTTGGAAGATTTAATG